>NC_000017.11:80540901-80841311 GCF_000001405.40 Homo sapiens
TAGAGACAGGGTCTCACTATTTTGCCCAGGCTGGTCATGACCGTTTTCATAGCTTGAATCAAACCAGGTTTGTGTGTTTTCTGAGATTCCTAACATTTTGTTTTTAAGATTAAAGTATTTTAGCTGGACACGGTGGCTCATGCCTGTAATCCCAGCACTTTGGGAGGCCAAGGCGGGTGGATCGCCTGAGGTCAGGAGTTCAAGACCAGCCTGGCCAACATGGTGAAACCCCGTCTATACTAAAATTACAAAAATTAGCCAGGCGTGGTGGCGGGCACCTGTAATCCCAGCTACTCGGGAGGCTGAGGCAGGAAAATCGCCTGAACCCGGGAGGCGGAGGTTGCAGCGAGCCAAGATTGCGCCACTGCACTCCAGCCTGGGCGACAAGAGCAAGACTCTGTCTCAAAAAAAAAAAAAAAAAAAAAGGATCTTATTTAAAGTCTCTGTGGACAATAGATGTCCTTGCTTGTGAAGAACTGGAGACATTGGAAATTGGAACTGCAGCCCCGAGTGGCCAGCCCACCACATGCCACAGTCATGGAATCACCCAGGTGAGACAAGTCAGCCCTTGAATTTCCAGGCTGCCATTACTCACAGATGCTCACTGCCTTTCAAAAACCTAGAGCCACTTCCAAATGCTTGGCTGGGACTTGAAGAGAATCATCCGTGACATACTAGAACGAGGTTTCTTTTAAATGTCAAGATGCCATAAAATGATTCAGGCCCATCCTTGAACCTTCAGGGTGAGAGCTGAGCAGTCACAAGCCCCTTTCTGGTCTTTACATGAATCACAGAATTTCAAACTGGAAGGATCCTTAGAAATTCGCCTTCTCCAAGTTCCTGATGTCACAGACGTGGAGACCAAGGGTGGAGGAGGGCAGAGGCTTTGCTGAAATCTGCAGGAATTGGTGGCAGGTTGGGGACCATAGAATGTGTGTGTGTCTTCATCCTCAGTCCAGGACCCGAGTGGACCCCTGGCTCGGGGTCACATGTGTTAAACAGTAGAGGGTGTGTTTTGTTCTGCTGTTTTGAGGAGAAGGTGAGTCTCTTTCTGCTTTGTCAGATGGAAGTCTGGACAATTACTTCATAGCATTCATTCATTTGCCACACATATTGATTAAGGGCCCAATATGGGACCCGAACTGAATCACTGCAGGAGACTTTAGAGCGAATATTGTCTAAGACCTCCAAGTCTGCCTGGCTGTGAACTATCCTCAGAGCGACCTGATTTAAGAATTCAGATTCTGGCTCTCTTCCTTGGCGCTGCCTATGGAGGGGGCAGCCATCTCCTCCTTGGCATCATGGCCGCCCTCAGACCCCCTGTGAAGCCCAAGATCATCAAAAAGAGAACCAAGAAGTTCATCCGGCACCAGTCAGACCGATGTGTCACGATTAAGCGTAACTGGCAGAAACCCAGAGGTATTGACAACAGGGTTGGTAGAAGGTTCAAGGGCCAGATCTTGATGCCCAACATTGGTTATGGGAGCAACAAAAAAACAAAGCACACGCTGCCCACTGGCTTCTGGAAGTTCAGTCTACAACGTCAAGGAGCTGGAAGTGCTGCTGATGTACAACACTTCTTACTGCGCTGAGATCGCTCACAGTGTTTCCTCCAGGAACCGCGAAGCCACCACAGAAAGAGCCGCCCAGCTGGCCATCAGAGTCACTGACCCCCATGCCAGTCTGCGCAGTGAAGAAAACGAGCAGACAGCTCATGTGCATGTTTTGTGTTTAAATAAAACTGTAAAAACTGCAAAAAAAAAAAAATGCAGATTCTGAATCCCGGTCTCCCTGCTCCCCGATCTGGGGCTCTGGGTTGGAAGCTGGGCATCCTGAATTTTAGTTTCCTGGGCGATTCTGACCACCTGGTGGGTTTGGACTTCAACGTGCTCACTGACACCTTCGTTTAGAATTTCAGATACGAAAAATGGATTTCCCAAGGTCACACACGTTATAGGTGAGGAAACTGAGTCTCACACAGATTCAGTGGGCTTTCCCAGGTCACAGAGCTAGTTAGGGATGAATGGGTTTAGCGTTGCTGCTTTTCTGTAACTGTGACTTCCTGCAAGAGCTGCTGGAATGCAGCTGTCTACAGCCACCGGAGGTGGGGAGCAAGGTGACAAGGCAGAGGACAGGAGTGATTTTGTTGCCTTCAGATGAGAACGGGGTCTTCCTAAGACCCTGCATCCCTGAAGCCTCTGCTGGTAACTGTGAGGATAGTCTCTGCCAACAGAGAGGGTGCCCTGAGTTTCAATAGGAGAATTGGCTCCATGGGGTGTAATAACCAAACGAATGTGCGGAATGACAATGATTTAATCCTGTAGCCTTTATTAAAGGCTTGCTTTGTGCTGGGTGAGAAAGGTCTGGGATTGTATTCTTCATTCTCATTTTGAAAGGAACACAAATGCCATCAAGATTTTGATATGGATGGCCACATGTGTCTAAGCCCCGGAAAACCATCCTGAGAGATCAAGACCATCTTGGCCAGGATGGTCTTGAACTCCTGACCTCATGATCCACCCACCTCAGCCTCCCAAAGTGCTGGGATTACAGGCGTGCACCACCACGCCTGGCCTCGTTTTATTCTTATTTATTTATTTATTTATTTATTTATTTTTGAGATGGAATCTCACTCTGTCACCCAGGCTGGAATGCAGTGGTGTAATCTCGGCTCACTGCAACCTCTGCCTCCCAGGTTCCAGCTCTTCTCCTGCCTCAGCCTCCCGAGCAGCTGAGACTACAGACGCACGCCACCACGCCCAGCTAATTTTTGTATTTTTATTAGAGACGGCGTTTCACCATGTTGGCCAGGCTGGTCTCGAACTCCTGAACTCGTGATCCACCCTCCTCGGCTTCCCAAAGGGCTAGGATTATAGGCGTGAGCCACGGTGCCCTGCCTACATTTGGTTTTATAGTCCACCTTACACAGTTCTCTATACATTGTAAATGAGCCAAATTTCCTGAATTGAAAAAGAGAGTCACACAAGAGGCTTGCCTCCACGCACAGACATGTAGTTTTAGATGTCTGCACGTGAAGCTATATCAAAATAAGAATAAACTACTGCTACCAAGAAGTGGGAAAAAAATTTAAAAAGGATAAACTGCTCAGAAAACGAAACAGATTAAACAAAAAATTGTATTAGATGAAATTTTTTTTCATCGAATCTTGCTCCAGACTCTTCTTCTGTTGCTTCAGACCCTTCTTCATCTGAAGAGTCTTGCTCTGTCTCCCAGGCTGGAGTGCAGTGGCACGATCTTGGCCCACTGCAACCTCCGCCTCCCGGGTTCAAGCAATTCTCCTGCCTCAGCCTCCTGAGTAGCTGGGATTACAGGCGCGCACCACCACGCCCAGCTAATTTGTGTATTTTTAGTAGGGACGGGGTTTCACCATGTTGGCCAGGCTGGTCTCGATCTCTTGACCTCGTGATCTGCCCGCTTCGGCCTCCCAAAGTGCTGGGATTACAGGCGTGAGCCACGGCGCCCGGCCTTTCACTTGGTTCTCTATGAAAAAATTAAAGAGAAAATCTGATTGACACTGTGGAGGACACTACACTCCAAAAAAAAAAGTACTATATTTTCTAATATTATCAGTGCTTTTTAATATTTTCTAATATTATCAGTGAAGCTTTTGCCGCTTTTTCAAAATCTGGAAGAAACAAGGCGGTTGATTCCTTTAATTTCAGGAGCATGTAACTTCATTTATAATGACAATGTTTTTGAAAAAATAAATTAAACCGACAGTTTCATTTGTAGGATTGACTTTAATAACACGCCTCTACTGAACAAATGGCGATTAACTGGGGAAAACGGAATTATGGTAACCGAGGTAACGGGGTCGGGGACTCTTTCTCCTTCGCTGCATGCTGGGTGGCGGGGAGAGACCGCTCTGAGGAGGTTTGGTCTGTCGGCCACGCCGTAGGCCGCGGTGCATTCTGGGTCCTGGCAATATGGCGTCCTCCTTGATGGGCTGATGAGATGAGTTTCACTGTAGCTCCAAACCAGAGGGCAAAGCTCCCATGACCCAATAAGCCCACATTGTCCCTTTCCTCCGTGGTTCCGTGTCGCCCGTTTCTCAGGACTCGTTCTCAGGCAGGAGAGAGCCTCGGGGCTGAAGGCCAGGACCAGCCAGGCCGCGCGGACCTGAGGTTGAGGAACCGGGTGCAGGCGAGCACGATGGGCCGGTCGTGGCTCTGGTTGCAGCAGCTCAGACGAGTGCGGGACCCGCAGGGCTGAGAGTGGCTGGAGGAGACCCAGGGCCCTTTGAACCCGATCCCTTGGCCGGAGACCTCAGCCCAGTCGGCCCAGTGGGCGAACCGGCACCAAGAGCGGCCTGCCTGTCTTCGGAACTGCTGAGGCGGTGGAGGCCGAGAGCAGGGTCATCGTGAGGCCTGAAGTCTCTTACGCTTTTGGCAGCTCCCCTCGCAGCCCCTCTGGAAACGTACAGCCTCAGGAGCAGCCAGTGGCTTGGGACCTGGGGTGGTGTGTGTCTGCGGAGCTTCTTGGGCTGCCCCATTTCCTAGCGGCCCCCACCTCCCCACTTCCCGCTCAGAGTTAGAGATAAGGATCTCAGACTTTTGCCTGAGTAAGGGTCTCCGCACTCTTTATCCATTTGGTTTTCGATTTCCCGTTTTTGTTTCTTATTTCACCAATTCTGGTACACGCTAGTTTTTAAGGCTGGAGGTTCTCGAGCGCTTGCTGCCAAGGACTCCCCCACCCCCTCCCCCACTGATGGAGTCCGAAATGCTGCAATCGCCTCTTCTGGGCCTGGGGGAGGAAGATGAGGCTGATCTTACAGACTGGAACCTACCTTTGGCTTTTATGAAAAAGAGGCACTGTGAGAAAATTGAAGGCTCCAAATCCTTAGCTCAGAGCTGGAGGATGAAGGATCGGGTAAGTGGATTCTGAAGGCACCCCTTGAACTTGGTAGTTTCCCCAACAAAGAAAGTTTACAGCCCGAAAAGTGTCCTTGGGAAAGCGCCGACATTTCCCCCTAGCCACACGTTGTAAGTCAACTAGAAAGCAAAAGCCATTTCAGACTGCAGTTTTTGGTTGAAAATGGAAAATGCTGTTTTGGTTAGTCATTATTCACTGGGTAGTGTTAATTCAATTCCAACTAAGTTCTAATTCAGATAATAAAAGTTAAGCAAATTTGAAAATAGAGCATTGCGAGTATTTACATGCTCTTTGGCATACTACTTAGTTCTGTAAACACTTAGAGGAAGGACAACGTGCGATATAATCTTTATACCCACATGATTAGTCTACTTTTTAAAATATCCAAGCTGGGTGAAGTGCAGAAGTCTGATATACTATGCTAGGAAATGAGATTACTGGAAAATGTTCAACTAGTAACAAATTAGTGCAAAGTTATTATAAAGTTACACTGAACTTCATTCTAGTCTTCTAAACAATTTCTCTTGAAGCTAGATTTTCCTCCTTTTATGTAGTGTCCTGTTGCTGTAACTTGGAAACAGGATTTCTTTAATCGTGAGTTAGGGTATGAGGCGTCGAGACTTGGGTGCAGGTTTTAGGGTGTCCGCATGGTGTTTGGAGTGTGGAGAGTGACTCACAAGCAGCTGGTAGGAAAGAAAACAGCCGAATTTTGTTGGATTTGTCCTTCATAAAACACCCATCTATTTCCTGGCCTCAAAAGCAAAAGGGTAGTACTGCTTCTCCTCTATGCACACTTATAATTTGTCTTTTTGTAAGTTATTTTCTCCCTCCAGGCTGCTTTTATTTGCACATTTCAGTGGTATAAAAGAGGAAGTTGGTGTTACAATGTTTGATTTTCTCTAGGCTTATGTATATGTTTATGGAATATTATTGTTTTTTAGTATATGATGTTGAACATATATAAGATTACACTTCTGGGCTGGGCGCGGTGGCTCACGCCTGTAATCTCAGCACTTTGGGAGGCCAAGGCAGGCCTCCCAAAGGCAGGCGGATCACCTGAGGTCAGGAGTTTGAGACCAGCCCGGCCAACATGGTGAAACCCTGTCTGTACTAAAAATACAAAAATTAGCTGGGCTTGGTGGCAGGTGCCCGTAATCCCAGCTACTCGAGAAGCTGAGGCTGGAGAATCGCTTGAACCTGGGAGGCAGAGGTTGCAGTGAGCCGAAATCGCACCATTGCACTCCAGCCTAGGGGACAGAGTGAGACTGTGTCTCAAAAATAAATAAATAAATAAAACTTCTGGTAACTCTAGTCAGTCAGTCAGTAGTAACCAGTTAGCTACTGACTTGGCTTACTTCTAAAAGGTTAGGAAAATTTGTTTCATCCAAAAGCATTTTAAGGAGTTAAATAAGTTAGTCATTGGGGGAGGTTGTATAAATTCTATCTTATGGACATCTTTAGTAGTAACTATATAGTTAAAAGCTTTTGTGGTTGCTATACATATATGAAAAGACTTTTTAAAAAATTCTTTGTGGAGGGCAGTTTTTTTGTTGTTGTTATTTTGAAATGTGGTTCTCTCTGCTGTCCTAAACCTATGTTCCAACAGTTTGAAACTGATTAATGGGTATACGTTTGACCTTTTAATTAAAACATTAATTTGTGAATGATCAACATTCCCTAATAAGCTTTTCACAGGTTGTTAAGAGAAACAAAAGTTCTGTGACTCTTAGTGACTACTGAGATTGCTGCTTAGAAAGGAGCTGGGGAGAAAGTTTGCTGTATCTGTTTTTCGGTGGAGAAAATCAGCAGCTAACATCTTCAGTTGAGTGTGTGGGAGTTTGGAATCTTGTCATCTCTTCCCTCTTCCAAAGGTCAGGTCCTTTGGAATCTTGTCATCTCTTCCCTCAAGGACCGTATCACACATGCTATAGGACAGAAGTTGCAAACTCAAATGATATTGAGTGGGGATGGTAGCATAAGAGAATGAAACAGGCCACATTTAAGAAGAATAATGGCATAGGTTCAAAGATAAAGACAAATGGCAGCTGACATTTGGCACAGTGTGTGTGACAGTTTCTGGAGGGTGGGAACAGGGGCTCCCTGATGCCATAACTGAAGGGGCAACTGGGCTATGGCCAGGCCTCTCTCTTTGTCTTTGAGAAGTCAGCAAACTTTTTTTTTCTTTTATTGTAAATATTCATACTAATTCAGATTTATTACCAAACACACTGTAGTCCAACACTGCAGGCTGAACAACCCCATTTGTGGAGTGTTTTTCTGTTTCTTTTTTTTTTTTTTTTTTTTTGAGACAGGGTCTTGCTCTGTCATCCAGGCTGGAGTACAGTGGTGAGATCACACGGCTCACTGCAGCCTCGACCTCCTGGGCCTGAGTGATCCTCTCACCTCAGCCTCCCCAGTAGCTGAGACTATAAGTGTGCGCCAGTGTGTCTGGGGTTGGGGAGTCTCACTGTGTTGCCCAGGCTGGTCTTGAACTCCTGGGATCAAGCAATCCTCCTGCCTTGTCCTCCAAAAATGCTAGGATTACAGGCATCAGCCAACACGCTCAGCCTGGGGTGGTTTTTTTTTTTTTTTTTTTTTTTTTTTGAGATGGAGTTTCATTCTTGTTGCCCAGGCTGGAGTGCAGTGGTGTGGTCTTGACTCACTGCAACCTCCGCCTCCCAGGATCAAGCTATTCTCCTGCCTCAGCCTCCCAAGTAGCTGGGATTACAGGCGCCTGGCTAGTTTTTTTTGTATTTTTAGTGGAGATGGGGTTTCACCATGTTGGCCAGGCTGGTCCTGAACTCCTGACCTCGGGTCGTTCACCTGCCTCAGCCTCCCAAAGTGCTGGGATTACAGGTGTGAGCCACAGCACCTGGCCCTGGGGTGTTTTTTGACCAGTGGGTTACCTACGTAAGAATCTCTGTTACCCAGGCCTCCAGGCCACACAGTCCCACTGTGCTGGACGTAGCCTCCAGTCTGGTGGAGCAGCATGTTTGTAAAGTGAAATGTGTGGGCGTGGTTGTTCTGTGCTAGGAGCTACATCAACTACTTCCTGGTGGCCACTGACTGTCCTAAATGCAAGCTGAGATTTTGCTTCTTCTTGTGGTTAATGTGCAATTCCATACGCTTTTATTTTGTACATATATTCATTAGTTCTTACTGGCTCCTATTTAGTAGCCTTGCTACAGATTCCTCAAATTGACATCTTTACCAAAGTTGACTGACTGATGACTCCCAAGAAGTTTTTTTTGCCACCCAACACTTGGCATCCTTCCAGAGCTACAGCCCTTGCCCGCTCTCAGTTGGGATTCCTGCCATCTTTGTTTTGAATCAGTCTTGGTTTTCAAATGCCACTTTTACCACATTTTAATTTCTAAGTTACTGTTACTTTAAAATTATTATCAAGTTAGTTTGTTGTTTGGTTAATTCTACTATGTATAGTGAATGAGGCATATATGTATCCATAGTGTTTTTAGCTTGCAATTTTCAAATAACTAGACATATATGAATTGTAGTTCAAAATGAATCATTCACAGACCTTTGGCTAAAACAGATACGTATATATCTCCCCTATTTGTGTTTTTGGCTCACTGCAACCTCCGCCTCTTGGGTTCAAGCGATTCTCCTGCCGCAGCCTCCCGAGTAGCTGGGATTACAGGTGCCCACCACCATGCCTGGCCAATTTTTTTCATATTTTTATTAGAGACGGGGTTTCACTATGTTGGCCAGGCTGGTCTCAAACTCCTGACCTCAGGTGATCCACCTGCCTCGGCCTCCCAAAGTGCTGGGATTACAGGTGTGAGCCACCGTGCCTGGTCTAACTGTGATACTTTATAGTTATCACAGAGTTCATTTTCCTACTGGAAAGTGGACAGTGGGGATAACTGGTCTCAGATGACTCTTTTGCCTGGAATATGTGGGATGGAATGACGGGTGCTTGAGAGCTATTGCTCTGAAAGTGTTGACAGACATGCTATGTCTACACACATGTAGACTGACAGACACTCTGTCTACATGCATGTAGCACCCCTGGCAGACACATTCTGTGTACACATGTGTGGTGTCATTGTCAGACACTATTTCCATGCATGTGTAGGACCACTGACAGGCATCCTATGTCTACATGTGTAGGGGATGAAACGGTTAGATGAAGAAGGCTATTTTGTAAACCATTCTCTAGACTCAGTTGCATTGCTCTGTAGCCATACTTTGCCCAGGTCATGGAGGAAGCAGAGTAGATCTGTTCAACTAATACATGGACTGCCAAAGGTTTATGCGGTCTTTTCAGCAAGGGTAATAGCAATCCTTCATAATCTACACTACCCCCTCTGCTTTCCTCACCTTGCGTCCTCTCCACATTCCAACTGTGCCCTGTTCCACTCCCCTGAGACTGGTCTCCATATGGCCCCAGTTTGTTGCTAAATCTAAAGTTCTCTTCTCTGTCCTTCTCTGTTCTTATTTCACCTCTCAGCAGCATTCCACAATGTGGACCATGGCCTCTTCATAAAGCTCTTTCCTCACTTGCTTCTGTGTCTCCACGAAACTCGGATTTTCCTCTTAGGTCACTAGTTGTTCCTTCTCAGACTCCTTTGCTACCTGACACCTAAATGCAGGGGCACCCCAGGAATTGATCTTGGACCCCATTCTCTGTTCTGGGTGTGCCCCTCCCTAGCAGATCTCATCGGGGCCCATGATTTTAAATAGTGTCTACATGCCAGTGATGCTTAAACCCCCAATCTTTAGTTCTGATCTGGCCTGAAATTTCTGTCTCAGATGCCTACTGCCTGCTTTTTCTTAGTTTTCTCCATCACCGCTTGCCACAACCACCATCCACTCAGTTGTTCAAGCTGTAAGTTTAGAGTTTATCCTTAATTCTTTCCTCTCCCTCTCTTTATCGCCCCATCCAATTCATTAGAACCCATCAGCGTTACTTCCAAAGCATGTCTTACATTGGCCTGCTTCATTTTGTCTCCACTGATGCAGCCCCAGTCCAGGCAGCCACCGTCTCTTGTCTGGACACTGCATTTGTGTCCTGACTGGTCTCCCTATGTCCATTCTTGCCCTACAACCAGTTTTTCACATAGCAGTCAGAGGGATCTTTTATTTATTTTGAAATGGAGTCTCTCCTTGTTTCTCAGGCTGGAGTGCAATGGCGTGATCTCGGCTCACTGCAACCTCCACCTCCCGAGTTCAAGAGATTCTCGTGCCTCAGTCTCCCGAGTAGCTGGGACTACCAGTGCATGACACCATGCCCGGCTGATTTTTTGTATTTTTAGTAGAGATGCGGTTTCACCATGTTGGCCAGGCTGGTCTTGAACTCCTGAGCTCAAGTGATCCTCCCACCTCAGCCTCCCAGAGTGCTGGATTACAGGCGTGAGCCATCACACCTGGCCAGAGGGATTTTTTGAAAGTGTGAAGGGGTGGGTTGCCCCTCCACACCTGTGGGTGTTTCTTGTTAGGTGGGACGAGAGACTTGGAAAAGAAAAAGAAACAGAGACAAAGTATAGAGAGAGAAATAAGGGGACCCAGGGAACCAGCGTTCAGCATATGGAGGATCCCGCCAGCCTCAGAGTTCCCTTAGTATTTATTGATCATTCGTGGGTGTTTCTCCGAGAGGGGGATGTGTCAGGGTCACAAGACAATAGTGGGGAGAGGGTCAGCAGACAAACACGTGAACAAGGGTCTTTGCATCATAGACAAGGTAAAGGATTAAGTGCTGTGCTTTTAGATATGCATACACATAAATATCTCAATGCTTTACAAAGCAGTATTGCTGCCCGCATGTCCCACCTCCAGCCCTAAGGCAGTTTTTCCCTATCTCAGTAGATGGAACGTACAATCGGGTTTTATACCGAGACATTCCATTGCCCAGGGACGGGCAGGAGACAGATGCCTTCCTCTTGTCTCAACTGCAAGAGGCATGCCTTCCTCTTCTACTAATCCTCCTCAGCACAGACCCTTTACGGGTGTCGGGCTGGGGGACGGTCAGGTCTTTCCCTTCCCACGAGGCCATATTTCAGACTATCACATGGGGAGAAACCTTGGACAATACCTGGCTTTCCTAGGCAGAGGTCCCTGTGGCCTTCCGCAGTGTTTGTGTCCCTGGGTACTTGAGATTAGGGAGTGATGATGACTCTTAAGGAGCATGCTGCCTTCAAGCATCTGTTTAACAAAGCACATCTTGCACCGCCCTTAATCCATTTAACCCTGAGTTTGACACAGCACATGTTTCAGAGAGCACGGGGTTGGGGGTAAGGTCATAGATTAACAGAATCTCAAGGCAGAAGAATTTGTCTTAGTACAGAATAAAATGGAGTCTCCTATGTCTACTTCTTTCTATACAGACACAGTAACAATCTGATCTCTCTTGCTTTTCCCCACAAAAGTGTGAATCAGATTCTGTTACTTCCTTACTGGTGGTCTCCATTGGCTTCCTCTGTGCTTAAAGTAGAACTCAGACTCCTCTTGCTGGTTCACAAAGCCTTCATGATTTGGCCTCTGCCTGCCTTTTCTGCTTCTTGGATAGAAACTCCTGGAATGCTTTTCTCTCTGATCTTTGCACACCTGGCCCCTTCTCGTCGTTCATACTTAGCATCTAGGTCCCTTCCTCAGAGAGGCCCACCATCACCCCATCTGAAGCAGCCACCCTGTCACTCATAAACCCTCCTGATGGCTATTTATTTCTCTGATATTTTTCTCCCTACTTCCTCCTGGAGATGTGAGCTTTTCATCATAAAGCAAGGACCTAGTCTAGTCTATGCTAGTCCATAGGGCAGTGCTTGGCACATAGTAGGGATTCAACAAAACTATACTGATACAAAATGGATAGTTTACAAAAGGCTTCCACATACATTATCTTTAAGGCTCAACAGCACCATAAATTACCTAGGGATCATTCTCTCCGTGTTACTGATGAGGTAACTGACGTTTTAGTTGAATGGCTTACCTAAAGTTACATAAGTAACATGGCTAGCAGTGAGAGGAAGTGGAACCTGTGCAGAGGGAGAAACAAAGTTTAGTTCAAAACAAAACAAAACAAAACTGTATCATAATGTCTCCACTGAAACATTTATGTTAAGAGGTCAGGGGGTTGAAAATAGCAGACCAGCAGACCAACATTCAGCAGACAGAGAAGGATGCTCAGTCTGCTCACAGCATGTGCCCTGTGCACTGGGGCTTCTCCTAGACCCTTGCAGGGATCCACAAGGTCAAAACTGTTTTCATAATAATGGAACACCATTGGCCTTTTCCACTCTGTTGATACCTGCACTGACAGTGCAAAAGTGATGAATCAAGACAGCGGTGCCAAGCTGTACTACTAGTTCCTGATTTCTTTGCCATGCACATGGAGAGAATGTCCTTGCTAATAAAGCAGTGAAAATGATGACTTTTACTAAATCTTGACTGTTAAGCACACATCTTTTTCAGACTGTGTGTGCTGCTCCTTCTCCTGCAGGCAAAGCCCAGTGGCTGCCTGGAGGAGGAGCATCTGCTGCCTTCATGGACGCAGCACGTCCCAAAGGAATCACCGACAGGCCGCCTCTGGATGTTGAGGCCTGTGTCCACGGCAGACGTGTTTTTGAAAATGAACTTAGTGAGCTGTCACTTCAAGGAATACAGCTGACAGTATTTGCTGCCAGTCATGAAATTTGAACCTTCAAGTGAAAATTGGTTTTGGAAAACTTGTATCTGCCGCTGTGAGCCTGGCAGCTTCCCAAGACTTAAAGATGTTTCTGGTGAGATCCATAGTGATATTAATGAATGGAATTAATGTTGTAGAATGAAATGTGCCCACATTTGGAACAGCTGCATAATTCAGTGAACAAATATTTCCAGATGACCAATCCATGATATTATAAAATCATCCATAGGTAAAAGATCCGTTCAATGTTAGACCAGTGGATTTTAATGTAATAGGGTACAAAAAGTTCACCAGAGGATAGGTGTTTTTTTTTCTTTTTTTTTAAGACGGAATCTTGCTCTGTTGCCCAGGTTGGAGTGCAGTGGCGCGATCTCGGCTCACTGCAACCTCCGCCTCCCAGGTTCAAGCAATTCTCCTGCCTCAGCCTCCTGAGTAGTTGGGATTACATGTGCCTGCTACCACGCCTGGCTAATTTTCATATTTTTAGTAGAGATGGGGTTTTGCCATATTGGCCAGGCTGGTCTCGAACTCCTGACTTCAGGTGATCCACCTGCCTTGGCCTCCTAAAGTGCTGGGATTACAGGGGTCAGCCACCACACCCCGCTTGATGTTCTGTTGTGTGCGTGTGTGTATATTTTTTGTTGTTATTTGTTTGTTTCACAGTTCACTGCATCCTTGACCTGGGCTCAAGTGATCCTCCTGCCTCAGCCTCCTGAGTCGCTGGGACTACAGGTGTGAGTCACCATGCCTAGATTTTTTTTTTGGATTTTTTGTAGGGATGGGGTCTCACTATGTTGCCTATAGTGAGAGTTTAAATATTTTATTCAAATAGATTGCAACAGATCTTTAAGAAACTACCACTTACTCAATTTTGTTGTAATATCAAATAATAATATTCTCAATTATTTGGATATTCTGATACTCCTGCCATTATGTATCTTTGTGAGGCCAGATTTTTCTCACATACTTCAACCAAAACAGTGTATTTCAACCCATTGAATGTGGCACCAAAAATGAGAATCCAAGGTGGGGTGCGGTGGCTCACACCTGTAATCCCAGCACTTTGGGAGACTGAGGCGGGCAGATCATGAGGTCAGGAGATCAAGACCATCCTGGCTAACACGATGAAACCCCATCTCTACTAAAAAATACCAAAAATTAGCCGGGCGAGGTGACGGGCGCCTGTAGTCCCAGCTACTTGGGAGGCTGAGGCAGGAGAATGGCGTGAACCCGGGAGGCAGAGCTTGCAGTGAGCTGAGATTGCGCCACTGCACTCCAGCCTGGGTGACAGAGTGAGACTCTGTCTCAAAACAAAACAAAACAAAACAAAACAAACAACAACAACAACAAAAAAAATGAGAATCCAGTTGTCTTCTATGAAGCTGGATATTAAAGAGATTTGCAAAAATCTAAAAAAAGCCACCTGAGACAAGTGACAAGATAACTGACAATTTTTGAAAATATAGTTATTTGTAGAAATGTTATTTATTTGAATATATAATAAGTTTGATTTTTAAGTGAATTCATAAATATATCAATTATGTTTTTCTGTTTTAACCTTCAATACGGAAAATGTTGATAAATGAAACTCATAAAAAAGCTCTTTGAGGGTCTTCAGGAACCTTTAAGACCGTAAAGGGGCCCTGCTGCCAGATGTTTGAGAGTTATTAGTGTAGTTAGAAGAAAGTGGGCCTCATCCTTAGGAAGAAGGGCTTGAGGATATCAGGTGGCTGGTCAGAAATGTCAGGCAGGGCCTTGAAGTGACATTAGATAAGAAACATAAAGGCCCTAATCTGTTGCCCTCTTTCCATTCGCTCTGCCTAAAGAACTGTTGAGGTCTCTGGACTTGGAGCTGGGAGGATGTTTGTGAAGAGCCTGTGTGATTGTGAGGGCAGTGGCCTTACATGTGGCCACCTAGCCCTCCATCAGGTCCTTCTATTGCTCCAGATTTCTAGTGTGTGTCCGGAGGGAGAT
This sequence comes from Homo sapiens, assembly GCF_000001405.40. Taxonomy (NCBI): domain Eukaryota; kingdom Metazoa; phylum Chordata; class Mammalia; order Primates; family Hominidae; genus Homo; species Homo sapiens. Next base: position 80,555,411 of record NC_000017.11, read on the forward strand.
GCACCACCGCCCACCCAGTAGCTCTTGTGCTGGGAGTGGAGGAACACCCAGTCTGTCTGGAGGAATGTCCACTCTGTCTGGCAAGGAGGAGGTGGCCAGAGGTTCAGCCAAGGTGGACAGCTCACGGGAAGTGTCCTGTCTCTCCAGGGCGCTGCTGCCTAGACAGACTGACAGACACGGTAGCACCAAATTACAATACGCAAGTATAGGTATCAATCATAGTAATTACAGGTGAGAATGACATTATTACGGGGAGCATCTTGATTTAATATTAAATAAGTAAATCATTTGCATTGAACTGCATTTATGAAAGAAATCATCCACATTGACCAGCATTAAACTCCCAGCAGCCAGTGACTTCATGTAGTTGGTGATGGGGAGCTGTCCCAGGATTCCAGCTGGGGAGTTGTTGTGCATAAATTTGTGTTTTGAAATACCTTATTGGCTATGGATGGAGTGGGGTGATTGGAGAGGGGCGAGACTGGAGGTGGGGGCACCAAGTGGAGAGGAGTTGTGCTAATCCAGGTGAGAAGCCCTGGGGGCTGGGCGTGGTGGCTCACATTTGTAATTCCAGCACTTCGGGAGGCTGAGCTGGGAGGATCTAAAAAGTTTTTTGTTTTTTTTTTCTTAAATCTAGGTAGATACTTTGTGGTTCCCGAGACTCACATGAGACACTCACATCAGCGCTTGTGTGATTGTAAGGGCAGTGGCCTTACATGTGGCCACACAGCCACCGTCAGGGCCTCCTATTTCTCCAGAATTCTGTCTCACCTCTCCAATCCCTCTACTCCATCCACAGACAATAAGATCTTTCTAAACACAAATTTATACACAACAATTCCCTAGCTGGGCTCCTGGGCAGCTCCCCATCACCAACTACATGCTGAGCCCAGGAATTTGAGACCAACCTAAGCAACAAAGTGAGGCCCTGTCTCTACAAAAAGTAAAAAATAAGCCGGACATGGTGGTGCGCACCTGTGGTCCCAGCAAATTAGGAGGCTGAGGTGGGAGGATAGCTTGAGCCTGGGAGGTTGAGGCTGCAGTAGTAAGCTATGATTGTGCTGGTGCACTCCAGCCTGAGTAATAGAGTGACACCCTGCTTCAATAAAAACAGCAAGAAAAGAAACCTTGGGAGCCACAAAAGAGGCGGCTGCAGTAGGAATGGACGATAGAGCATGGATCCTACTGATTTGAAGAAGGTAGAAATAGAATGTGAAGTGGATGGGTTCCAGTGGGTGGAGTTTGTGGGTGTAGTGTGGACTGGCTGGCTGGTACAGTTCCGCTCTTTTTATTTGCTCTTGAAATGGATATACTTTTCATTAGTGAGTCTCATGTGAGTTTCAGGAGTCACAAAGAGACCATCTACCCAGATTAAAAAAAAAAAAAAACTTAAAACATGCTGGCCAGGCACGGTGGCTCACGCCTGTAATCCCAGCACTTTGGGAGGTCGAGGCGGGTGGGTCACCTGAGGTCAGGAGTTCGAGACCAGCCTGCCCAACATGGCGAAACCCCGTCTCTACTAAAAATAACGAAAAATGAGCCGGGCATGGTGGCGGGTGCCTGTAATCTCAGCTACTTGGGAGGCTGAGGCAGGAGAATCGCTTGAACTCAGGAGGTGGAGGTTGCAGTGAGCCAAGATCTTGCCACTGCACTTCAGCCTGGGTGACAGAGTGAAACTCTGTCTCATTGTTCCATTCTGAAGAGCTGTGGAAGACTCTTGAGATGGATAAGAACATGTCCTCATTATCACCCTGTGGAGTTCTAGAGCTAGAGTTTTAACAAGATAGCATGTGGATTACACATAGGAGGTGTCCTCCAGTTTCTGACTCTATCCTCCTCTTATTCAAATGACTTTAAAAAGGAATTTTGAAGGCTAAGGTGGGAGGATCACTTGAGGAAAGGAGTTCAAGACCAGCCTGGTCAACATGGTGAAACACCCATCTCTACCAAAAATTTAAAAATTAGGCGTGGTCGTGGATGCCTGTTATCCCAGCTACTTGGGAGGCTGAGGTATGAGAATCGCTTGAACCCGGGAGGTGGAGGTTTCAGTGAGCCAAGATCATGCCACTGCATTCCAGCCTGGGTGACAGAACGAGACTTTGTCTCAAAATAAATCAATAACTCAATAAATCAATAAATACAAAAATAAGGAGGTATTTTGGTCATCTACAATACTTGTTTCAGGAGAGCTGAAGTTTGATACCTTTTTCTAAGTCTAAATATATGGAAAATGGCCAGGCACAGTGGCTCACGCCTGTAATCCTAGCACTTTGGGAGGCTAAGGAGGGCAGATCACTTGAGGTCAGGAGTTTGAGACCAGCCTGGCCAACATGGTGAAACCCTGTTTTCTACTAAAAATCCAAAAATCAGCCGGGCATGGTGGCAGATGCCTGTAATCCCAGCTACTCGGGAGGCTGAGGCAGGAGAATCACTTGAACCCAGGAGGCAGAGGTTGCAGTGAGCCGAGATCGTGCCACTGCACTCCAGCCTGGGCGACAGAGCGAGACTCCGTCTCAAAAAATAATAATAAATAAATACATAAATATATGGAAAATGCCATTCCAGTAAATATTTGGCATTGCAAATCAATGCTTTAACTGTGTTCTAGGCTGGGCACAGTGGCTGATGCCTGTCATCCCAGCACTTTGGGAGGCTGAGGCAGGTGGATCATTTGAGCTCAGGAGTTTGAGACCAGACTGGGCAATGTGGTGAAACTCTGTCTCTACAAAAAATACAAAAAATTAGCCGGGCATGGTGGCATGTGCCTGTGGTCCCAGCTACTCGGATGGCTGAGTCAAGGGGATGGTTTGAGTCAGGGAGGTCAAGGCTGCAGTGAGCTATGATGGTGTCACTGCCCTCCAGACTGGGTGACAGAGCTAGACCCTGTCTCAAAAAAACCCCTGAAACCCTTAAACTTGTCACATATTGGTGGGTGTGACTGCAGAGAATTGTCATGCCTTCAGAGGCCGAACAGGAAACAGCTGAAGAGGAGACAGTCGCCGAGAACAAGTTTGAATTTTACCCAGCTGTCGGTATATTTTTCAGGTGCGTTTATTGTTCTTGACTAGTACTTTTTGTATTTTAAAATGTTGATGTAATTTCAAACTGACGGAAAACCTGTAAGAATAGTATCATGAGCTTCCCTATAGCCTTTGCCCAGGTTTGCAGATTGTTTACATCTCGCCTTGTTTACTGTCACCCTCCATTTACATATTCAGACTGAGCTGGAGATGCTGTCCCCCTTCTACTCCTAAACACCGTGTCTGTCTCCTTAGAGGAGGCCATTTTCTTACGTAAGCACAGTGCAGTTGTGAGAGTCAGGACCTGTATCATGGATATGTGCTCCCGGCCCTCTGTAGTTCAGAAGGTCAGGTGTTGCTGCCTGCCCAGCAATGCCCTCATTATGCCCCGCCCGTCACCCAGGATCACACGTTGCATTTGGTGGTCGTGTCTGTGTAGCCTACCTTAATCTAAAGAAGTCTCTCAGTCTGTTTTAGACTTTCTTGACCTTGATTTTTTTAACTGTGAATTTACCATCTCAACCATCTTTCAGCACACAGTTTAGTGGCAGCAAGCACACCCACATGCTTGTGCAGCCACCACCAGCATCCACCACCAGCAGCCATCTCCAGCAGCTTTCCATCTTCCCAGACTGAAACTGTCTCCATTAAACACCAACTCCCCATTCCCCTTCCCCAGCCCTTGGTAACCGCTCTTCTGCTTTCTGTCTCTGAATGTTTTGGCCTTGCATGTAGTAGAATGTCCTGAATTTGAGCTGCCTAGTCTTTCCTCATATTCACACTGAGATGGGGCATTTTGGGTAATGATGCACCTTTGTCAGTGAATCCCATCAGGAGCACACGACGGTGCTTTGTCCCAGTACTGTCATGCTCATTTGATCCATTACCTTCAAGCCGTTTCTTGCTGAGTGGTCGCCTCCTGACTGATGCTGCCCTTTTGCCATACCTGTTTGGGAGCACGTCCTGACTTTCCAGCACAACCAGAGGGCCCAAGCTCACTCTGTGCCCTCCCTGCCCCAGTCCTGGAATTAGCCTTTTCTCCAAGGAGCCTGGTTCCTGTTAGTGGCGAATGGCATTGAGAAGCCACGAACGTGTGCATTTAGAGCTGGGCTGTGTGCTTTGCCCTTGGTGTGGCATGCGTCTCCCGTTGGTTGGCCCTCTGAGCAGGAGAGAGAGGATGGCGCTCTGTCTTGTTTACCTCTGTTTCTCTGTGTATGCTGGAACCATGGATGTGTAGAGAGAGCTCCAGTCCAGCTCCTCACCATGATATGTTCAGCCCTTCCCACTTTGCCTGCTACCACTCCCTACCCAGCCATGGGAAACCAGCTCCATTGTCCTCATTTAATCATGGGCTCAAAGCTGGAATGCACAGAAGGGAGCCTCGGAATGGCTAACGCTGGCCACTTGGGAAAGCAAATGCTGCAAGAGGTTGACTTCCTTGTTTTCTGAGGTAAACGTTACATATGGTGAAATGCACAGACCCCAGCTATCTGAACAATTGGCTCATGCTGTCTAGAAATGTCAGCATTAGTCAGTGTTTTGTGGGAAATCACTGTTGTTTTACATAGATGGCACTGCACGTAGGGTGCATGGGGTGAAGGGGACGGAAGACGTGGTCATGGCCCTGTAGGAATTTACATCTTATAAGAGAAAAACAACATCCTTACCCACAGCTGAGTGAAAAGCACAGTGCAGTCATGATCTGCCCTTGAGTAACAAGGTAGCGATTTCAGGAATTCTGCAGCTGGACATTGAGATGGTGTCTGTTCTGCACCAGAGACTTGGCTGAGCTCCTAGCTGGATGGGCTGTGGAGTCCATGGTGGCTGGACGAAGATCTGTGTGCTCAGGTGGAGTGGTTGCGGGAGCAGGGCGGAGGATGGACAATGAATTCACAAGTGACTGATGTATAGAATTTAGTCATTCAGCTACTATCATCGAGCCCCTTCTCTGTGCTGGGCACTGGGCTAAGTGCTGCGGATACCATGGGGAGTAATTCCTGCGTTGAAGGTGTTTTCCAGTCTATCAGGGCAGATGGATGACAGTGCAGGAGGCAGGGTGTGAGGTGGTGGTGGCTGGATGGGCCGGACGGAGAAAGGCCTTCTGGAGGTGGGAGCTCTAAGCCAGTAGCTGAAACAGAATGGAAGGGAGTGGGGTGGAAGGTTCAGCTGGAGGAACGGGGACGTGCAGGAGCTGAGAGGTGAGTGAGCAGGGTCTTCAGGGAAACGCCACTGGGGGCCTCCTGCAAGGGGCCTTCCCTTGTGCTGTGGGAGCCGCCTCATGCCCACCCGGTGCTCTGTGCCTGCCATTCCCTTCCCACACTGCCACTCCCCAGCACTTGGCTACGTGTTCGTTTTGTCTCCCCACTAGGATGTTGTATAGAGAACAGGGACTCTGTGTTCACTGCTGAGCCCGAGGCTGTTCCCGGGGTGACTGGCGGTCAATAGGTGATCAATAACTGTTTGTTGAGTCAAGGAAGGGAGCAGAGACCCTGAGAAGAGAAGAACTGAGAGATCTGTGAGCCGGGGGGCTGGACAGGACAGATCCTGACCGGCTTATAAGGCCACAGGAATTTGGATTTTATCTTAAGCACAAGTAAGAAAGCTTTTAAAGCAGGGTGGTGACATGTTCAGAATGGCATTTTATTTTATTTTATTTTTGAAATGGAGTCTCACTCTGTCACCCAGGCTGGAGTGCAGTGGTGTGATCTCGGCTCACTGCAATCTCCGCCTCCCGGGTTCAAGCAATTCTCCTGCCTCAGCCTCCTGAGTAGCTATGATTACAGGCACCTGCCACCACACCCGGCTAATTTATATATATATGTATATATATATGTATATATATATATATATATATATATTTAGTAGAGATGGGGTTTCACCATATTGGCCAGGCTGGTCTCAAACTCCTGACCTCGTGATCCGTCAGCCTCGGCCTCCCAAAGTGCTGGGATTATAGGCATGAGCCACGCACCCAGCCCTAGAATGGCATTTTATTTTATTTTTATTTTTAGTTTTTTTGAGGCAGGGTCTCACTGTGTCACTGAGGCTGGAGTGCAGTGGCACAATCACCGCTTACTGTAGCCTCGACCTCCCTGGTCTCAGGTGATTCTCCTGCCTCAGCCTTCTGAGTAGCTGGGACTACAGGCATGTGCCACCATGCCTGGCTGATTTTTGTATTTTTTTGTAGAAACAGGGTTTTACCATGTTGCCCAGGCTGGTCTTGAACTCCTGGGCTGGAGTGATTCACCACCTCAGCCTCCCAAAGTGCTAGGATTACAGACATGAGCCACCGCACCCAGCCCAGGATGGCATTTTACAAAGATCCCTGTGGCTGCAGACTGGGGTGTGTGAGAATGTGTATATGTGTCTGAGTGTGTACGTGTGTTTGTGTGTGACTGTGTGAATATGTATGTGTGAGAGACTGTATACATGTAAGTATGTATGTGAATATGTGTGTGTGTGAGTCTGTGTGTATGTGTGATTGTGTACATGTGCTTATGTGTATGCATGTGTGTTTATGTCTGTATGTATGTGTGTACATGTTTATACGTATGTATTTATGTGTCAGTGCATGTGTATTTGTGAGTATATGTGTGTGTTAGGGAGGAGCATGGTGTGGGGTGGGGAGTCTCTTGAGGGTAGGAGGAGATGAGGGTCTGGTGGCGGCTTGGGCTGGTAGTGACAGGCCCGGCAGCCCCAAGAGCCCCTGGAAGCAGAATTGCGACCCTTGGTGACTGCTTGGGTGCAGGAGGATGCAGGGTGACACGCAGCCTCCTAACTGGATGTAGGAGAGAAAAACAAGATACACCAGGCATTTGGAAAGCCAAAGAACACGTGTTTGCTTGTGAAAACTTAAGGAATGTTTTGGTGGGATATGTTGAAATTGTTGCCTAAAACGATCGCTGATCTTGTGCCCCTCAGTGTGTGGCCTTCGTTTACCCCTGCTTCCCCTCACTCCCCTGCTTGGGGGCTGGGTGGTCATGACAGCCTCCCCAGTACACAGTGAGCATCTTTTAGTTTGATGTTTTCTTGGAGAGCTTTTTATTTTATCCTTAAAAGTAGATCAGACAAGGCCGGGAGCAGTGGCTCATGCGTGTAATCCCAGCACTTTGGGAGGCTGAGGCGGACGGATCACTTGAAGTCAGGAGTTCGAGACCAGCCTGGCCAACATGGCGAAACCCCGTCTCTACTAAAAATACAGGAATTATCTGGGTGTGGTGACGCACACCTGTAATCCCAGCTACTAAGGAGGCTGAGGCAGGAGAATCGCTTGAACCTGGGAGGCAGAGGTTGCAGTGAGCTGAGACTGCGCCACTGCACCCCATCCTGGCAACAGAGCAAGACTCTTGTCTCAAAACAAAAAACAAAAACAAAGTAGATCGGACAAGCAGTTTAAAGATATATCAAAACAAAAGTACTGTGAAAAAGTTAAATCAGATTTTTCCTGCATTTTCTGTAAGTCCTTGCTGAGGTCCAGATTTAGTTTTCAGCTAGGTGTGACCGTCGCCTGCCTTGCTGCCGATGTCCTGAAGATGCTTCATGTTGGCACATGTGGCTTCATCGGGTGGGCTACCATCCTGCATCAATAGTGGGCCGTTTCCATGGTTTCTGGTCTGTTGCTGGTCTGGCTTGGCAGGTGGCAGAGCCTGGGTCAGACCCGCAGTTTGGCCTCAGGGCTCAGGCTCCAGAGAACCACTGTGCAGCCTTTTACTTCGTACACACAGCTCTTTTCACCAAGATGTGTTTTTACTGGGTCAGCAGGCATGAATGTTTTCCCTGAAGAGTTTTTTTTTTTAATTTTTATTTTTGAGACAGGGCCTTGCTCTGCAACAGGCTGGAGTGCAGAGGTGTGATCATAGCTGAGGAGGCTGAGGCGGGTGGATCACGAGGTCAGGAGTTCGAGAACAGCCTGGCCAACATAGTGAAACCCCGTCTCTACTAAAAATACAAAAATTAGCCAGGTGTGGTGGCGGCCGCCTGTAGTCCCAGCTACTTGGGAGGCTGAGGCTGGAGAATCACTTGAACCCGGGAGGCAGAGGTTGGAGAATTGCTTGAATCCAGGAAGCAGAGGTTGTGGTGAGCCGAGACTGCGCCACTGCATTTCAGCCTGGATAACACAGCGAGACTAAGTCTCCAAAAAAAAAAAAAAAAAGATAATAAATAAAAAATAAGGGAGATAAAGTTCTGTTTTCTTTTTTTGTTTTGAAATCAAGATATTTGTTTTAGTCAGGTTCTTTTGGTTGCAAAGAAGAGTCTCACTTAAATGTCCCTAAGCAACTATGTTGCCTAAGGATGCCCAGTGCATCTTAATTGCTGGATGAGTTGCCACAAAGTGAACACTCTCACAACCAGATCCAGAAACAGAACAGCCCCGCCTTGAAGATCCTCTGTGCCCCCAGTCGTGCCCACCCCTCCCCAGGAAGCTGTGCTCCTGATGTCCAGGGTTGTGTGACCTTACTTTTGCTTTTGGTTTCTCTCGCTCAGCATTGTCTGTGAGATTCATCCATGCTGCTCTAGTAGCCATGCTCATTCACCCCCTTGGACCGCAGTTAACTCACCTGCTGATGGACATTTGGGTGGTTTCCAGCATTTCGGCTACTAAAATTGTGCTGCAGGGAACATTCACATGTCTTTTCTTTTTTTTTTTTTGGAGACGGAGTCTCGCTCTGTCGCCCAGGCTGGAGTGCAGTGGTGTGATCTGGGCTCACTACAAGCTCTGCCTCCCGAGTTCACGTCATTCTCCTGCCTCAGCCTCCCGAGTAGCTGGAACTACAGGCGCCTGCCACCACGCCTGGCTAATTTTTTGTATTTTTAGTAGAGATGGGGTTTTACCGTGTTAGCAAGGATGGTCTCAATCTCCTGACCTTGTGATCTGCCCGCCTCGGCCTCCCAAAGTGCTGGGACCACAGCTCGCATGTCTTTTTGGGAACATGTATCTAATATGTCTCTGGTGTTGATTCCTAGGGGTGGAATTGCTGGGAGATAGAGAATACAAATGTTCAGCTCTAGGAGATACCGCCACACCCTTCTTATTTTATTTTATTTTTTCATATTAAAACAACATTTATTTTAGGTTTAGAGGTACATGTGCAGGTTTGTTATATAGGTGAACTCACGTCACAGTGGTTTGTGTACAGATTATTTTGTCAGCCAGGTATTAAGCCTAGTACCCAACAGCTTTTTTTTTTTTTCCGGATGTGCAGGTTTGTTATATAGGTGAACTCATGTCACAGAGGTTTGTGTACAGATTGTTTTGTCAGCCAGGTATCAAGCCTAGTACCCAATAGCTTTTTTTTTCAGATCCTCTCCCTCCTCCCACCGTCTACCCTCAAGTAGGCCCCAGTGTGTGTTGTTCCCTTCTTTGTGTTTGCATGTTCTCTTCATTTAGCTCCCACTTATAAGTGAGAACATGCGGTGTTTGGTTTTCTGTTCCCGTGTTAGTTTGCTAAGGATAATGGCCTCCATGTTCCCACAAAGGACATGATCTTATTTTTTTGTGTGGCTGCATAGTATTCCATAGCCTATATGCACCACCTTTTCTTTTCTATATGTTGATCTCTGGCATGTACCACATTTTCTTATCTGATCTGTCATTGATGGACATTTAGGTTGATTCCATGTCTTTGCTATTGTGAGTAGTGCTGCAGTGAACATAAGCATGCGTGTCTTTATGGTAGAAGGATTTCTAGCTTTGTGTGAGAGTCCCAGTTCCTCCACATGCTTGCCAATACCTGGAACGCATGTTATCTTGAAAGTTTTGTAGAAAAACACCTACAGTCCTTACCCTTGAGACTTGTACAGATAATACTAGGAAGTGTCTCTTACATGGGAGAGTCTTTTTGTAACTGTTGGATGACTGCGCCAATGCCATCAATGACTTTGTGAGGTTTGGTGGAATAAGGAGCTTGGTAGAAGCTGGATTGCTGCGGAATAATTGTTAAGAAGGCAAAGGGAAGGGGAGGTGGTGGTCACACACCATGGGGGGTGTAGGAGGAGCAAGGTGGGCTGGTGACTGAAGGAGGCCACAGTAAAACAATGTTTTCTTTGAGAAGGAGCCAGTGCAGGGGAGAGTCAAGGCAGGGGAGAATGTGGTGAAGCAAGCGGCACTGCTGAGGAGGGGTTAGAGCCCCAGGGCTGGGAGGCGGAGGGAGGCGTGCACTGCTGTGGAGGGGTTAGAGCCCCAGGGCTGGGAGGCGGAGGGAGGCGTGCACTGCTGTGGAGGGGTTAGAGCCCCAGGGCTGGGAGGCGGAGGGAGGCATGGGTGTGGGAGCTGTCTCGCTCTGTACTTTGTATCTCTTTATAATTTGCAAACATTTTAAAAGGTGGATTAATTTCCCTAATCCTGACAAAGGCCCTAGCAGGCTTATTTTGTTACAGTTGAGTAAACTGAGGCTATTTGGAGAGCACAGCCAACCTTACCAAATTCTTTGGGTGTTAAGCGGCGAGCCAGGAGCTGCATCTAGCGCTGGGACAGCTTTGGTGCCCGGTTTCTACACTGCTCTTGCTTAGTTTTGAGTGCAGCCTTTCTGGCAGTTTCTCATTGGTTTAAAGTCCCTCCTTATGTGGAGTCAGACAACTTTGATGGACTTGAAGAATTGAAGAGGCAACATAGTTTTTATCTAAGAGAATGGGATTTGGAGTCCCACTGACCTTTCTCCAAGCTGGTTCCACGGCTCTCTACCTGTCTGCTCCTGGTCTGAGTCTGAGTGTTTTCATCAATCAAGTGGGTCTAAGACTCCTCCTGCATAGCGCAGCTGTAGGGATTAAGCAGGATAATATTGAGAAATTCCCTGGGACTGCTTGACTGTAGTTTAAGAGCCCAATGTTTGGTGCCTGTCTCATGCCGTGGTCAGCTTCTGTGCAGCAAATAGAGATAGCGCGGTAACTCTGTGTGTGCTGTTATGGAGAGGTTTCCCAGATGTTACTAAGTAAAAACAATGCAAAACAAGGCACAGAACAGATTTTATGGTATGAACCTATTTGTGTTTTTAAAAAGGTATATGTACACATAAATAAAATAATTATATAAAAAATTTATGGAAGGTATACACTTATACACAGGTATGGGAGGTAGGGGTAGGTAGAATTATAAGAATGTATATTTTCCTGGCTGGGTGCGGTGGCTCACGCCTGTAATCCCAGCTCTTAGGGAGGCCGAGGCAGGCGGATCATGAGGTCAGGAGATCGAGATCATCCTGGCTAATACGGTGAAACCCCTCCTCTACTAAAAATACAAAAAAAAAATTAGCCCAGTGAGGTGGCAGGCACCTGTAGTCCCAGCTACTTGGGAGGCTGAGGCAGGAGAATGGCGTGAACCCGGGAGGCGGAGCTTGCAGTGAGCCAAGACCGCGCCACTGCACTCCAGCGTGGGCGACAGAGCGAGACTCCGTCTCAAAAAAAAAAAAAAAAAAAAAAAAAAAAAGAATGTATATTTTCCTGTACTTAATTTAAAAAACTTCTGCATGATTATTTTAGTGTTAGTTTAAACAGCAACAACAAAATATTACCCTTATGATATGTTCTCTATTAGCTTATTAGCTGTACCTCTTTTTTTTTTTGAGACAGAGTCTCACTCCATCACCCAGGCTGGAGTCCAATGGCATGATCTCGGCTCACTGCAACCTCTGTCTCCCAGGCTCAAGCGATTCTCATGCCTCAGCCTCTCGAGTAGCTGGGATTACAGATGCATGCCACCACATCTGGCTAATTTTAGTATTTTTAGTACAGACAGGGTTTCATCACGTTGGCCAGGCTGGTCTTGAACTCCTGACCTCAAGTGATCCACCTGCCTCAGCCTCTCAAAGTACTGGGATTACAGGTGTGAGCCACCATGCCCAACCTATACCTTTTTGTTTTATTTTATTTTTTTTTTTGGTGGTGGTTCTAAGATTTTCAATATTACATCTTTAAGTTATCACAGTGTACCTTCAAATGATATTATGCCACTTCACATGTAATATAAGAACCTTATAGAAGAAGGGTGTACTGCTCTCCCCCGTCCTTTTGCTATCAATGTCATACATTTTATTTCCACACATTTTAAACCCCACAGTACATTGTTATTACTTAAAAAAGGTCTGGCCGGGCGCGGTGGCTCACGCCTGTAATCCCAGCACTTTGGGAGGCCGAGGCAGGCAGATCACGAGGTCAGGAGTTCAAGACCAGCCTGGTCAACATGGTGAACCCTGTCTCTACTAAAAATACAAAAAAAATTAGCCGGGCATGGTGGCGGGCGCCTATAATCCCAGCTACTTGGAAGGCCAAGGCAGGAGAATTGCTTGAACCCGGGAGGCGGAGGTTGCAGCGAGCCGAGATCGCGCCACTGCCCTCCAGCCTGGGTGACAGAGTGAGACTCTGTATCAAAAAATAAATAAAATAAATAAATAAATAAATAAATAAATAAAAGTCCATTATCTTAGAAATAAATTTTAAAATAAGAATATCTCTTATATTAACCCACATATTTCTATTTATTTTTTCTTTTTTTTTATTCTGAGACAGAGTCTCACTCTGTTGCTTCGTCTGGAGTGCAGTGGTGTGATCTTGGCTCACTGCAACATCTGCCTCCCGGGTTCAAGCAATTTTCGTGCCTCAGCCTCCCAAGAAGATGGGACTACAGGCATGCGCTACTATGCCCAGCTAATTTTTTTGTGTTTTTAGTAGAGATGGGATCTTGCCATGTTGACCAGGCTGGTCTCGAACTCCTGGCCTCAAGCAGTCTGCCTGCCTCAGCCTCCCAAAGTGTTAGGATTACAGGAATGAGCCACTGCACCCAGCCCACATATTTCTGTTTCTAGGCTTCATTCCTTTTATAGCTCTGAGCTTGAATCTGGTATATTTTCCTTCAGTCTGAAGAACTTTAACTTTGCTTATAGTACTGGTATTTTGGTCACATGTTTTCTCAGCTTTTGTTTGTCTGAGGTTGTCCTTATTTCACCTTTATGCTCCTAGCACTTTAAGGATGTTCTGTTGTCTCAGGCTTGTCTTGTTCCTGAAGTCTGCTGTTGGTCTTACTTTTGTTCTCTAGTATGTAATATTCTTTTTCTCCTCCAGCTACTTTAAAGATGTTTTTGTCATTGGAATTTAGCAGTTTGATTACAATGTACCTTGGTGTAGTTTTCTTTGTGATTAGCCTGCTTATGGTTTGTTGACATTCTTGGATCTGTAGGATTATACTTTTCACCAAAATTTTGGAAAATGTACTGCCATTATTTTTCCAGTTTTCCTATCTCTCCCCTTGTTCCTCCTCAATCTTCCAGAGCTCTATTTACATTTATTTTAGATGCTAGATATTGTCCCACTGAGGATCCCCATTCCCTCCATCTTTTTTTCCTCTGTGATTCAGTTGAATTGTTTCTGTTGCAATGTCTTCGCGTTCTCTCATCTATTCTTCTATAGTATCTAACATGCTCTTTATTTTATTGTTACAGAGACAGGAGGATCTCACTATGTTGCCCAGGCTGGTCTTGAACTCCTGGGCTGAAGTGACCTCCCATGGTGTCAGGATTACAGGTGTGAGCTGCAATGCCCAGCCCTACCATGCTCTTAAGCCAACTCATCCGATGTATTTCAAAATTTCAGATGCTATTTTTTTTCTTTAAAAGTTCCATTTGGATTTCTTTCTTCGTATTCATGCTCTCTTTTAAATCCTTGAACAAATTTGTAATATTGTTTTAAAAATCTTATCTGTTATTTCCTCGTCACTCTCATTTTTGGGTCTAGATGGACTGACTTTCTTGTGGTTGTGGATCAGGCTTTCCTGCTTTTTCTTACCTCTAGTAATTTCTGATTGGATGCTGGACATAGGGAGTGTTACGTTGTTGAGCATCTGCGTTTTGTTTTCTGCATTTAAACAGTGTTGAGTTTTGTTCTGGCAGGAAGTTAGTTTACTTGTAGATCAGCTGCCTTCTTATAGGGCTTGTTTGCTGTCTTTTAAAAACAGGTCTAGGCCGGGCGTGGTGGCTCACGCTTGTAATCCCAGCACTTTGGGAGGCTGAGGCAGGAGAATCGCTTGAACCCGGGAGGTGGAGGTTGCTGTGAGCCGAGGTTGTGCCATTGTACTCCAGCCTGGGCAACAGAGCGAGACTCTGTCTCAAAAAAATGAATGAATGAATGAATGAATAAATAAATAAAAGCAGGTCTAGGTCAGGATTGGAAAACTATGGCCCCTTGCTTGTTTTTATAAATAAAGTCTTCTGGAACACAGTCCCATTGTTTGTGGATGGTCTATGTTGATTTCATGTGACAGTGGTAAAGTTGAGAAGTTGAGGCAAAATCTATATGTCCCACAAAGCCTAAAGTATTTATTATCTGCCCCTTTACAGCAGGAAATTTGGTGACCCCTAGTCTAGAGAAGCCTTTACTTTTGGTCTAGTTTAGCCCTGTGCCTAACGTTGTGGCCTTTCTGAGTCTCCGTGAGGGTCGTGGGTGCTTCATGAGGTCCCTTAATTCTTCCTCGTTGGAGCTTGAATGTTTCTCACCCTGCTCCGCTTCTCCTGCCCCTGTGGCTGCTCTTTGCCTGGCCTCCTGGAGTCTCACCAGCAGCACGCCCTGCCTTGCCTTCAGGCAGGGACTCAAGGAGCCCAGCTCCGTTTCTGCCTCCTCCGTGTGGCTGTCTCCTCCTTGTTACTCTGCCGCTCTCATTCTGGCTGCTGTGGCCATCATGAACTCAGACCTCTCTCTCCTCAGCTCAGTGACTGTCACGGTCTGCATGGGCCCCTGTCTCCATGCAGAAAGCTCCTGTGTCACGGGGCACACCTCATTTGTCTTCCCGCTCAGGGACCACGTTCCTGTATGACTCGTTGTTCAATGCCTGAAGAAGTGTTTTATGTATTGTGTTCAGTTTTCTAGTTGTGTATGGTGGGAGGGCTAGGCTGTTCCTACTTAGTCCATCTTTTCCTGGAAGTGGTAGTCCCCCCAAGTATGATATAGAAGGGGCAAATGAAAGAAAGTGCCAGATAGATGAATGATGCGTGACGGGATCACCTTTTATTAAGTAGGTTAGAGTAGCTGATGGTTGATTTTTTTATTTTTATTTTTTATCTTTTTGAGACAGAGTCTCACTCTGTCACCCAGGCTGGAGTGCAATGGTGCAGTCTCGGCTCACTGCAACCTCCGCCTCCTGGGTTTAAGCGATTCTCCTGCCTCAGCCTCCGGAACATCTGGGACTACGGGTATCCACCACCATGCCTGGCTAATTTTTGTATTTTTAGTAGAGATGGGGTTTTACCATGTTGGCCAGGCTGGTCTCAAACTCCTGACCTCAAGTGATCTGCCTGCCTCGGCCTCCCAAAGTGCTGGGATTACAGGCGTGAGCTACCATGCTGGGCCTGATGGTTGATTCTTTACAGTGAATAAGTTGTTATGTATTAATGAGTTGTTCTTTCACTGAACCTAATTATCCCCCCCAGTGGAGTTTCACTTTCCAACTTACACACAGCATTAATATTTAAGATTACATTGGTGTATCACATTAATAGTACAGATTAAAGTTTGGAAGAGTTCAGCTTTCATGATCCCTAGACAACTAATTTGCAAGGCTAGATTTAGAGTTTCTCCTTTCTCTGATAGAAACATTTGCATTTCACTTGGGCTTTATAACGCCAGGTAGGTCAGAGGTTGAAACTGAAATAATTGTTAAACACGTAAGAGGATTTAAGGATAAAATCCTCCCCTGTTTTGGTGTTACAGATCTAAATTGGGCACTCAGTCATGTAGTGCCAGAGTGCGGGATTTGGCTGGCTACCTTAAAGGTTTAGTTAATTATACAGAAATCCTCTTTCAGTGTTAATCATTGTTCATGTCCTATAGAAAATGGTCTAATTGTTCTTTTCATTTAGCTATTTTGTTTAAGAAGGTCCTTTCTAGTCTGATTTGATTTCTTTCTTTTTTGAAATTAGGAAGTAAAGAATACAGAAAACATCTATTTACAATTCCATCAGTATTTATAAAAACATCTGTGTGCCCCCAGCCCAGTCAAGATATAGAATATTTCAGTACCCTAGGACTTCTTTATGTGTTGCACCTTGATCCCAGTTACTCCTTTTCTTAAAGAGGCAAATACTTTTCTTCCTTTTGTTGGCAATAATTATCTCTTCACTTTTCTTTTGAGATCGGGTCTCATTCTGTCTCCCAGACTGGAGTGCGGTGGTGTGATCATAGCTCACTGCAGCCTCGACCTCCTGGGCTCAATTGATCCTCTCACCTCAGCTTCCCGGGTAACTGAGACTGCAGGTGCACACCACCACACCAAGCTAATTTTTGCATTTTTTGTAGAGACAGGGCTTCACCGTGTTGTCCAGGCTCCTCTCAAACTCCTGAGCTCAAGCAATCTGCCTGCCTTGGCCTCCCAAAGTGCTGGGATTATAGGCATGAGCCACTATGCCCAGCCTCTTCACTTTTCTTAATGGTTTTCCTACCTGTGCGTCTCTAAAAGTTGTACTTGCGTTTTCGTGTGTTGCTTCTTTTCTCAGTATCGTATTGATAAGAATCAGGTGGTTGAGAAAAACATTTAGGTATGCTGTAGGGATAGAGTAACTATTTTAAATTCTTTTAAACAAAAAAATCAGGTGCTTGAATATATGTTGTTTACTTCTATGTAATATCTCATTTCATGTGTACATCACAATTTACTTATCCATTCTACTGCTGAACAATGTTGAAATTAGCATTACATATTTATTTTAGAGACTGCGTCTCACTCTGTCACCCAGGTGGGAGTGCAGTGGCACCATCACGGCTCACTGCAGCCTTGACCTCCCACGGTCAGGTGATCTTCCCACCTCAGCCTCCCAAGTAGCCAGGACTACAGGCAGGTGCCATCATGCCTGGCTAATTTTTCTTTGTATTTTTTTGTAGAGATGGGGTTTTGCCATGTTTCCCAGGCTGGTCTCGAACTCCTGGGACAAATGAGCATTCTTATATATTCTGGTACACCTAAGCAGGCATAGGATATAAGATAATTATATATTTTCTTCTTTTTTTTAAAAAAATGCCTGTTCAAGTCTTTTGCCCAGTTTTCTGTTGAGTTGTGTTTTTCTTACTGATTTTAGGAGCTTTTATATATTTTGAATATGTATTATAAATACCTCCCAGCCTGGGCAACATAGTGAAACCCCATCTCTCAAAAACAAACAAACAAAAAAAGTAGCCGGGCATGGTGGTGCACACCTGCAGTCTCAGCTACTTGGGAGGCTGAGGCAGGAGGATGGCTTGATCCCAGCAGTTCCAGGCTGCAGTGAGTCGAGATCGCACCAGCACACTCCAGCCTGGGTGACAGAGTGAGACCCTCTCTCTAAAAAACCAAAACCAAAAACAAATCTCAAAATCTTTCCACTCGGAGGCTTGTTTTTTCATGTTCCTTATGGGGTCTTTTGACATTCTCCATTTTAATATGGTCTGATAATCAGTCTGTTCCTTTAAAGGTTGGTGCTTTTTTTGCATCTTATTTAGGAACTCTCTTTCTCCCTTGATGGCATGAAGTTAATCTGTATTATCTGTTAAGGCTTTATGCTTTTTCTTTCCTGTTTAAGTTTTGTATAAACTTTGTGTATGGTTTAAGGTGGGGATCTAGTTTCCCATGTGGATATCTAGTTGTCTTAGTAGATTTTTGTGAAAAGCTCATCCTTCTTCCTCAGTTGCAGTGCTCTGTCGTAGGCCAAGTAGGTCTGTTTGGGACTTGCTGTTTATCCCATTGATCTGCTGGTGTCATTGGTCAGCCCTAGCACCACTCTGTCTGCTTTAATTACTAGGGCTTTATAAAAAATGTGTGAAGGAAGCACTTGTTTTTCTTGAGAATGTCTTGGCTATTCTTGTTCTTTTGTTCTTCATATAGGTTTAACAATTAGCTTGACGAGTTCAAAGAAAGAAAATTTGGGGGGTATTTGATTGGGATTGCACTGAGCCTATACATCAATTTGGACAGATTTGATATCTTTTCAGAATTGAGACTTCTGGTCCACACACATGGCATATCTCTTATTTAGATAGGTCTTCTTTAATTTCCCTGAATTAAGTTATATGCTTTTCCCTGTAGAGGTGTTGCCCATCTTTTGTTGGAATTCTTTTAAGTACTTGATATTATTTTGATGCTGTCCTAAGAGGCAACTTTAAAAAATTTAAGTTTTTAGCCTGTTATTTGGTAGGTATATAAGAGTAAAAATTATTTTTTATATTGCTTTATATGCAGCATTCATGATATCTCCATGTCATCAGGAGCCCTGGCAGCCATGCACACAGCTTCCTGCCCCCTTGATCCTGAAGAGTGTGTAAGGCTGCTGGGGATCGGATGCAGTTATGTAAGGGGTGTGGATGCAGAGGAGCCAGCCGTGGTTTCATGCTGGTCTTGAGTGTCATTCTAATCATGAGGCCACCTTACACCCCTCTACTCCAGGACATCCCACAGATCAGAAGGCTCATGGGAACCCAGATGGAGAACCAGCTCCTAGCACTGGCCTTCCCCATTTATCTTAACTGGTGCATTTCCAGGGCAGCAGGGCTGCAAGAGTCAGCCCTACAGCTGTCTGCCCACATGCCTGGGTCGGGGGAAGTTTTGGGCTTCATGTCAATTCTTGAGTTCCCGAGAGTTCGTGTCCAGGTTGGGAATAACTTGTCCCACAAATGCCTGGTAGAACTTGCCCATAAGGTCATGTAATCCGAAAGTGTTGTTTGTAAAAAAATTTTTAAAGTTCTGATTTAAGCTTTTAAGATGGTTTTTTTTTTCTTTTTTCTTTTTTTTTTTTTTTTTGAGACGGAGTCTCGCTCTGTCGCCCAGGCCGGACTGCGGACTGCAGTGGCGCAATCTCGGCTCACTGCAAGCTCCGCTTCCCGGGTTCACGCCATTCTCCTGCCTCAGCCTCCCGAGTAGCTGGGACTACAGGCGCCCGCCACCGCGCCCGGCTAATTTTTTGTATTTTTTTAGTAGAGACGGGGTTTCACCTTGTTAGCCAGGATGGTCTCGATCTCCTGACCTCATGATCCACCCGCCTCAGCCTCCCAAAGTGCTGGGATTACAGGCGTGAGCCACCGCGCCCGGCCGGTTTTTTTTTTCTTTTTGAGTCAGTTTTGGCAAGTTACATTTTAAGAAGACTTTGTCTATTTCATCTAGGTTTCAAATTTATAGGCATAAAGTTGTTTGTAACATCCTCTTGTGATCTTTTTAAAGTCAATGGGACTGTAGTAATGTTTCCTTTTTATTCCTGACATTGAGATTTGTGCGTCCACTCTTTTTTGTTGTTGTTTTTTTGAGACAAGATCTTGCTTTGTCACCCAGGCTGGAGTGCAGTGGTGCGATCATGGCTCACTGCAGCTTTGAACTCCTGAGCTCAAGCGGTCTTCCCCGCTTAGCCTCCCAAGTAGCTGGGACTACAGATGTGTGCCACCAAGCCCAGCTTATTTAATTTTTTTTTTTTTTTTTGTAGAGACAGGGTCTTCTTATGTTTCTTAGGCTCATCTTGAACTCCTTGGCCTCGAGTGATCCTCCTGCCCTGGCCTCCCAAAGTGCTGGGATTACGGATGTGAGCCACCATGCCTGGCCCCCTAGTTTATTTTATATCTTATTATTTCCTTTTTTCTACTTTCCTTGGGTTTGTTTTATTACCTTTTCCGCCATTCTTGAGGGGGAGATTCTTGAGATGAGTACTTACCTTATTAGTTTTCAGCCATTTGTCTTTTCTAGTGTATGCACTTAGCATTTAGAAATGTAAATGCTTAATGGCATTCAACAAGTAGTAGTTTTTAAAAATATATTTATGTATTTCAGAGACGAGGTCTCCCTGTGTTACCCAGGCTGGTCTTGAATCCTGGCTCCTTCCGCCTTGGCCTCCCAAAGTGCTGGGATTATAGGCATGAGCCACCATGCCTGGCTGGATATACAGTATTTTTGTTCAGTTCAAATTATTCTCTAAATTTTATTTTGACTTGATCAATTTATTATTTAAAAGTGTTGTAATTTTTAAACATAGAAGACTTTTTCTAGGATTTATTTTTGATTTCTTAATTGCATTTTGATCAGTAGACGTCTGTCAGCAGGGCAGTAGCAGGTGCACCGCACGTCTGTAGGGGGAGCCATCCACACCGTTGCCATGTGCGAATGGCGCCCCCTCGTGTTGTGGATGGTGTAGGTTGCACCGCTGTGTGCACACGTGTGCATACATGCATGCACACGCTTGGAATTTCAGCTGCTCTGTCCCTTATAGGCCCGTGCGTGGTCAGTTTTTGTAAATGTTCCCTGTGTACTTGAACACGATGCGTGTCTACAGCTGTTGGTGCCACCTTTTATACGTGTCCATTAAGTCAAATATTTTATTTGTGGTGTACAAATCATTTACACTTTACTGATTTTTTTGACTGTTTCTATCAGTAACAGAGAGGTGTATTAACACTTCTCACCATCATTGTAAATATGTCTATTCTCCTTATTAGACATATTTAGATAGAATTCTCTGCCCATTTGTGCTTCATTTATATTTTGAGGCCATATTGTTGTAAAACTGTTGTATCTTCCTGGTAAATTGGAGTCTATATTGTTGTAAAGTGACTCTTTATCCCTAATAAAACTTTTTGCCTTACAGTCTGTTTTGTCTCAGGATAGTTACACCAGTTTTCTCTTGGTTAGTGTCAGTCTTGTTTATTTGTCCTTTTATATAAGTCAACACTTCTGTAGCCTTGTATTTTTCATATGTCTCCTATAAACAGCTTGTAGTTGGATTAAAACAGATCAGTCTGATGATTTTTGTCTTTCAGTTGGAGCACTTAGTCTACTTACAGCCATTGGGGCCTAAATCTGCCATCTCTTTTGTGCTTTCTATTTGTCCTTCCTGTAATGTTTTTTTAAATGCCTTTTTATAGATTGAAAATATTTAATTTCTTCCCTTTTACTATTTTTGAAGCAGTGCACTGTTTTTCTCTTGTAATGGTTTCTTAGAAATTACAGTAGGAATACTGAAAAAAGTACAACGTCCGTCATGACCTTTATTCTTTTCTTAGACAACCCAAGACTTAGGAAATTATTTAATCCGTTTGTTTCTTGTATGTGAGTATTGCTGTGTACAGTATTTTATTTTTAACATCCCAAGTTACCATCCTTGTTTTCGGCAGTCATTGTTCTTTCAGGCTGATGCACATGCTTTTGACTCTTCGCTCTCCTTTCCTTTAGCGTCTCAGAACTTTCCTATGGGGCCACCTACTTTGACTGAAAGACTTCAGAATTCTTTTCTCATGACGGTCTACTGATGCCACATTCACTTCGTTAGTCTGAAAATATCTTTTTTGTTTGTGTGTTTTTGTTTTTTTGAGACAGGGTCTCGCTCTGTTATCCAGGCTAGAGTAAAGTGGCATGACCTTGGCTCACTGCAACCTCCACCTCCTGGGTTCAAGCCATCCTCCCAACTCAGACTGTTGTGTAGCTGGGACAGCAGGTGTGTACCACCACACCCAGCTAATTTTTGTATTTTTTGTAGAGACGGGGTTTTGCCCTGTGGCCCAGGCTTGTCTCGAACTCATGGGCTCAGGCGATCCACATACCTTGGCCTCCCAAAATGCTGGGATTACAGGCGTGAGCTCCCATGCCTGGCCTCTGAAAATGTCTTTATTCAGTCATAATTCTTTTTTTTTTTTTTTGAGATGAAGCTTCGCTCTTTTTGCCCAGGCTGGAGTGCAGTGGCACGATCTCAGCTCGCTGCAACCTCTGCCTCCCAGGTTCAAATGATTCTCCAGCCTCATCCTCCCAAGTAGCTGAAATTACAGGCATGCACCACCATGTCTGGCTAATTTTGTATTTTTAGTAGAGATGGGTTTCACCGTGTTGGTCAGGCTAATCTTGAACTCCTGACCTCAGGCAATCCATCTGAACTGGCCTCCCAAAGTGCTGTGATTATAGGCATGAGCCACCACACCCGGCCTCAGTTGTCATTCTTGAAAGGTATTTTTCCTAGGGATGGAATTCTAGAGTGATGTTTTCTTTTAGACTTTGAGGACAGCTGGGACCTACAGGTGCATGCCACCACACCTGGCAAGTTTTACATTTTTTTTATAGAGCTAGGGTCTTCCTATGTGGCCCAGGCTTGTCTTGAACTGCTGGGCTCAAGCAGTCCCCCTGCCTCGGCCTCCCAAAATGCTGGCATTAGAGGCGTGAGCCATTGCGCCTGACTCTCCAGCTTATTTACAGTCCTTTCCACGGAAGTCACTGAAGAATTGGATAAGTGTACAGTCTATACTTTTCATCAAGCAATAGATAAAGAGGTAGCAGCAGGGTGTCATGGCCAGGGTGTCAAACTGTGTGGAAGCTGCAGTCCAGCTCTGGAGCTGGGCTTCATGCCCATCTCCAGTGCCATTCTCTTCGAAGGGCCTTGGACCTGCAGCCTTCCTGGAGGGAGAGGGTGAATAGCCAAGATGCAGAATGGGCTTTCTTTGTAATCTGGAAGACCTACGCTTAATGAAGCAGTGTCAGTTTGAACACTTCTTAGGCTTATGCAAACATGTTTAGGTTATTTTAGCTGATTGAAGGCAAAATATGGCCTGACGCTGTGATGTGCGGCGCAGTCAAATGCGTCAGACCCTGGCTGTGTTCACAGAGTGCAGCATCCAGACTGAGGGCGGAGATAGCCTCTCTGCTCATGAGCTGTCTCTAAAGAAGCGCCCTCTTTAAAAAGATTGCACGTTACATTGGAATTTATTCAAGGTGCGTGGCTGAGATAGTGAAGGGATGCAAACCGTCATCTGAGGAACTTAAGTCAGGGAGCTGGGTTGTTTAGTGTGGAGTAAAGGATCTTTCATGAGTGAGTGGTTGGGGGGGTGGTACATTTCACTCCAGATGTCAACAGTCATTGCGATGTTGGCACTGCTTTGGTCCTGAGTTTCAAGGGAGGAAATTGAAGGCTTGAGAGGTGAAGTAATTTGCAGAAGGTCCCCTGAACTCAGGCCTGACTGTCTCCAAAGTGGCGTGTCAGCTGAGGGAACACAGGGTATCTTGCAGTCGTGATTTCTGATCAACACAAGCTGTCCAGCTTCCCAACATGGCCAAACAACAGGACAGACGTGGCTGCTTTCCGTGGGCTCTGTTGCTTCTGATTTATGTGTGTCTTTTCTCTTTGAGTTGAAGCATTAGAAGGTGTATCCACCAAGATCCAGTAAAGAAGACAGAAAACACACCAGGTATCTCAACCAAGCGGATTTAGGTGGGGAACTGGTTTTACAGGCTTTCGAGGGGCTGAAAGGGCCAAAAGGAAACCTTGACTGAGACGGTAACTACAGGAGGCAGGTGCTGCTGCTAGGGCTGGGGGAACAAATAGAAGAGGCTGGAGTTACTTAAATCTAGATGGCTAGAGAAGGGACCCAGTGAGCTGGGGCTTGGGCCACTGAGGTAGGGACACAGCCTGGCGCTTGCTGGCACCGCTGCTAAGTGCACAGTGCAGGGGCCTGGGAGCAGAAGGAAGCAGGAGGGCATGGGGGCGGCCGGCAGCTGGGAAGGGAACCATCCTCCCTCCTCGCCTGCCAGCCTCCCTGGAGGGTGCTGGACAGGTTTGAACTTCATGTGGTAGCAGTAATTTTAAGGTTTTGTTTTGTCCCCTTGCAACTCTCCTTACTTGCTTTGTCCCCTTGCAACTTATAACTACCTTACACAGGTACTCTGCATTGGTACTCTGCACAGGTACTCGGGGTTATTATTTACATATGGGATCTGAGCCTCCTGTGCTTTGCCCGAGTTAGGGCCTCAAGGACTTTGTGGATCCCTTCCTGATCTTTTATTTATTTATTTGTTTATTTATTTATTTATTTATTTTGAGATGGAGTTTCGCTCTTGTTGCCCAGGCTGGAGTGCAATGGTGCGATCTCGGCTCACCGCAACCTCCGCCTCCCGGGTTCAAGCGATTCTTCTGCCTCAGCCCCCTGAGTAGCTGGGATTACAGGCATGCACCACCACTCTGGCTAATTTTGTATTTTTAGTAGAGGCAGGGTTTCTCCATGTTGGTCAGGCTGGTTTCGAACTCCCGACCTCAGGTGATCCGCCTGCCTCAGCCTCCCAAAGTGCTGGGATCATAGGCGTGAGCCACCATGCCCGGCCCTTCCTGATCTTTATGGCAAGAGGTTTTTGCCACAACAACACTTCACACCTGACTGAAGCCCAGAGAAGCCCACGTCACGATGGCTGGAGGCAAGGAAGAGGATCTAGTCTTTTCTCTCTCCCAGAGGCGGGAGCCTTATGTCCACATCACTGTGAGCCTGCTGGCCTTGCCCAAGGACTATTCTTTTAAACTAAGAGAGTAAATTAAGATATTTCCGAGGGGTCTGGGATCCATGTAAATGAAAAAGTTCAACCTTTTTTGTAAGCCATGTTCTTAAAAATCTGCATGTGGGGTAGTTAAGTGTCACTTACTAGAGTCGAGGATTTCAGCGCAGGTCTTTTTGAAGTTCTGAGATGAACTTCTCCTCCTCTTTATACTTCTCATTCCAAGGATGCTGAGTGTGGGATTATTCCTGATGCAGTGCTGCCTAGGGAGAGGAGCCTCAGCACGGCATCTATCATGGGCTGCTTTGCTTCTGTATTTAGAAAGAGAACTAGAATTTTAAAATAATTGACTTACAACTACTTAGAAAAGAAAGGGCCAAATACTATGTGCAATCATGGCTTCCTCACGGTCAGGCATGTTTCCTGATCTCATCTCCTTTTTCAGGAGACTCTTTGGAAATACATGCATATATTTCATTATTGGGAATTACCAATAATTTAACCACTTTTGTGCTATTAGACATTTAGGTTGCTTCTGATTTTTTAATATTATAACTCATGTTATGATGAGACAGTGTATAAATCTTTGTTCAGATTTCTGGTTATTTTCTCAGTATGGTTTCTGGAAGTGATAGAAATAACTGGATAAATAATAAATAACCTTTAGGGGAATTGGCACGTTTTGCAAAATTGCTGTTTGGGAAGTTTGTCCCATTTTATGTGCCCGCTCGTGGGGTCTGAGGGAGGCTTTTTCCTGGCTCGGCTGCCAGCCCTGGGCATTGCCATTTGAAAATACCTTTGCAATTAAGTAGACGCTTGACCGTTTCATTGTTTTAATTATACTTTTCGATTATTAGTGTAGTTGAGTATTTTTACATATGTTTATGGGTCAGTTTCATTATGTTTAATTGTTTATGCCCTTCGTCCACTTGTAAGTAAAACAGTGAAGAGTGACCCGTGTGGGGTTTTTTGTGTTTTGTTTTGGAGACAGGGTCCCACTCCGTTGCCTGGGGTGGAGTGCAGTGGCATAATCACAGTTCGCTGTAGCCTCGAACTCCTCAGCTCCAGCAATCTTCCCACCTCAGCCTCCCGAGTAGCTGGGACCACAGGTGCATGCCACCATACCCGGCTAATTTTTTATTTTTATTTTTTGTAGATACGGGGTCTCCCTATGTTGCCTAGGCTGGTCTCAAACTTCTGAGCTAAAGTGATCCTCCCATCTCAGCCTCCTAAAGTGCTGGGGTTGCAGGCATGAGCCACCATGCCTAGCCTGTGTGGCCTTTCATACTAGGTGAATCTGTGGCCACCCACATCCTGAGAATTGTTTTGTTCCTCTTCCAACCTAGAGGAAGGTCCCCTTGGAAGTGTGGCTTGGGGCTCTGTGATTGAACCTTTCCTATTCATCATTTTCGTCAGTGTGTTGGATACAGATTTGGAAGGCGTGATTACTGAGTGCTGATGATATAAAGCTGGGAAGGACAGGTACTAATGTAGATGAAAGACTCGTGATTTACTCCAATCTTGAAAGGATGACATGCTGGCAGATTGTGGTAAAATATAACAGAGATACTTTGAAAGTCCTGCATTTAGTCTTCCCTTTCTCTCCCTTGCTCCCTTCCTCCCTTGCTTTCTTTCTTCCTTCCTTCCTTCCCCCTTTATTTGTCCCATCAATTGCGTAAATGCAGGTAAACATTTAGCCATTCCTGTGAAAGCCGCTGTGTATGTGGTGGCCTTAATCATTGTCCATTTTTGGGCCTGTGGATCCCTGTTATTCTCTGCAGTGGAGACTGCACATCGGGCCAGTGCATGCCTGCTATTCTCTGCAGTGGAGACCGCACATCAGGCCAGTGCATGCCTGCTATTCTCTGCAGTGGATACCGCACATCGGGCCAGTGCATGCCTGCTATTCTCTGCAGTGGAGACCGCACATCGGGCCAGTGCATGCCTGCTATTCTCTGCAGTGGAGACCGCACATCGGGCCAGTGCATGCCTGCTATTCTCTGCAGTGGAGACTGCACATCGGGCCAGTGCATGCCTGTTATTCTCTGCAGTGGAGACTGCACATTGGGCCAGTGCATGCCTGCTATTCTCTGCAGTGGATACTGCACATCGGGCCTGTGGATCCCTGTTATTCTCTGCAGTGGAGACTGCTCATGGAGCATCTGATTTTCTTCTGGACCTTCTATTTTGAGCTGCATTCACAGAGCACACCTGAGAAATGGTGGCCAAGGGGAGTGATCTAGGACCCTGAGAAACCTGGAAGCAGCTCCCCTTAGGGAGAGTTGCAGAGGGCTGGGGATGTTGAAGGAGAGAGAAGGCTCTGGAGGAACTTGGATACTCCTTTCCAGGCTGAGAAGTGCTGCCCTGGGCACTAGAGAGGGAGAGCTCTGGCCATGGCTTCTGAGGGCCAGCTGCAAGTGGACACTGCCATGGGACAAACAGCCTCATCTCACTCATTGAACATTCCAGGAGGAACTAAATGACCCCTCTCAGGATGTCACGGGATTTCTATGTTGCTGGAAAGATGCTTGTGGTGGAAGCGTGGTTACTAGGTGGACCTGGATTCAGAGGACAGCTCAGCTGATTCCTGGCTTGTGGACTTAGATGGGTTGAACCTTTAAACACTCAGAACATCAGTTTCCTGTAAGGTGGGGTAAGAATGCGTGTGTACTGTGATTGATGTGAATAAAAGGAGCACTGTTGCCAAGTCCCTGAGTGCAGACCCAGCAGGTTGGAACCACTTCTTTTCTGTTCCCTGAACAATTGGACTGTGTGGACGCAGATCCTGCTTCCCTGAGCTGCACGGCCCTCTCTGATCGCACATACATGTGTGCATCTGACACATATGCTTGAGTGTGAGGGTGACAGCGGTCAGACAAATGGGCTTTTTTTTTTTTTTTTTTTTTTGAGACAGCGTCTTGCTCTGTTGCCCAGGCTGGAGTGCAATGGCGTGATCTCGGCTCACTGCAACCTCCGTCTCCTGGGTTCAAGCGATTCTCCTGCCTCAGCCTCCCGAGTAGTTGGGACTACAGGCGCCCGCCACCATGCCTGGCTAATTTTTATATTTTCAATAGAGACGGGGTTTCACCATGTTGGCCAGGATGGTCTCGATCTCTTGACCTCGTGATCCGCCCGCCTCAGCCTCCCAAAGTGCTGGGATTACAGGCGTGAGCCACCGCGCATGGCCAAATGGGCTGTTTTAAATCTATTAGAAAAATTTTTCACAATTTTTAGTCTCTATTATTCTTTCTTTTTTTTTCTTTTTTTTTTTTTGAGACGGGGTCCCACTCTATCACCCAGGCTTGACAGAGTGCAGTGGTGTGATCTTGGCTCACTGCAACTTTCACCTCCCAGGTTCAAGCAATCCTCTCACTTCAGCCTCCTGAGTAGCTGGGACCCCAGGCATGCGCCACCACGCCTGGCTAAATATTCTCAGTTATACTTTCAGTACACATAAAGGCAGTTGTCAACCAAGCTGTTTGTTAGAAAATGCTAACTGTGGTCCCTGTCCACTGCCTCTTTCCTGTTTTTTTTTTTTTTTTTTTTTTTTGAGACAGAGTCTTGCTCTGTTGCCCAGGCTGGAGTGCAGTGGCGCGATCACCGCTCATTGCAGCTTCTGCTTCCTTGGTTCAAGTGATTCTCCCCTGCCTCAGCCTCCTGAGTAGCTGGGATTACAGGTGGGCACCATCATGCCAGGCTAATTTTTCTACATTTAGTAGAGATGGGGTTTTGCCATGTTGGCCAGGCTGGTCCCAAACTCCTGACCTCAAGTGATCTGCAAGCCTTAGCCTCCCAAAGTGCCGGGATTATAGGTGTGAGCCACTGCGCCCAGCTGTTCACTGCCTCTTTCTGAGGCCTGTCCCACGTGGGACCTTGTGAGCTGGTGGAGGCCTCTTGAGGGCTGGCAGGAGCCTGTGCTACCTCTGGGCCCAGCACCTATGCTCCCGGGAGCCGTCCCGCCTCTTGCCTTCAGTCTTCATCTGTACTGTGAGGATCATCCACTGGCCTCCCAACCCGGTAGTGAAGGGGGAATAACAAGGACGTCTCTGGAAAGTGCTGCAGGTTCCCCTGAGGAAAGCTATTGTAGAGTAGAAACGAGAATGCACCCCCGGAATCAGCTCTCCGATGATATGCAGGTGCAGCTGCCTCCAGCCCTGCCGTTGGTCAGGAGGAGGCAAGGGGTACCTAATGTGCTCTTATTTGGCCCATGATGAGTGGAGAAAGAGACCTTTGCCCAGGTGTCCATGTCACTGAGGCAGTGGCGGAGGGTGTCCCCCAGCTCTGCAGTGGTCACCCTCTGCCTCCTGTCCTCGGGCAGCTGCCTGTGGCTGCAGGCGGTGAAGGTGCTGTTGGTTGTTTGCTCCCAGACCTGGCTGTGGGGCCTGCTCTGCAGAGGTCAGGGGCATGGCGCAGGGGGACCCAGCAGGGAGCTGGAGCCAGGCAGTGCGGGCTGAGCCAGGCCGAGGAGACCCCCGCTTTTATCTTGAGTGTTGTCATCTGATGCTGAGTTCTTTCTCAGCAGTGAAGGGGAATCAGTGTCCTGACTTGAATTGCACTTTGATGGGGTTTTTAGTTTCTGTGTGTTGGATTTTTACTGAGAGCTCTAGAGAAACTAGTCACCTGGGGGTTTCAGAGGAGGGTTGTGAAGTGCTGAATTTTTCTTTGAGCTTTTAAGGTCAGAACTCAGGGGAGCTAAAAAAAAATGAAAAAATAATAATTTAAACCTTATAAGGTGACTCATAAATAACTGCCTTTCAAGATGAGTGGAATTCTTCTGGGAAAAAGCCCTGTGGAAATTCTCCTGACCACCGAGAACAAAGAGGACCACTGCTATAAAAACCTCCAGAATCATCATCTGCGGATGGAGGGAAGACTCTGCCAGGAGTGCGATTTTTCCTTTATGTGTTACTCCGTTTACCATGTCTCAATAAAATGGCAGAGAAAGTCCTTTTCCTGTGTTTCATTTTTCCCACAACCTTTCCCCTTTTGACTTCTTTGGGGCTTCCCCTTATCTGAGACTGGCCCACCGCAGAATTCAGCTTCACGGGCCTGTCCGGATGGAACGTGGACGCCATCATGTGTTTACTGCTTTTATCTCTTAGCCACTTAGAAACATTGTTACCATGAGAAAATGGGAATTATGCTTTGATCCTTGAGTTAAATCGAGGCTGTGGTAGCTGGTGAGTTATGAGGCTTTATTAAAATAAATGATCTTGGATGTGTTGGGTATTCACTGGCAAGATGTTACCAGAACTCAAACATTTAAGATAAGCCACATATTATTTGTATGGATTCATAAAATATAGAAAGAGCGTGAGCTGGCTATGGCTGGGTTTTGTATCCTTTCCCCCAACTCTGTTACACTTTTCTGAAAGAAAATGAGACTTTGCTTTTATGTGAATAGCTGTAGAAAGCTAGGGAGGGGTGCCATTTGGAAATTGAATTAAAACCAAATTATGTAAGAATGTGGTTAGTTTTATAATATCCTGTTCTTGTTTCAGTGCTTTGGTTTATTATTATTATTATTATTATTATTATTATTATTATTTTTGTTTTTTTTTTTCCTGAGATGGAGTCTTGCTCTGTCGCCCAGGTTGGAGTGCAGTGGTGCGATCTCGACTCACTGCAAACTCCGCTTCCCGGGTTCAAGCGATTCTCCTGCCTCAGCCTCCTGAGTAGCTGAGATTATAGGCACGCGCCACCTCGCCCAGCTAATTTTTGTATTTTTTAGTAGAGACAGGGTTTCATCATGTTGGCCAGGCTGGTCTTGAACTCCTGACCTCATGATCCATCCGCCTTAACCTCCCAAAGTGCTGGGATTACAGGCGTGAGCCACCGCGGCTGGCCGGTTTATTATTTTTTCCTCAGTGCCGTGGAGGCGCACAGGGCTGCTGCACCCGTTAGGGTGGCCCTGGGTCCTACAGCCCCGGGCACACGGTGCACAGCACTTGCGTAGGGTGGTCCTGAGTGTGCACGCTGCTACGTCGCTCAGGCTTATGTGCCTTAAGCAGTTGCATAGTTTAGGCACAGTGCTGCTTCTCAAAGTGAATTCTACTTGGAGCCACTTATATATAGATTAGATTTTATAATGTGTAATATGAAGAGGAGCCTGGAGGTATACTTAATTTAGGAATTATATTATTTTTGGTTTGGGTTTTAAAGTATTTGAATGCCTGTTAAACCAATTCTGTAGTGGCTAGAGGTTCAAAATTTGTAGTATTTATGAAAAATACTCATTCTAAGTCTGCTTCCTTTTATAATTTAGGTATATACACTCTCTGTTCAGAATTCCTCAATACAACGCATTAAATATTGTTCCGAGGTCTTCTGAGCCCCGTTCTCAGTGGTGGCCGTGAGCTAACATTTCCACATCTGTCACAATGTTGTTTGCAGTTTGTCGGGAGGCGCTCTGCAGCCAGGCAGATGGAGGGGCCGCTAGGCAGGATGTTGCGAGTCTGTGAGGGCATCAATCCCCCGTTTCTGGCATAGATTTAATTGTTTGGTTCAACTGGGAAGCCATATATTAACTTCTACTTCAACCCATCCTGATCTCTCCACAGATGCTAGTTTTATACAGGCCTATTTTTCTCTGAAATTGAGCCTGAGAGACAAAAATCCACACTTGGGCTGTCATAGATTTTGGTAAATTGAGTCTTGTGACTGATTGGTGCCTCCTGCCTGCCCCGTGATCCTGTATGTAGTAACCACGTCGTGATCACAGGTCATGGATTGGGGAAAGTTGCCTCCAAAGATGTGGGTGTCTGTTTTTCACTCCACTTTCCATTTGGCCAAAAATTCAACACTTCAGTTTCTGTTTCAAAAAAGTAACAAAGAATTAAAAGGAAAAAAGCAGTAAGAAAGTTTGGGCCATGGTGGTGCTCTGGTACCCGCCTTCCTGTTTCTGCCTGTGTCGCTCTGGCTGGGCAGGGTCCGGGCATGGCAGCCCTCCCCTCTCTCCTCCCCCTCTGCCATGGGGGCCTGTGGTTCAGCTGCCAGGCGGGAACTGAAGAGCAGCCCCGGGCGCTGCAGCTTCCTGTCCTGCCCATCACGGTCAGGGACGCCGGTGTCCGTTCCTTCTACTCCAAGTCTGTCCCGAGTTTGAATGTTCAGATGCCACCAGCAGCTCTTTAGGGTCTGGACCAAACGTCTGATTTTTCCTCTACTAACCTGATATGTTTCTCATGGCCTTTCTCGCCTTTTTGCCATGTGTGATAGCTGTTCCTGTTCCTTGGACTGGATTTTCACGGGCTCGCTGGCAAGCAGGTCCTGCATAGCATGCTCAGCATGTAGCTGTGCTCCGCGTCTGCCGGATGAACACACGAGCCGGTCATGGGCCACGTCAGCAATGTTCTCGACCTTTGTAAGCTTCGAGAATGTGCTGTGTGTACAGAAGGACGCGCAGCCAAGTATGCGGTGGAATATCCAGAAACAACACGGGGCTTGTCGGGTGCAGACGGGGCGCCTCACCGGCCCGGCGCAGCCCCGCTCGCCCCTCTGGCCTCCCCCGCAGTTCCCCTTTCCTGGTTGTGCAGCATGCACTCGCTTGCCTTTTTCTTTTCTCACAGTTTTATCAACTGTTTGTGCATCCCCGAAATAATACAGCTTTGCCTGGTGTGGAAACGTATATAAACATTATCATAGTATCTGCGCTCTTTTGTGTCTTGTAAGACACCCGAGATCGATTCTGTTGCCGTGTGTAGCGGCGGTTATTCTTGCTGTTGTCGTGAGCCATTGAATACAGTGTCGAACACTTGGGTTGCCCAGTGTGTGTGTATGATGAATAGTGCTGCTATAAGTGTTTTTATATATGAATTTTGGTTAGCACCTGTGTGGATTTTCGGGAGGTAGTTGCCTAGGAGTGGAATTGCGTAGTAATCGGGTTGGGTTTTAGCTGAGGTTGTTTCTGCTGCACCACACTCCGGCCCACACTGTTACGCATTTTTACTGTGTTCATTCCTGTGGGTATGTATTATATCATGGCTGTAATTTACTTCCCCCTGGCCCCGACTTTGAAAAGTTGTATTTATTTATGAGATACAATGTGATGTTTTGATAGATATATACATTGGGGAATGATTAAATCGAGCTTATTAACAACCATCACCACACATATGTATCTTTTTTTTTTTTGGTGGTGAGACCATTTGCAATCTCTTTGCAATTTTAAAATATATAGTGTTATTAACTATAGTCAGCATGCTGCATAGTAGATCTCTGAACTTACTCTCTGTCCAACTGAAGGCTTGTGCCTTTTGACCAACATCTCCCCTACCCCTTCCACCCACTAACCTCTGGTGACCACCATTCTACTCTGCTTCTGTGAGTTTCGTTTTTTTAGATTTCTCATGTAAGTGACATCATGTGGTGTTTGTCCTTCTGTGGCTTATTTCACTTAACGTAATGTCCTCCTGGTTCATCCATGTTGTTGCAAATGACAGGATTTCCTTCTTTTTTTTAATGGCTGAGTAGTATTCCATGGTGCATGTATATCACATTTTCTTTATCCATTCTTTTTTTTTTTTTTGAGATGGAATCTCGCCATGTCGCCCCGGCTGGAGTGCAGTGGTGTAATCTCGGCTCACTGCAACCTCCGCCTCTCGGGGTCAGGCAATTCTCCTGCCTCAGTCTCCTGAGTAGCTGGGATTACAGGTGTTCACCACCACGCCTGGCTAATTTTTGTATTTTTAGTAGAGATGGGGTTTCACCATGTTGGTCAGGTTGGTCTCAAACTCCTGACCTCAGGTGATCTGCCCTCCTCAGCCTCCCAGTGTTGGGATTACAGGAGTGAGCCACCACGTCTGGCCTATCCACTCATTTTTTGTTGGACACCTTGGTACATTCCATATCTCGGCTATTGTGAACCACACTGCAATGAACATGGGTATGCAGATGTGTCTTGAACATGCCGATTTCAATTCCTTTGGATATATATACCCAGAGGCAGAATTGCTGGATTCTATATGGAAGTTCTGTTTTTCATTTTCATTTTCTTCATGACTAATGAAATTACACACCTTTTCATACTCTTACTGGTGATTTTGTTAGGATCTTTTGTGATGTACCTGTTGAGGATTTTTGCCCTTTTCCTGTTGTATTGTTTCTTATTGATTTGTAGGAATTCTTTAAACATTCTGGATAACGTCCTTTTAAAATGTGTTTATATGTGGAACATTTCTTGTCCTGTGAAACATCTCTGTGATGCAATATTTCAGTCTTTTTATGGTCTCTCTTGATAAACAGAAATATGTAGTTCTATTCTAGTTTAATGTGTAAGTGCTTTCCCTGTGTTTTATGCTTGTGTTGAAATATTTTCCAACCTTAAGGTCAAGATTTTGTCCCATAATGTACCCTAAAAGCTTCATAGTTTTGTTTTTTACATTTAGGTCCCTAACGAGGGTGACTGCCAGTCCCTGTGTGCCCAGGGCAGTCCTAGGGATGAATAATTACCATGTATTAATAATCACGCCAGTCTATGGCCCATCCGGCATTGGCTTTGCATATGGTATGAAGTAAGGGCCCAGTTTTGCTCTGTTGCATATGAATTTTAATTTGTCCCAGCTCCTTTCACTTGCAGGGACTATGATGACTCCTCTGCAGGCCGTCTTTGCGGGAACTAAGGGCTGAGACGCGCCTGGGTCTGTTTCTGGCCCTTTGTGCTGTTCCGGGGGTACTTCTCTCTGTGTGCCAGCTTCACACTCCTGTCTCTGTGGCTGCTGATGGTCTGAAAAAGCACATCTCCCCATTTGGATCCTCCAGAGTTTCTTGACTCCCTGTGTCCCTTTGCATTTCCATAGAAATTTTAAAATCGGTGGGTCAAGTTCACTGAGAGGCAGAAAAACATATTGAGGCTTTGATTGTGATTTAATCATATCTGTAGGTCCATAGATCATTTAGGCAGAGACTTGACATCTTTTCAATATTAATTTTTCTAATTTTTCATGTAGAAGTTTTTCACATCTTTTGTTAGATTTATTCTTAGATACTTTTGTTAGATATATTCCCAGAATTTTAAAATGCTATTTTGATGAGTCTTAGAAATTGTGTGTTGTTTGTTCTGGTGCATAGGAATGCAGTATACAGTTTTCGTTTTGTTTTTTTTCAATCGACTGATTTGTATCCAGCAACCTTACAGAATATTTTAATTTGAATATTCACATATTTATTTGGATTTCTATAAACACAGTCATGGTCTTCTGTAAATAATGACAGTCCCTCCTACCCCATCTTTATACTTTCTCTCTTTTTTCTATCTGTGCTACACTGACCAGGACTAGTGTTGAATAAATGTGGGGGCATCCTTAACTTTTTTCTTATCCCAAAGGGGAACACATTTACCCTATTAAATACGATTTTTTGAGCTAATTTCGTAGGCAATCTCCATCAGATTAAGGAAGGTTTCTTTCTTGCTTATAAGCGTTATTTCTTTAATGAGTGGTTATTGAATTTTAGTAAATGCTTTTTTGTGCATCTATCAAGATGATCATATGCTTTTTCTCCTTTAATTTGTTAGCATGGTAAAGTAGGCATGCAGGTATGCGCACATGCGTGCACACAGTGTCTTTAATGGTTGAGCTGTGTGTTAGCATGGTGAAGGAGGCATGCAGGTATGCACACATGCGTGCACACAGTGTCTTTAATGGTTGGGCCGTGTGTTAGCATGGTGAAGGAAGCACGCAGGTATGCGCACATGCATGCACACAGTGTCTTTAATGGTTGAGCCGTGTGTTAGCATGGTGAAGTAGGCATGCAGGTATGCGCACACACGTGCACACAGTGTCTTTAATGGTTGAGCCGTGTGTTAGCATGGTAAAGTAGGCATGCAGGTATGCGCACATGCGTGCACACAGTGTCTTTAATGGTTGAGCTGTGTGTTAGCATGGTGAAGGAGGCATGCAGGTATGCGCACATGCGTGCACACAGTGTCTTTAATGGTTGGGCCGTGTGTTAGCATGGTGAAGGAGGCATGCAGGTATGCGCACATGCGTGCACACAGTGTCTTTAATGGTTGGGGCTGCCTTGCATTTCAGGTATAATCTGTCTACACTTTTTATGCATTTCTGGGTTTGGTTTAATATTTTTGTAACTCTTTTTTTAAAGTAAGTGACCTGTAATTTTTTCCTGTACAGTTTTTGTTGGGTTTTAACACCAAGGTCATGCTATTCCAAAAATATGAGTTTGAGGAGTGTTTTTCTATTTTTTTTCTGCCTCTGGCTTTTAGCAAGATTTGTAGAACTTCCAGTTACTCATCTGGGTCTTGAGTTTTCTCTGTGGAATGATTTTTTTAAATTATGATTTGTTTCTAAAATGATTATCATGTCTTCTATGCCTTTATGAGTCAGTTTTGGTGAGTTGTGTTTTTCTAGTACTTGTCTTTTTCTTTGTTACTTAAAAAGTTTAGTGGCATAGAGTTGTTCAAAGTCACCTCTTGTCAATGTGGATAGTTCTCTCTTTTAGAATTCTGTACCGTGGTTTTGCCTGCCTGCCTGCCCAGCCCCCTCCCCTCCCCTCCCTTCCCTTCCCCTCCCCTCTCCTCCCCTCTCCTCCCATCTCCTCCCCTCTCCTCCCCTCTCCTCCCCTCTCCTCCCCTCTCCTCCCCTCTCCTCCCCTCTCCTCCCCTCTCCTCCCTTCCCTTCTGTTCCCTTCCCCTCCTCTCCTTCTTTCTTTTCTTTCTCTCCTTCTTTTTTTTGGAGACAGAGTTTTGTTCTTTCTTTCCTTCCTTTCTTTTTTTCTTTTTTTTTTGGAGATGGAGTGTTGCTCTGTCACCCAGGCTGTAGTGCAGTGGCGTGATCTCGGCTCACTGCAACCTCTGCAACCTGGGTTCAAGTGATTCTCCTGCCTCAGCCTCCCGAGTAGCTGGGACTACAGGCGCACACCACAACACCCAGCTCATTTTTGTAATTTTAGTAGAGATGGGGTTTCACCCTGTTGCCCAGGGTGGTCTCGAACTCCTGAGCTCAGGCAATCCACCTGCCTTAGCCTCCCAAAGTGCTAGGATTACAGGCTTCAGCCACCGTGTCCAGCCTTTCTTTCTTGATTAGTCTTACTAGAGCAGGCATGGGGATGATAGTGAAAATGTTGCTTTTTATGAATAAAGCACAGAAGTGTGTGCAGTGCACAAACAGAAACATCATATACCTGCGATGTCAACATTTCATGGGAGGGGGATTAGGGAAAAGATTAGGGGAAAGATTGGGCGATAATAAAATAGAGGTTGAGAGTCACTGCATGAGAGGCTGGTTCTTTTCAGGGAACCAGCTTGTGGCTTTGTGGATCTTCTTTGTTATCTGTTTGCTTTCATTCTGTCAGCTTTGGATCCTTCCTTCCTTTTACTTTCTCTGGGTCTGTCTTCTTGTGATGGATGCTTACTCATCCTCAGCTTTCTTTCTTCTCTTACATTTGTATTAATGGCTATACTTTTCCCTCCCAGTGCAGCTTTGCTTTTTCCCACTGGGTTTTATTTGTCTCTCTCATTTGAAGTAGGCTGGAGCGAGTGTGGCCTAGTTCAGAAATAGAAGGCTGGTTTGGCTGTAGCTGTGAGTGAGGAGGAGAGCAGTAGATTAGGTAGGAGAGAGAGGCCTAGACTAAATTGTGTCTGGGCTTGCAGACCTGGGTAAGGAACTAAATACAACTCAGGTGTGCTAGAGATCCGCTGTGTGGTTTCATGCAGGGGGTGTTGTGATCTGCTTTATATTTAAGAGACTAGAGTAAGGGATCGTAGGGGTAGGAGTGGAAGGGAGAAGAGTGCTCAGAGGCTGCTCTAGTGCAGGGGCAAGACGCTGGAGGCTTGCCCTGGGTGTGATGGCGGTGGGAGGACAGGTTCTGGATTTGTGTGCATCTGGGAAGGGAACAGGATATGACTGCCCAGTTCAGCAAGCTCGTTTAGGATACTTTTATTGGGCAGCTCATTAACTGTTCTCTGTGGCCCAGTGGATCTCAGTAAGCTGGAGCTTTGTAATTTTCACTTATCTCTATGATTGTTTAGTGTCCTAACAGAATGGGAGATTTATTTGGGTAAAGAGGGCCTAGAAACATTTAAGTATTCCCGTGATGCTGGCCATAAATACAGAAAATTTGGTGCAGTATGTCTTCACATTCCTACAAATTTAGTGTAGTTCAGTTCTCAAACCATGCTGGTAGTATCCTGGGGGTCTTCAGGACCCTTTTGGGGGTTTGTGAGGTCGGTTGCTAGGACAGGCCTGCG
This sequence comes from Homo sapiens, assembly GCF_000001405.40. Lineage (NCBI taxonomy): Eukaryota > Metazoa > Chordata > Mammalia > Primates > Hominidae > Homo > Homo sapiens. Next base: position 80,592,858 of record NC_000017.11, read on the forward strand.
TTTCCCTGGCGCCTGGATCTGCACTGATGGCGGGCGCAATGGCGGGCAGTGCTGTCGGAGTCTTAGTGGCTCCCAGTTGACCCAGTCGTTGCATCCATGATAGCCTCATAACTGGCCGCAAAAACACACTACTTGTGTCAAATCTGGGCCCTTCTGCACGTGTTTTTACCCCACTGAGTGCCTTTGCACAGACTGCGATCTGCTGGTTGCTGAGGGACAGGCACTAGTGGGATCCGGGAGGGGCCTGTTGGTTTTCCCCGTGGGATGCTGCTTTTCCCTGAAAGAATAAGAGACAGGATGAAGTGAGCTTGTCACTTCAAGGAAAACAACTGATGGCAATTGTTGCCAGTGATAAAAATTGAGCTTTCAACTGTAAATTAAATTAGAATTTTAAAAAACCTGTGTCTTCCACGGTGAACTTGTCAGGTTACCAGCCTGTTCTGAGGCCTGTTCTGATGAGACCGCGGCGGCCATGCTGGGTGTGTTTGATGCTGCAGAAGAGCTCTGCACAGCTCGGTGAGCCCATCTTTCCACATGACCAGTGCGTGCTGTTACAACACCATGTGTGGGTAAAGAGCCACTTCAAGCACCAGCTAGGACAGAGGGTCTCAATGTAACAGAGTATGAAAAAGCTACTGAAACAGTTTCCTTATCCAACAAACCGCTTGTGGAGTTTTGGTGTGTATCAAACAATACTGACAATTATTTCAAAAGACTACGTATACATGTGCAGCTCCATATGTGATGCTGGATTTTCTTCCTGTGCTTCAGTTGAATCAATGTATTACAGCAGATTAAATACAATTGCAAAGGTGAGAATCCAGTGACTTCTATTCCTGAGCCAGACAGTAAAGAGATTTGCAACAATGAAAAACATTGCCACTCTTTTCACTAAAATTTTTTGTTTGGGAAAATAGTTTCATTTTTAATAAAAATGTCATTCATGTTAACCTGTAACAGGCTTTTTATTGTTAATTTGAAATGAATTAATACAAATGAGAAGACCCTCATTTCAATGTATAACATGGTAACATTTGGTAGTGATAATTGGGAAGGGGCGTCTTTGGACTCCTCCGTGATTCTAAAGAGTGTGAAGGGACCTTGAGACTGAAAAATCCGAGAACTACCGGTTTATAGAAGTGGAAGCATTTAGTGATATTGCCGTTCGTTCCTTTCTTTCCTTCCTTCCTTTCTTTTTTTCTTTCCTCTTTCTTTCTCTTCTCTTCTCTTTTCTCTTTTCTTTTCTTTCATTTTGAGACAGAGTCTCGCTCTATCACCCAGGCTGCAGTGCAGTGGTGCGATCTCGGCTCACCACAACCTCTGCCTCCTGGGTTCAAGCCATTCTCCTGCCTCAGCCTCCCGAGTAGCTGGGATTAGAGGTGCGTGCCACCATGCCCGGCTAATTTTTGTATTTTGAGTAGAGATGGGGTTTCACCATGTTGGCCAGGCTGGTCTTGAATTCCTGACCTCATGATCCACCCACCTTGGCCGCCCAAAGTGCTGGGATTACAGGCGTGAGCCACCACGCCCGGCCGTGCAGTTCTTTAAACGTAGGAAATGACCTTTGAGTTTTGAGTTCGATACCAGCGTTTCTACTATTAAAGGTGGACTTTCTCTGTCAATGTTCTTGGAATCTTATGCTTTCCACGAAGTCCTTGCACTTGTGCAGAACTGTATCCCCTTAGCCATGTGAACTGCACGGAGCAACGCTGTTGCAGGATTTCCTTCTGCCTCACTCAGAACATATGTGCTCTGTGTGTGAAGAAGCTCGTCAGGCTGTGAGCACAGCACAAGAATAAAGCCTTTAGAACTCAGCAGAGAGAACCAGCCATTACTGAAAATGGAATGTTTTAATTAAAAATATCCATCACCGGGTGGCTCTTCTTTTCCTTTATTTCTCAAGTGTGGCAAATGTTAATAACAGTGGCTGCACTGTGGCTCCATGGTAAATTGCCAGTTGGTGAGTAGGATTTCTCCCATGAAGCTTAGAGATGAACCCCTGCAACATCTGTTCTTGTGACAACGAATCCCTTTTTTACTTTGGCTTATGCATATTTCAGAGGTTAGAGACAGGAGGCTCCTTCTAAAAGTGTTCAGTAACTGCCTGGGCTGATGTGTGTGCCTGAGAGTCAGAGAGAGAGAGGGAGAAAGAGAATGGGGGCTAAGGGGAACAAGAAGGGAGAGAGAGAGAGAGAGGGAGAGAGAATGGGCACTAGGGAGAAGAGAAAGAGAGAGAGAGACGGGGAATGGGTGGGAGCATATGAATTCATTGGTAACCCTTTCACTTTCTTTTCTTCCTGTATTAATTGATGGGTTGACCTTATTAAGTGGGTTGATTTTGGGGTTTCTACTGCAGTGTAACAATGAGCATGCAGATGGATTTTCTGATTGTTTACAAGGAAATCAACCTTTACACTAGCTCCAGCTTTTTTCTTAAACATCTAGTTCTATTAGAAAAAAAGCAAAAGCACAGCAGATAGAAGTCTTGAAGCCTGCAGTAAAACACTGTGGCTTTCCATTGTGAGGACGTGCCTGTTCTTTATTACACACAGGCTGCTTCTGTGATCTGCTGAGTTGGGCAGTGTCATCTTAGCAGACAGGGTTTTTCCCCCCCCTTAGATGGGGTCTCGCTCATTCGCCCAGGCTAGAGTGCGGTGGCATGATCATGGCTCACTGCAGCCTCAACCTCCTGGGCTCAGGTGATCCTCCCACCTCAGCCTTCTGAGTAGCAGGGACCACAGGTGTGCACCACCAACATCTGGCTAGTTTTTAAAATATTTGTAGAGACCAGGGCTCTCTGTGTTGCCCAGGCTGGTCTCAAACTCCTGGGCTCAAGCAATCCTCCAACTTCGGCCTCCCAAAGTGTTGGGATTTTGGGCATGAGCCATCGTGCCCAGTGGCAGGAGGGTTTTTATGTACATGTGCTTGCCCTTTGTCAGGGGGGTGGGGTGTGGCTTTGGTTTTGATATTTTCACTGGTACTGCCAGGCTATTTTGATTCTTCTTATAGGAGTCTTGACCGTCAACCACCTGCCATGCTGTTTGGGATGCAGTGTTTTGAGGATATCCCTGGGGACTTTACTAAATGGACCTATACAAGTTGATAGGCCTTGACAACTTTTCTCTTACTGTAGTTTTTGTTTTATTACCATTTAAAACTAAAGGCTAGGGAGATGAGCCGTCCTAGATTGAACGTGCTTATTAGCGTGGATATGTTGTGAAGAAATGCACGTTGGAAAACATGGTCCTCCAGAAGCAATTAACTTGGCAGCTATTTTGTTTACATTTTCTATGATTAATATTTACATTTTATTTTAAGAAAATTGGTTTTTTGCTGCCTTGATCTCATGCTCACATTTTCCTGGTTGAGATTGGAACCAATAAGTAAAGAAAATTGACCTATCAACCCTTTTAAATGTTAGAAACCTAAGTCAGAGAGAACTGTGTTAAAAGAACTGTGTTTATCTTTTTGGTTAAACCTGTTGTAACACTGTGTGGTTAAATTTTCCCTTTGTGCTCTCTTCCCCTAATCGTTCAAAGGATAGTGGGCACTATTAGGTTCGACTTTTTTTTTTAAATGTTTATCTTAGTGGTGGGTCCTCTTATGGGCTAGTCATTTGTGGGCATAGGTTGGGGTGTGCAGGGTTTATGGCTAATTATAGGATCATATGTAGTGGTTCTCTGTGATCAGGAGAAGGATACCAAGGTTTCTATTTTACTTATTTATTAGGTTGTGTAACTTTTTTCTTTTATTCTTTTATGCTTGATGATGGTGTTGGTGTTTAGGAACCCCTGTTTAGAAAGCATTTTGGAGAAAACCTGATGCAATTTTAATTTTGATGATGTCAATATCTCATTAGATAAGGCCTTGATAAAATAACACCTTTTTCTCTTATTTCAATGGATCCAAAGAGAGGCTAGCTTGGAAGTGGAGTGGTGGTGATCAGGAAGGGACTCACCACCACGCCACAGGGTTGTCACATATTTTCCTCAAAGCAAAATGTAATTTCCTCTTAAAAGAGGATTTAGATCCTGGCATTTTAGCAGCTGTTTTTAAGGCCTGGAGCTTTGGTATTCCTGGCTGTTTTGGGAGGCAGTGCTGGACAGCCGATTCGTTCAGCAGGTGTTGATTGTGTGCTGACTTTTGTTTGGCAGTATTTGGTCTGACATGGGAGGGAGTTTGCAAGAAGCTTACAGCATCATTTCATATGGTTGGAACCCCAAGTGTGGGACTAGCACACCTAAAACAGGGACGCACAGAAAGGGAAGGCAGCTGTGATTAAACCTTGAAGCTCGTAGTACCAAGCTCAAGCCTCGGCATTTGGCAGTAGGAGAGGTGCAGAATGGTTGGGAGAGCCTCGTAGAGGGGATGGAACTTGAGCTGGGACTTGAAGAAGGCTGAGAGAAGGGACAGGGAATGCGGAGTTTAGGGAGGGTGTTCACAGAGATTTTGAGAGGAAACCGAGCATGGCTTTTTCATGGAACTGTGTGAGTGTCTGCATGGCTTGGGTGGGGATGACTAACTTGACTCAAATTACTCATCCCTGGGCCAGACTGCGGTAGCCTGGGGACCAGGTGAAGGAATCTCAACCTTATATTGTAAAGGCAATGGGGAGCAGTGAAAGTTTTAAATAGGTGAAAGATAGGCTTTGTTTTCTCTTTTCTTTTTCTTATCCTTTTTGTTTGTTTTTGAGACAGGGTCTTACCCTGTTGCCCAGGCTGGAGTGCAGTGCGATCTCGGCTCACTGCAACCTCTGGCTCCTGGCTCCTCAGCTACCTAGGTAGCTGGAACTACAGGCATGTACCTTCACACCCAGCTAATTTTTTGTTTATTTTTTGTAGAGACAAGGTCTCACTATGTTGCCCAAGCTGGTCTCGAACTCCTGAGTTTAAGCCATCTGCCTGCCTTGGCCTCCCAGAGTGTTGAGATTACAGGTGTGAGATGCTGTGCCTGGCCATGTTTTTTTTGTTTTTGGTTTTTTTTTTCCTAAAGATTCATCTGACTGTATGTGGTGTTTCACACCTGCAATCCCAGCACTTTGGGAGGCTGAGACCAGTTGATCCCTTGAGCCCAGCAGTTCAAGACCAGCCTGGGCCACATAGTGAAATGCCATCTCTACAAAAAAATTAAAAATATTAGCTGGGTGTGGTGGTGCACACCTGTAGTCCCAGCTACTTAGGAGGCTGAGGTGGGAGGATCTCTTGAGTCCATCAGGCTGAGGCCACCGTGAGCCGTGATCATGCCACTGCACTCTAGCCTGGGCATCGGAGTGAAACCCTGTCTCAAAAAAAAAGATTCGTCTGCTTGAGATGTGGGGCGTGTGGAAGGAAGTAGACCAGTGGATACGGTCACCCAAAGCATGATGGGAATTCCAGATACTATATGATGCCATTTCAACATGGAGGAGTAGAAATGGTGATGAAGGTAAAGAGACCACAGCAGAGAGGCGTCTAGAAAGAAATTAATGGCTCTGACAACTTATTTAATAGAAGTGGTGGGGTGTGGGGCAGCCCAAGATAACAAATGTAATTTTCAGGGCAATTCATGGATGGAGGAAGAATCAATTCAGATTTCTGGGTTGTACTGTTTTTGATATTGTATTCTAAGATGGTCATTGCTTCTTATTAGGAGACAAAAAGGTTTTTAAAAATGTGAAGGTCATCTGCAGTTTTTTGGGGTGAGAGAGTCCTCAGGAACGTTCGCATTTGCAGATGCCCAAGAGCCTTGAGTCCAAGTTGCTGATCTTTTGCGCAGGGTGGTTCTGCCGCAGTCTGCGAGGCTTCTGGAGGGCCTCGTGAGCTTGCAGCTCTGTGATCCTGCTGACAAACTGGTTTCTTTCCACATGTGGAATCTGTGTTTTCCCTGCATGGAGCAGTGAATGGGGATGTGAAAGGCACCGGACATGAAGCTGATACCGTCACAGTAGAATCCAGAAGAGCTGCTCAGTAAAACAGCTTATACATTAACTGTTCAGACGCTAGAAAAGGCTTGTATTGCTTATTGACCTTAAACTTTCTTGATTCTTTCTATCTATCTATCTATCTATCTATCTATCTATCTATCTATCTATCTTTTTGAGACTGGGTCTTGCTCTGTTGCCCAGGCTGAAATGCAGTGTTGTGATCACTGCAGCCTCAACCTCCTGAGCTCATGCAGTCCTCCCACCCCAGCCCCCCGGGAAGCTGGCAGATGGTGTTGTCCTCACATGGCCACAGGCAAGCTCTTCTTATAATGTGACCTTGACACTTCTGCCATTGTGAGTAGGGTCCCTGTTCCCTCCCGTTGAATCTGGGCTGACTCGGGACTGTAGACCAGGTTATAAAAGGCTCTCCCCTGGATCTGCTGGGGCGTGTGCTGTGAGGAAACCCCGCAGCCATGCGGTGAGGCCCTGTGAAGGTGAGCCACCATGCAGTGATTCCAGCCCCCAGAAGACACTCACCCCCAGACTTAAGTCTTCCCAGCTGAGGCCCCCTGAGACCTGTGGCGCCCTTTCCTAATTCTTGACCATGGGACCTGTGAGCATAATGAAATGATTGTTTTGTGCTGCTAAGTAAAGGGAGGTTTGTTAAGCAGCAGTGGATAACTTGAACATGTTTTGGAAGCTGGAGCCAGGTGTGGCCATAATCAAATCCCAATGCCTGCAGCTCTGGCTTTGGGATGGGGTGTTGGGCAGAAGCCTCCGGGCCTCCAGGAGAGTGCTGCTGGCTGCCTGAAGGGCCTCCTAGAAGGTAATAGGGTCTAGTATTTTAGCCTGTGGGTGGCACATGATGACTGTCCCTGCTACTCTGCCAATGTGAGAAGGCACTGCAGACGGTGTCCACCACATGGGTGCCCTGGATTTGGTCCTCAGCAGGCTGGGCTTGGCCTACTGGCTGCCTTTTGCCTACCCCGGAAGGAAAGGAGGGAACGTGTCATTGCACGCTGGAGGAAAGGGGCCCCTTGTTAGGTGGTGGTGGGAAGCCTGGTGTCATTGTTGCTGTGGGAAAGAGGAAAGTATGTGTGTATTTAATGAACTTGCTCATCTAGTTTAGGAGATTTCCAGGCAGAAAATTCAAAGTGCCACCTGGCTTCTCCTTGGTGTAAAGGAAGAGGACTTCCTGGGTTCAAAAATAAGACTGTTTCTCATTCCCAGCCTCTTCTCCAGGCTCCTCAAGTGAAGAAAGGGCTTCCGGCAAAATGCATCTGGACTGGGCTGTGAGCTCCGTTCCTAAGGCTTCAGATTGAGATCCAAGTGCAGTGTCTGGCCTTTCAGCTGGAGGAGAGGCCTGCAGATTCTTGCATTAAATCCCGTCTGGCCTCTAAGAGTCCAAAGGGCGTTGTCATGCCACAGCCTCTTCTGGGAGCCCAGGAGGTAAAGGGCTTGTCTCTTTATGGGTGTGGCTTGTCTAATGGAGGAGATTATGAGTTAATACACAAAAAGGCCACCAAGTGTTTTTAAAGAAATTATGTGTCTGCCTGGACTGAAAGGAGCAGAGGCAATACAAAATGAAAATAAGTCTTTGGGCCCCCAGACTTCTGTGAGGAGGAAGCAGGCTGTGAAAATCACCCAGCTGTAAATGTGGGGTACTTTTCATGGAAAATGAAGTATATCTGAGAAGGCGGAGCTGAGATCCCAGAAAACAAGCCCCAGGTACCAGGACAGAGCCCTGATGGAGGTGCTGGCGCTGTGTGCCTGCCTCGAGTGGCTGTCCTGGGTGGGACATTGTGTGTGGGGTGTGGGTGTGTCTGGGTCAGCTCTTTAGACCTGGATTGGGAAGAACGGGGATGGAAGAGGGGTGGACTTGAGGAACTGCATGTTCCTGCACACAGGCTTCTCAGCTGGGCAGGGTTTAGGTGACGAGACCCCAGACTTCAAGCTGATAGCAGTAATCGGACAGGCCTTGGGGGCCCTGGGGAGGTGTCAGGTTCATTTTGCATGTGGGAGGATGTGACGTGTGGTGGCCAGAGGATGGACAGTGGCAGATCGTATTTTCCAGAGATGACCGCAGCAGCATCTCCCGCCGCACGTGCCCTCTCTGCAGTGTAACTGTGAAACGCCTCCCAAGATGACCGCAGCAGCGTCTCCCGCCGCACGTGCCCTCTCTGCAGTGTAACTGTGAAACGCCTCCCATTGAGAGGCGAAGTTGCTGTTCTTTCCCTTGGATCTGGATGGGCTGTGACTGGATGGGAAATGGCGCTCTTGGCTGGTGTGCTGAGGACGACATACCGTTCACCTGGTTCTCTCAGAACCCAAGACCAGCCCCATCGGAGAGGCTGCCAGAGGAGGCCATGGGAGGAGGTGGTTTCTCATTAACAGCGACCACCACTGTCAGCCGCCAGATGTGTGAGTGGTGAAGCTTCTGGTGGTGCCAGTGCCAGCCACTGAGCCATCACCGGCCTTTGCATCTTGCCTGCTGAGGACCCGGACATTGTGGAGCAGAGACAGGGTGTCCCCTCCCTTCCCTTCCTGAATTCCTGCCCCTGCAGGAAGGAGAAAATGATTGCTGGCCATCACTGAGGGTTGGGGACCTGGCTGTGCAGCCGCAGCGCCGGCGGGCCGCTCTCCCACATCTCAGGGGCACGCAGGTTCCGTGCCAGGGATGGCTGGTCAGGCCCCGCAGATGGGCAGAACTTCTCATCCCACACATCCCAGCCTTCTTTAAACTTCCCTGGCAGATTATTTTATGGTTTTGCTGCTGTTGGTGAAGATGGTTCAGTCTTTTTTTTTTTTTTTTTAAATTTATTTTTTTATTGATAATTCTTGGGTGTTTCTCACAGAGGGGGATTTGGCAGGGTCATGGGACAATAGTGGAGGGAAGGTCAGCAGATAAACAAGTGAACAAAGGTCTCTGGTTTTCCTAGGCAGAGGACCCTGCGGCCTTCCGCAGTGTTTGTGTCCCTGATTACTTGAGATTAGGGATTGGTGATGACTCTTAACGAGCATGCTGCCTTCAAGCATCTGTTTAACAAAGCACATCTTGCACCGCCCTTAATCCATTTAACCCTGAGTGGACACAGCACATGTTTCAGAGAGCACAGGGTTGGGGGTAAGGTCACAGATCAACAGGATCCCAAGGCAGAGGAATTTTTCTTAGTGCAGAACAAAATGAAAAGTCTCCCATGTCTACTTCTTTCTACACAGACACGGCAACCATCCGATTTCTCAATCTTTTCCCCACCTTTCCCGCCTTTCTATTCCACAAAGCCGCCATTGTCATCCTGGCCCGTTCTCAATGAGCTGTTGGGCACACCTCCCAGACGGGGTGGTGGCCGGACAGAGGGGCTCCTCACTTCCCAGTAGGGGCGGCCGGGCAGAGGCGCCCCTCACCTCCTGGGCAGGGCGGCTGGCCGGGCGGGGGGCTGACCCCCCCACCTCCCTCCCGGACGGGGCGGCTGGCCGGTCGGGGGGCTGACCCCCCACCTCCCTCCCGGACGGGGCGGCTGGCCAGGCAGAGGGGCTCCTCACTTCCCAGTAGGGGCGGCCGGGCAGAGGCGCCCCTCACCTCCCGGACGGGGCGGCTGGCTGGGCAGGGGGGCTGACCCCCCCACCTCCCTCCCGGACGGGGCGGCTGGCCGGGCGGGGGGCTGACCCCCCCACCTCCCTCGCGGACGGGGCGGCTGGCCGGGCAGAGGGGCTGGTTCAGTTTTCTTTTCTTTTTTTTTGGTGGGGGGGAGTTTTATAACTTTATTTGATGTATTTGATGATCAGCGATTAGTTCTCATCCACATTGACTGTCTGTAGATTTTTGAACATGGTAACAGGTACATAGGTAACCAAAGTATAGAACTTATTTGGTGAATCTTCATCCTCATTACATTTTCTGGATAACCACGCACGGATGCGGTAGGGGACATTCCTTATTCCTTTGGCCCAGACAGCTTTGTTGAGCCTGGTGTCAATGCACACATCTGGAGTTGCCATCTCCTTCATGTCAAATTTCCGAATCTCTCTGAGTGCCCAAGGGGCACGCTTCATGAAGCCCACTCCGTGGACGCGCTGGTGAATGTTGATGGTGTCTTCTCGGGTCACCACCTCGCTGATTGCAGAATGGCCGTTTTTCTTCTCGCCATCCTTTTCTGCGGGAGCCATTCTGCCGGGTCCAAGTTGGAAAGGAAAAGGACAGTTGAGTTTTCTTGGGTTGTCCATTGGATGATCATCCCAGATGGGTTCTTTGTACTTCTCGTGTTCACATGGTTTAGGGATGTTTTTCTGATGAGTGGTGGAAAGTAGGAACTATTCATGGTGGCTGGATTTGGCGCCTGTCTCCCTCATCATGCTGTTTATTTTTGTCATGAAAAACATCTTTATCAATAAGATTAATCTCACTTTTACCCAGACAATGTAACCTGTAGACTTCGTTGAGTAAAATTGGAAATAATTTTAAATCTAATTTATCTTGTTGTCAAACCAAGAGAAACCTATCAAGAAACCGCTAAAGCAGTGAGAGCTCAGAATGAGGAGGTCGTGGCATAAAAGGTGATTTTTCTGGGAGCTTCACATCTAGGCGATGGTCTAATTTGTACTAAGTGCGAACACGCATTGAATTCAGGGAACTGGGAAAGCACGCGTGTTTGACCCTGCGCGCTTTGCAAGAAGCTCGTGGGGGTTGGTGCATCCTTTGAAGGGTTAAGGGAACGAGGGGTGAAAAGTTGATTATTGTTTGGTTGTGCAAATGTGGTGCTGGGTGGAGTCCCCAAGACCACTTCCTGCTTCCAGGATTTACTGGGAGTACTCACAGGACTCAGGATCTAATACTCATGGGCATGATTTATTACAGTAGAAAGATAACGAAGCAAAACCAGCTAGGCGAAAGGGTGCATGGGGTGAGGTCTGAAGGGAACCAGGCACAAGTTTCTGAAAGCCCCGCCCCCATGGAGGCTCACAGGAGGGGCTAATTTCCCCCAGAACAAGGTAGACCAATACAAGGTAGTGAAATGTTGCCAGCCAAAGAAGCGCATCCGAGACTTAGCCCCCAGGGTTTTTACTGGAGGCTGGTGACAGGTAGCCTTTGCCAAAATCCCAGCCTTCTGGCAGGAAAGCAGGCATTCAGCATAAACCATATTGTTGGAAAACAGTTGAGGCACAGCGAACCCCACTTACTAGTTAGGGTGGTGGGAATCCTCCAGAAATCCAAGTCCGCAGACCCCAGCCACGGGCCACCCCTGTAAGCAGGGCTTTGAAAGGAGGGCTGCTGGGGCCTGCTTTCTTAACCCTCTTCTGCACAGATACCAACTTATCCTTTCCTTTCTGATTAATGTCTCTCAAACACAGACGGGGGAATAAAAACCTGAAAACAAGCGAATATTGACATGTACATCACCACTTTCAATCAGCTATTTTCAACCAAGTGCTGAAGTATAATACAGTTGTAGTCACAAAGGGGAAGTAGCAGGTATGTTGCAAGAAAAAACTTATTAGAATTGTATGTTAACTTGGATAGAAACAGAACTTTTCTGAGCTTATGTGCTGTGCAGATACAGAATGCTGGCAGAGTTACTTCTGTGAGAACATCATTGAATTACAATTAAATATTAAGTACCTATAAAATATCTTTGCATTACAAAAGTGGTTAAAGTAACTTTCTCAGTCTTCATAAATGTAGATAGTATCTTTGGACAAAATAATGAGTTAGTCTTTTGATGGAACAGGAGAAGCAGGAGAAAATTGTTCCAGGAGCAGGGTTGCTGACGATGCTGTCCCTGTTGGTCCAGAAGGTAAAATCCTCCTGTATTAGTCTGTTCTCACGCCGCTAATAAAGACATACCAGAGACAGGGTAATTTATAAAGGAAAGAGGTTTAATGGAATCACAGTTCCTCATGGCTGGGGAGGCCTCACAATCATGGCAGAAGGTGAATGAGGAGCAAAGTCGCGTCTCACATGGTGGCAGGCAAGAGAGCTTGTGTAGGGGAACTCCCCTTTATAAAAACATCAGATCTTGTGAGACTTATTCACCATCATGAGAACAGCACAGGAAAGATCCATCCGCGCGATTCAATTACCTCCCACCAGGCCCCTCCCACGACACGTGGAAATTATGGGAGCTACAATTCAAGATGAGAACACAGAGCCAAGTCATATCTTTTTTTTTTTCCCCTTTTTTTTTTGAGAGGGTGGGTCTTATTATGTTGCCCAGCTGGTCTTTAGCTCCTGGGCTCATGTGATCCTCTTGCCTCGTCCTCCCAAAGTGCTGGGATTATAGGTGGGAGCCACCACACCTGGCTGATTTTCTCTTATGGGTTGGAGTAAGGTATGGCCAAGACGGTTAAGACGATCCATGTCCTGTGGGATGGCCCATGTTTCACCAGCACTCAGATGCCCTGGGGCTCGGGGCTTATGGGCAGTTTTGCTAATTCTCAAAGTTAAGTTTTCAGCTGGGTGAAGAAGGAAGAAAGGCTGTTTCGTTGAACTCAGTGTTGAGGAGAGCAGTGACTGACAGCAGTGGATGTGCTCTCATCCTCCTGCTTTTACTGGGAGAGGGGCTTTGTGATGGCAGGTGTATAACCTCTCAGGTTTTATTTCTTTTACATTAAGAAAAAAGAAGGTGGGGAGGTGGTGGGTGACAGAGCAGGTGATACGTGAGAGTCAGTGAAAATGCACTGCTGGGAGCTAGAGAGCCTGCGCAGGGTTTTTCCGTTACTGTGTCCGTGATGAGTTGAGGAAACCGTGTCTCAGTTCTGGACCATGGCCGAGAGGAAGTGCATAGTCTTAAGTCTCTTATCTAGTGATCATCAACACAAATGGGGCATACCGGCTGCAAAACAGAGTTGGGTACCAGTGAGGCCTAGACCACCTGGGCGTTTCTCTTCCAGAGCTACAGTTCCTAGGTGTAAAATAGAGCTGGTGATATACACCTTGCCAGGTTATTTGAAAATGCAAAGCACCCAGCACAGTGCCTGACACATGGGAGGCAGTCACAGACCCATCTGTGCTCAGTTGCTCATGACGAATGCCCGTTATGTCTCAGGCACGGACTAGCTGTGCAGTAAGAGGGAGCTCTGAGTCAGACGGAGGGTGGATTTGCTCTTTGGGCACTGGTGTAGCTCTGGATCTGATTGTCCTTCATTATCTAGGTTTTGGAAATGTGAGTCATTATGTAAAGCTTGAGGTGTTGGTAGGTGCTAGGTGAATCAAGTGTGGTGGTGGTGTTTTCTATGCGTGTCTCTTACCAATAGACTTTTGTTTTTGTTTTTTGAGATGGCGTCTCGCTCTGTCGCCCAGGCTGGAGTGCAGTGGTGCGATCTGGGCTCACTGCAAGTTCCGCCTCCCGGGTTCACGCCGTTCTCCTGCCTCAGCCTCCCAAGTAGCTGGGACTACAGGAACCCACCACCATGTCCGGCTAATTTTTGTATTTTCAGTAGAGACGGGGTTTCACCATGTTAGCCAGGGTGGTCTCGATCTGCTGACCTCGTGATCCACCCGCCTCGGCCTCCCAAAGTGCTGGGATTACAGGCATGAGCCACGGTGCCTGGCCTTTTTTTTTTTTTTTTTTTGAGACAGGGCTTTCTGAGACTCCAGGAGTGGTCTATCATGCCCTGCTAATTTTTTTATTTTTTGTTTCTTTTAGAGATGAGTGTTATGTTGCCCAGGCTGGTCTGGAACTCCTGGTACCAGTAAACTTTTTAGGAGGTTTCCGTTAGCTTTTGAAAATTTTTTACCTGATCTTTAAAAATGAATGCAGTTGTGTAGCAATTTTTAAAGTGATTGACAGTTTTTTCCCACCCTACCTTTTCTTGATTGAAGCAGTTGATTAAGGATTTTGGGAGTGGTCCTATTGTTTCTTGTATTTTTCTGATTTTTGTTTTAGTGATGACACTGTGGGAAATCATTTGTCAGGGGCAAATTTCAATCTTCTGTCTGAATGGATCTGTCTACTTATCTGTCCATTTATTTGTTCACTACTGTTTACCTGTCTGTCCAACCACCTACCTACCCTTCCGTCTGGCCATCCATCCATCCATCCATCCATCCATTAAAGTTCTTTTTGGGGGTGTGAGTATCCGTTTAATTGCACTGCATATCTACCTACAAGTCATACCTCTTAGCAATCAGCAGGCAATGAATCGGGCCATTCCCTGGTTGAAATTCAACTTGAGATTTCTAGAGGGAGCTACTCAGGTTAAGGATGCATTATCTAACAAGAAAAATGAATCTACAGTAGGTCGTATTACAGATGCAGCACATGAAGGCGCCCACACATTACTTCTTAGCAGCTGAGTGTGAGGTGCATGCATGTGAGGCTCAGACCCCACGGTCTTAGGGCATCCTTCAACTTTTTTTTTTGAAGAGGAGTCTCACTCTGTCTCCCAGACTGGTCTTGAACGCCCCCCTTGCCTCAAGTGATCTTCCTGTGTCAGCCTCCTAAAGTGCTGGGATTATAGGCGTGAGCCACCGCGCCCAGCTTTCTTCAACCTGAAAACTATTTAAACATTTTATTACTCTGTAGCTGTTGGCAGTACCAGATTTTATTTACAACTGAAGGTAGTTTTGGATCTAAAACCACAGTTTTGGTAATGTTCAAAAAATGGATCATTTAGTGGTTTTAATGTCATGTATCAATCGTTTTCAGAGTATCTTTTATATTGCTCTTCTGTATATGTTAGCTTACTAGTTGATTAGTGTTTCTGTAACCTGTCCTGCTTTCTAATCTAGCCACTAAGTGGTTGGATCAGGATTTATACTCAGCTATGCCTCCTTTAAAACTGATGTTTTGTCCCTCATCTCCCTAAAGTTTTTAATGGCATATATGTGTATATATGCCATTTATATATATATATATATATAATTATTTTTAAGTTCATTTTGCTTTTATATCTCCCCGATTTTTTGACATTGTTTGTTTAGAGAAATTTGGCCACAGTTTTTAGCACTGGGTGCTGCAGGATGAGGGCTGGACCTGCTGCTTGGAGCTGCAGTCCTCATCAGGTACCTGCTCGTTGTACCACCTGCACCACCACCCACATGCTCCCCAATTTTTTAAAGTTAATTAAACCCCGTACTGAAGGTAAAAATATGTATACATAATTTTTATTATAATGCTACTTAAACATATAAAACCCAAGGCTAGGCATAAATTCCTTATGGTTAGAGGAATTTTGTGCAGCTGTAAATCCCAAACATACAAATTCAGTCCAACTACAAAGGCAGTAAATGAACACAATTAATTTAATGTGACAAAAGGATGTAGTTTTGCTGACGGTGTATTGCTAATGTTGGGTTTCATGATACAGTGTATTTGTATTTAAGATTTTTGCTTGCTGTCACTTAATTCTTTTGATTTTGAGAGTGATAGACTCTCTCATTTTTCAGTTTACTGAGCAGGGTTCCCCCACTCCTGCCACCTGCCCCTGCCCGACGGCGCAGCACAGTGACAGCGACTTTTCTTGTGTCCATCTCCCACTTTGTTCAAATGGCAGCAAATAGGAATTTATGATCTCATTTCCCTCCTTTCCTTAGGAGAAAAGTAATATTCTATATGCATTATTCTGCAATTTTCTTTTTTCATATAACAGAATATTCTCGAGGTCTTCCCTATGAGTGCATGGAAAACTTTGTGGGCCATCATTGGAGTTGCCGTCTTTACAGCCGTTGTTTTTTCTAACAATGTATACTCTAATCTCATTAGAGGTTTGTCACCGATAATCCAGATTACGTCTTCTTTGGCCCTCAAACAACCCTCTGAAGTAGGTGGCGGTGGGGGTATCAGGAAGAGAAGAAACTGAGATTCAGAGAGGTTAACGGACGTGACTGAGGCGACAGATGGAAGTGTGTGGGGACGTGGCCCACCCTAGGTCTGTGTGCCTAGACAAAGGCTGGGTGCATTGCTGCCTTCTCAGGGCCACTGCCGCCTGCTGAGTCCAGCATGTTCGGGGCACTTTCCCCCCTTCTTGGTGATGGTGCGCTGAGGCCCACCCGCAGTAGCTGACCGTGTTGGTCTTGACCGTGTTGGTCTTCAGAGTCCTTTGGTGTTTATTGAGTGCCCTTGGGCAGATGCGGGAACAGGTGCTTCTGCGCGTGGTTCAGATGGAACCGCTATAGTCTGCAGATAACTGAGCACGAAGCTGAGGGTGGTCAGACGCCTATTAGTCGCAAAATTTGCTGACCCAATGTGAGAGTCGGGAATGAACAATGCCTTTTACTGACCTAGGAGGTGTTACAATGACAAGAAGAAGTCAGAGTGGGCAGGAGGCACTAGGCCAGGAGAGGAGAGAGTTGGGAGGAGGAAGTGGCCATGCTGCAGGTGCCCTAACAGATCCAGGGAAGCATGGAGAGCACAGCGCGACCCGTGTGGAGAGGGCATCACTAGCCTGCCTCGGGCTGCAGGGGGCGGGGAGCACATGCGGCGTGCAGACCTTTCCTTAGGTTTGTGCTGGGTGCTCTGCTCTCAGGCCCACAGAATTCTGCACTGTGAGCAGCGCAGGTCGGAAGAGGCATTTGGAAATGACACGCTCTGTCCAGGAACTGCAGTAAACGTTCTAGCTGTTAATATTCTTCCTTCTGGCAGATGGTGGGTTTCACACTGAGTTAAGTAGCTTCACGACTGCTAGTGGCTGGAAGCTTCCAGATTAGTAGTTTAAGCCAGAAAACAATGTTGATACGTCTTGAGATGTGTATAAATCATTTGATTTGGCTGGGCAGGGTGGCTCACACCTGTAATCCCAGCATTTTGGGAGGCTGAGGTGGGCAGATTATTTGAAGTCATAGTTCGAGACCAGCCTGGCCAACATGGTGAAACCCCATCTCTACTAAAAATAGAAAAATTAGCCGGGCATGATGGCGCACGCCTGTAATTCCGGCTACTCAGGAGGCTGAGGCATGAGAATCGCTTGAACCCAGGAGGTGGAGGTTGCAGTGAGCTGAGATTGCACTGCTGCACTCCAGCCTGGGCGACAGAGCGAGATTCTGTCTCAAAAAAAAAAAAAAGTTTAAGGTGTTGGTTGTGTGTGTGTGTGTGTGTGTGTGTGTGTGTGTGTTAAGAGAGCCATTGTAGGCTACATGCATGTGGTAATAGACTTTAAAGGGTAAATGGAAAATGGTAGCTTACAACTGACATTTAGCCAATTGAAAAGTGTAGGCCAGGGTGTAGATAGCACATTCCCCTGCAGTGCCTGCTGGGTCCTGGAACGAGGCCTTCCAGCAAGTCGGTTCTCACGTCAAGGGCATGTCCTGAGGGTTATGGGGCCTTGGCCATCAGGGAGAGAATAAGGTTTTCTCATTTTCGACTTCAACTAATGGTCATAGAGTTGCTTTTCTTTTCATTTATTGGTTTACTGTCCTTTCCTCATCCTCCTCTATCTCTGCGTCCTCCTTTATCTCCAGCTCTTCTCCTCCTCCTCTTTCTCTTCCTCCTTCTCCTTCTCCTTCCCTCCTTGCATTTGTTCATCTTTACCACATTCATTATACACCCAGCAAAATGTGAAACCTTTCATTTCCTGTTCCTGGTACATGCAGCAAAAGCTTGATTATACAACATTATGATGATATAGACAGAAAACACGTCTGAATTGTGTTCATGGAATATGTAGCATTCCCATGGTTGTCAATTACTGTAGCTCATTACGGTGAGCAAGTATGTCTTGTTAGTAAGAAGGTTCAGGGAGTTGAGATGACGGGGCTGAGATGCTGCCTGCTGTCTCCATGGTATGGGCAGGTAATGGTGCAGGGGGCGTTTATGAACTGGTGTGGAGGTGCCTAATAGGGACCCTGTGCTTGAGGAAAGGGCAGAAGGCTGATGGCCTCGTGGCTGTACTCCCGGGTGCTTCTTGCTGGGCGGCTCTCACTGAGTGGGAGTGAATGGGAAGGGAAACTTCCTGATGTGATCCTTCAGCTGAACCTAGGGATGATCTCCACGACAGTAGACCCTGAGGAGCACCCCGTGCCACCCACCAGGAGAAGCCCAGAGGAAGTGATACCCTCCCTGACTTGTTAGAGTGCTTCTCTTGAAGGAAAGAAAACCCAGAAAGTTCTTTTTGACTTCTGTCGTACTGAAGGTATCATCATCTTAGACACCAATTTAGCATGAAGGGAAGATAATGTGTCAGACACTTGAATATTGTTGCACGTCTGCTTTTCCAACTGAATTTTCGAGTGCAGATATATGTGCAGTCTGTTTAATATAATGGGTTTTCGATCTTGTCCTTTCTTGGAAAGTAAAATGCTTTTTATTACCTGGAAACTAATTTCAAGCAATAGATTGCATTTTTCCTGGGAGTCTTGTGGTCAGTTTTGTTTTTCCAATGCAGATTGCCTCCAAATCTTTATTTTGAAAACTTTTCACACAATTGGAAGACCTGAAAGAATGGTACCATGAACACCTCACACTCACCACTTTGACACAAGGCTTGTTTGCATTTTGTCGTATTTGCTCTTTCTGTCACACTTTTGTTTGTTTTTGAATCATTTGAAAGTAAGTAGCACATGTTATTATTATTATTATTATTATTTGAGATGGAGTCGCACTTTGTTGCCCACGCTAGAGTGCCGTGATGCGATCTTTGCTCACCGAAACCTCTGCTTCCTGAGTTCAAGTGATTCTCCTGCCTCAGCCTCCTGAGTAGCTGGGATTATAGGCACGCACCACCACACCCAACTAATTTTTTATTTGTACTTCTAGTAGAGAGGGGGTTTCACCATGTTGGCCAGGCTGGTCTTGAACTCCTGACCTAAAGTGATTTGCCCAACTCGGCTTCCCAAAGTGTTGGGGTTACAGGCGTGAGCAGGAGTGAGCCACCATGCCTGGCTAGTGATTTTCTTCCTGAATACTCCTGCACACATCTCATAAGAATTCAAACATCATTCACCCGTCTAACCATAATACCAATATCACTCCTAAGAAAATTGACCATACTTCCACAATATTATCTAAATAGTTCGTCTATATTGAAATTTCTTCAGCTGTTTCAATAACATCTTTTATAGCTGTTTTTTTTTTTTTAAAAAAAACAAAATCTACTCATTATGTTTGTTTCTTTAGTCTTTTCTAAATGCAGAGGTTTTTCCCCCCCTGTAAATGACACAGACTTCTTGTGGAAGGGTCCTGCTGCTTGTGTTGGAGAATGTCCCACTTAGGTTTTGCTGAGTGTTTCCTCATGGCATCATTTCACTTGTCTTTTCATTCCCTGCATTTCCTGCAAACTGGAAGTTCAATCTAGAGGTTTGATTGTATCCACATTAAGTCTTTTTGGCAAGAACGCTTCATAAGTGTTGTTGATGACTTCACATTGCATTACACCAGGAAGTGATCAGTCTTTAACTTAGAAGATTTGCTCTCACTCTAAAATAGGATAGTTTTAAAAATAGGCATCTTTTTTAAGGGAAGTGTTCTCACTCTTTCACCCAGGCTAGAGTACAATGGTATCATCATAGCTCACTGTAACCTCTAACTCTTGGGCTCGAGTGATCTTCACACCTTACCCTCCCACGTAGCTGGGACTACAGGTGTGCACCACTATGCCTGGCTAATTAAAAAATTTTTTTGTAGAGACAGGGTCTTGCTGTGTTGCCCAGGCTGGTCTTGAACTTTTGAGCTCAACAGATCCTCCCACCTAGACCTCCCAAAGTGCTAGGATTGCAGGTGTGAGCCACTGTTGGGCCTAATATATGAATCTTAATGTTTACTCTGTCTTCACACATAACTGATTGTCTAGTTATTAAATTCTGTGTTGTAAATCTGACTTGCTTAGCTTCCAGTGTCGAATTATCTGAAGCCATTCTGATTTTCAGCCTTTGCTTTGTGGCTCATTTGTTCTCTGAAGCCTGTGTCTTATGTACAAAGAAAGGTGTAAATACTCTTCTTCGACTTTTAATTGAAACTGATTTGGAAATCATTTGTCACAACCTGGGCAACATAGCGAGATCTTGTCTCTACAAAAAATACAAAAAAACTAGCTTGGTGTGGTGGCACCCACTTGTGGTCCTAGCTACTTGGGAGGCTGAGGTGGGGGCATCACCTGAGCCCAGGAGGTTGAGGCTGCAGTGAACCGTGATCACGCCACTGCACTCCAGCCTGGGAGGCAGAATGAGACTTTGTCTCAAAAACAAACAAACAAAACTTTTGTCAAAGATGTAAGGCCATAATGTGGATGGAAATTTTAAGGGGAAAGTAAAATATATAAGCGTGTATGTATAGTTATAAAAAGAACCTAAAGCATCTCAAAGTCCATAGTCCGTCAGCATCAGCGTCTGTCCACAGAGCCAGGGTCCCCCCTTGGATGCATCTCCTGTAAGATGAAGGCCCCCCTGCCCTGGTGTGATGTGTGGCCTTCAGTGATCATCATCATCCTGTCCGAGAGTCCTGCTGGCTCTGCTTGGAGAACCTGGCCACTTTCCTGCCTCTGCTCCTGGCAGCCTCCGTGGCCCGTCACTTCTTGTTTGCCTGTGAATTCTCTCTCCAGACTCGAGTGACACTTTGCCTTGCAAAGCTTTCCCCAGTGCTGTCAGACAGGGTTAGTTCTAAGTCTTTCCTGGGAGATCTGTGGCACTCTGGGCATTTCTGGAAGGAAACTTATGTGTGTCTCTTGTCCCTGGAAGGGACAGGGCACATCTTGTTCATCAGGGCACCGCAGCCCCAGGACCTGACTCTGATGCCACAAGCATTTAATGAAGACGTTCAAAGTGAACATTCAGAATCTCTGTCTCTTCATACTTCTTTTCTTGTGCTTATATTTAGTATGTAGTAACATTCATATATGGACACTTTCAAGAACTAACAGGACACAGGTGCTGTCTATGGTTGAATGACGCTGTGTTGGACTCGGGCTGGGCTGTGTGTTGTGTGGACACAGGTGCTCTCTATGGTTGAATGAAGTGGTGTTGGACTCGGGCTGGGCCGCGTGTTGTGTGGACACAGGTGCTCTCTGTTGTTGAATGAAGTGGTGTTGGACTCGGGCTGGGCCGCGTGTTGTGTGGACACAGGTGCTCTCTATGGTTGAATGAAGTGGTGTTGGACTCGGGCTGGGCCACGTGTTGTGTGGACACAGGTGCTCTCTGTTGTTGAATGAAGCGGTGTTGAGACTCGGGCTGGGCCGCGTGTTCTGGATAAGTGGCTGTGGAGCACGATGAAGCGTCTATCGCAGCATCATCTCTGCACCCAGATGTGGCCGTGCTGAGTGGATTCCTGCCCCAGATCTTGGGAAGAAGGTTGGCTTTCCTCCTGGTGTTGGTGGAAGGCCTCCCCGGCGACACTGCTGCACTCCACTGGGGCCTTTCATTGTCCTGTCCCTTCCTGACAAGGAAATGGCTGGACACTCTCTTCATGTCAGCACCCCTAGGTGCTGGGGGCTCAAAGATAAGCCAGGCCTGGAAGACCCACCCAGAGCCAGGGGAGCCCACCCCCAATACACATACTCACCAAGCCACATGCTGCGGTTGGGGGTCCCAGAGGTGTGCTCAGGCCAGCCTGTGGGGACAGCAAAGTGGCCTCCCCGAGAAGGGGGCCTGTCCTCAGTGTTTCAGAGGCCTCACCTTGTCTCATGCTTGAAATATTTCCTGAAGAATGCCATTTTTGAAATTTATTTTCTAAAGAAAAAAAATCCAAATATTGAAAGGCTCTGCTTGAATTTTTGTCAACAATTACTATATCAAGAAAATATTTCTGATTTAGGTGGCTCCTTCAGAATATCTGATTCCTGTGTTGGCTTCTGCGTTGCCTTTGCAGGCCTGTGTCTGTAGGTGAGGTTTTCCTGTTCAGATGGAGCTCTGTGGTGGTAAATGTGGCCTTCCTTGTTTTATGTTACGTGTTTCTCTCAACTTCATGAGATCAGACCAGATAGAGAATGTTAAAGAAAAAATATTTCGGGCAATTAGAATTGCAAGAATGTCAAGAAGAAATATGTGTAGTGAATAGCAGGCTGTAGAAACCATCTCACTGCTCAGATCTTAAAATCTGTAGCCAAGAGAGGCTTTGAAGCACCCAGGGAAGATGCATGTGCCACTCTGCATTTTGTAAAATTCTGAACCATGGACTTTATTGTAGTGCTCGCTTTGCCGACAGCTGCTTTAGTCGTCGATAATCCCCAAGGATACTTGCGTGTGCTGTTGCCTTCGTCACCAGGACTTGGAGGAAACTGCAGTGTTGCTATTTGTTATTTCACGTTGATATTTCCTTCCACCTTTGGCCTTGTCCTGCGGTAATTCCTCATTTAGGATTCCTTTGAATAGTTGGGTCATGGGGAGAGTTCTGACGTTATTTTACTAAGGTGAGGTTTGCTAAGCCATCATTCTTACGTAGATGGCAGAAAAAGCCATTCGGAGAAAATATCTGAGTCTGTTCCCGCCAGGTTAAATAGAAAGGGGATTTGCCAAGGATCTCCAGAAGACCCGAGAGCCGGTCCCTGACGTTATGGTAGGCTTCAAGGGGGCTTCTGTAGCTGCTGAGCAACTGAGACAGTGGAGGAGTCCTAGAAGACCTGCCACCGCCTCCTGAAGAGCCAGGTGCCTCTGCCACACAGCTCACAGGGTGCTCACCTCCCTGTGGAACGGGGGCCTCGAGTCTCAGGGTCTAGAATTGGATCTTGTAGGTGCATCTGATCATAGGAACCCAGGTCACATGCTGGCCCCTTAGCTGCAGGAGTCAGGACACAGTCTTTTTTTCCCCACCTTAGTAAGCTATGAACCGTAGCATAAGAAATTGTCAAATATATGGAAGGTGTTAAGAAGATTATGGGGAACTACAGATGGCAGATGTCTGCCGTGGTTCCCCATGGGGCATCTTAATGGACGGCTTATTACTAGGTTTTCAGCTGTGCAAGACCTTTGATTCACCCATGCCTTTCATCTCTGATACCCACTTAGCAGCACATGCTGTTACCTATTCTCTTTGAAATTGAGATTTCTTTCTTCCTTGTCCCATTCCACTCTTGCCACACCTAGCTCAGGCCTTCTTATTCCACCGTGACAGCTTCCTGGCTAATTTCCCTTCCTCCATTCTTTTTCTTCCCAAGTAAATGTTAGCCCTTGTCATTAATGTTAGACGTCATCTTCCTGAAAATATCCATTTAGCCAGGTTTATGCCGTGGCAGCTGCAGTGGGGCCCGGAGGCCTTTCTTCCAGGCCTCTGTTATTGGAATCCACCTCCCGCGTCTATTTGGAGCTATGGGGCCTTTGGAACGGCTTCATGAGATGCGTTGGCCCAAGCAGAAGGCTGGTACAGAAGCAGAACAAAGCTCTGAGCATTCTGAGAGTTTTCTGTTGAGAAATGCCATGGGCTTATGTCTTCAGCCTGCCTGGGAGCCCTGCATATTTTTACTTGCCTTGGGGTTGATTTGATGAAGCCTGTACCATGGGTAACATATTGCTGGATAATGAAGAGTGGAAGGAAAATTAGCCCTGAATGAATGACTCAGTCCCATGATAATGTGGCTAATTTTAATTTGCATCAGGAATAGTAAAGCTGTGGCCCAGTGTGTTATCAAATAAATCTCTAAACAGCCTTGAAATCAATCCATTTATTGAAAATTGAAAATCTTTTTTTTTTTTTTTTTTTTTGAGACGGAGTCTCACTCTGTTGCCCAGGCTGGAGTGCAGTGGCACGATCTCAGCCCACTGCAACCTCTGCCTCCCAGGTTCAAGCAATTCTGCCTCAGTCTCCCGAGTAGCTGGGATTATGGGTGCACACCACCACGCCTGGCTAATTTTTGTGTTTTTAGTAGAGATGGGGTTTCACCATATTCGCCAGGCTGGTCTCGAACTCCTGACCTCGTGATCTGCCTGCTTCGGCCTCCCGACGTGCAGGGATTATAGGCATGAGCCACCGCACCCGGCCTGAAAGTTGAAAATCTTGTTCCATGAAATAAATTTTAGAAAATTAGCCAGACATGGTGGCGCATGCCTGTAGTCTGAGCTACTCGGGAGGTTGAGATGGGAGGATCCGTTTGAGCCCTATTGAAGCAATAGGCTTCACTTTGTATCTTGAACTGGGAAGGAGTGGAGAAAAAAAAAATATTAGAGCCCTTTGCTATACTTACTTTACGAAGACCAATTATTTGTTGGTTTTTAAGGACCAGAGTTCCCAGGAGTAAGTGAAACACGACTCGATCTCTTAAGTGTGCCCAATACTGCCAGCACAACATTCCTCACACCGGTCCAGCTTGCTAGTTACCTTGGATACTCGCCCAAGCTTCAGCTGACTGCGCAGGTTATTTTCTATATCTTCAGGGTATAAAAACAGTTGTATAGACATACATGCACAACCATGAAAAAAATTTTTGACTATTGTGGTAAAGTCATTTTTATCCCCACTTCTGCCCCCCCATGCTTATAGAAATAACATGTTTATGGTAGATGGAAAGTGCATACACAGAAGGGCCAGGTACAAAGAAGAAAAGAAGAATCATCCACGTTCCTCTGAAGAGGTCAGAATCACTCATGACATCTTGTGTTTTCATTTGGTACGACCTTATATTTGGAATCACAGTTGTGGGTACAGTTTTGTACCCTCCTCTTTTCAGTTATGTTTGAGCATGTCCTGTGCCATTTAATATTCTTTGAGAACATATTTTTTAAACAGCTCTACTGAGATACAATTCACATACCCCAGAGTTCACCCATTTACCAACAGAGTTCACCAACAGTTGCAATCTGAAAGTATGTTTTTGTAAAGGACATATACTATTTTATCATGTAACACTGTTTAATATACGCCATTTAATTATGCCCTTCAACGTGGAATTTTAGGCTTCCATAGGATACAGTTTATCGTATTTAGATTTTATGCTGTTGAATGACTTGGAATTAATTTGTAAGTGTAGAGAAAAATGAATCCTAGGGCTCAGAGCACTGCAGCAGATCACGTATTTTTGCTCTGTGACAAAGTATTTTTATTTTCACTTTTTCTTTTTTTGTTAATTTCACCCCATAAGGTGTTTCGGGTAGAGGCAAATCCCACAAGTATCCTTGGGGATTATCGACGACTAAAGAACAGCAAAGAAATGGTTCCTAGCTCCTCACGCAGTCCTTGGTGGGCGGTGGGCTGACTGGCTGCGCACGCTAGGCCTCAAGGTAGAAGCGGTTCATTTAGAGACCCCCAGGCATAGTCGCATGGCTTCACACACCCGCACCAGGGCTGACCATTTGTTTTTGGAGGAACCACAAAAGGATTCAGTATGGAATTCCTTAAGAAGGGAGTTTCTTTAGTTTGCTTAAAATAGTTACAACTTTTTTTTTTTAAGACGGGGTCTTGCTCTGTCACCCAGGGTGGAGTGCAGTGGTGTGATCTCGGCTCACTGTAACCTCCGCCTCCCGGGTTCAAGCAGTTCTCCCACCTCAGCCTCCCGAGTAGCTGGGACCATAAGTGCGTGCCACCACAGCCGGCTAATTTATTTATTTTTATATTTTGTAGAGACAGGGTTTCACCACGTTGGCCAGAGTGATCTCAAACTCCTGACCTCAGGTGATCCGCCAGGCTTGGCCTCCCAAAGTGCTGGGATGACAGGCGTGAGCCACCATGCCTGGCCAAAACAGTTGCAGTTTCTATAATAAACTTTTTTTCCCCCAGAATAAAACTAGCACCTTTAAAGTGAGCTATAACGATTCCTTTTATGAAACTTATTTTGTATGCAGTTCTTATTTTGACTTTCAGAAATCTAAATTTCTCAAGGGTCTGTGATGTTGGAACTAAACTCATACCAAGTCCCTTGTGCAGTTTGCGTGGTGCAGGAAGGGGTGAGCCAAGTGAGGACTGTAGCACTCACGTGTGCGAAGGTCGCCGTGGGCGAGGCCTCCTCATCCCTGAGGCCGAAATTTTCCTCTTCTCGTTTCCTTTTGATCAGGATGTTCTACAGGGGTGGAGGCAGATTTTAAAAGCAGTGATACATAGACAGAATTTGGCCTAAAAAAAGAGTAGTACTTAAATCTAAATGAGGCCTCTGGCTCAAGGTAACGAGCTGAGCTCATAGATTCAAGCACCTCTCCCCTCATTCCCAATTCCCATTGAAATGAACAAAGGAATATAAAAATAGAGAGTCTCCCAAGCTAACACAGTTGCTGCTGGTGATGATGATCTTGTTTTGGACTGCAGGTTTTGGTTGCAGAAATTCAGTTGGATGTGCTTCCTGCGGGTTTGGTGCTCACTTTGTAGCAGTGCTTGGGGATGGAAGTGAGGGGCAAACTGGCTTTTCCTTCTCTTGGACAACTTGGTTACCCGCCTCCCCTTCCCTGCGAGGTATATCTACTCTCTTTGCTATGTGTTCTAGTTTCTGACTCTCTTTATAAATTATGCATTTGTGTAGCTTCGGCTTTGCTCCGAGTTTCTGCTTGATGCTGTGAATCCTAATGAGCGCTCCCGGGAATTGGGTGGCTCTGCCTTCAGACAAACCAGGGGATAGTGAATGTTGTGACCTGTGTGGCCAGCCCCAGTCTTGCTTTGTGTTTATTTTCCACAACTCTCAGTTGTTGATGTTGGGAGGATAAGTGTGAGCCACACTCTCAGTGTGGGGGACAGAAGGCAGTGATTGGGCTGCTGAACATGTTTAATTTCTTCATTCTGCATGGTGACTTAGGTGTCACTGCACGTCAGCCTGTGAATTTATACCCAAGCTTGTTTGTGCCACCTGATCACCTGTATCTTTTTAAATATATATGATTTTATCCAATCAGTTATGAAGGAAGACTCTAGTAAGGAAATCCCTTGTGATTTGCTTTGAATTCTTTGGGAGGTGACAGGCGTTAATAGGTTTTTCACCTGTGAGGTGACATGCTCTGAGCTTACAGGCCTTCGAGTGGAGGTGATCTGGTCTGCAGGCCCTGTGTGCAATTCTGAAACCCAGAAGCTCTGAACGCTGGATTATTTCCACAGCTCATTTGGTGGCAACGCTTGGCCTGAGCTGGGGTGAGACTGGACACTCTTGATTGATTCCATGGAGAGTGGAAATGTTAACGTGGTGAGTGTTGGGTGCTGCTCCAAACCCTCCTGGGTGTGTTAACCCTCCTGGGTGTGTTATGTGAGATGGGGCAGAGGGATCACATTATCCTTTCACCAAGCTGAACACTGTGGAATTTCAAAACCAAGCTGGCACCAAAGGAGCATCAAGAACACTGCCCAGGCTGTTATAATAACATCAGGACCCCACTGCTTGACGGCCCCCAGCCTCTCCCACCTGGAATCCAAAGTGCCGTGGAGATCTTTGAGCCGGGGCACAGGATCCTTAGGCGTGTGCTCCAGCCTTTAGTGGGTGCCTCCAGGATGGCTGGGAAGACCAGTCATGAGTCAGAACTTCAGAATCTGAAAAATCCTTAGCACCTGAGAGGTCATCTGTCTCCACCCCCTCACTTTAAGGATGAGGAAACTGTTCAGGAGGGATTGAAATTTACCGTCATGTCCAAGGCCATGCATTGTTAGTGAGCATTTATAGTTTTATAGTTTCTCAAAATGATACTCTTTTCAAATTCAAAATTAACCTATGGGGATATAACGATGTCATCTTAAATTACATTGCATTGGAGGAAAATGTCTTAAAGTCAAAAAACTTATGTAATATTATGCAGTTTTTGGCACATTAAATTTGATAGCCCTTACATTTTAAACATTCTGTAACTGTTATTAAAAAACATTAATCAAGAGTTTTTGAAACGAGGTTGCCATAGAAATGAAAATACAATGCCAAAAAGACATTTTAGGTATAGCTAAGAATTTAAAAACTTACTAAATTTGAGGCCAGGTGTGGTGGCTCACACCTATAATCCCAGCACTTTGGGAGGCGGATGCTGCCAGATCACCCGAGGTCAGGAGTTCAAGACCAGCCTGGCCAACATGGCGAAACCCCATCTCTACTAAAAATACAAAAAGTTAGCTGGGCATGCTGGTAGGCGCCTGTAATCCCAGCTACTTGGGAGGCTGAGGCAGGAGAATCGCTAGAACCCAGGAGGTGGAGGTTGCGGTGAGCCGAGATCGTGCCACTGCACGTGATCGTGGTCAACAGAGCAAGAGTCTGTTTCAAAAAACAAAACAAAAAACTTACCAAATTTGAAATTAGGCTCACAGTGTTAAAATCTGCAGAGGAGCAAGACGTATTTTTTTTGGCTTAAGGATATGTGATAGTACTGTCTTTTGCCCAGTTTTGGAGTTAAATTGGTAGCTAGATATTAGAGCTAACACGTTGTTCTAGTTCATGTGTGAGTGTATTCGCGAGGTGCTTTTCTTGTTTTCTTTAAAAGTATAATGCAGGATGTAGGGTTAGGTGTGTATTGTATAAACAAGATGAATGAAATTAATTTATTTCTTGTCTTCATTCTTGTCTTTGTATAGTGTAGCTACTTTCACACATTCCAGCTGAGGGCCATGCCTTCCTATTGCTGGCCTGTAAAGAAGTCAGAAATGGTCTCTCTAGGTAGCATTTGGTGAGTCAGGAAGACCACACTTGCTGACAGGCACAGTGAGGTGAGGCCCCTAGCCATCCCATGGGACTAAAGGATGATTCTTGGGCTTCTATTAATACTTTTGTGTAAGGGACTCAGAGATCTTCAGAGATACTTTTATAATTAACTAGAGCTACTCATTTGACTGAGAATGTTAAATTTTAAAAATTTAATTAGCTGCATTTGTAGAGGTGGAGGGAATATGACTTGTCTAAAATGACAGCCGAGGTAGCAGAAATAGGAATCAGTCAGAGGTGTTGGGAATGCCGTATCACCGCCCTGTGTCGGCCTCTGCCGCCTCCCCAGCCCCGAGACGCAGAGGAGGAAGCAGACCCAGCAGCCGCAGAGCCTCTTCACCCAGCGAGCTTGCCCTAGTCCTGGCTGCCCCACTTGCTCGCTCCCTGGACTTGCAGCCGCCCCTTACTCCCTGGATTCCTCGCTGGGAGGGGAACGCCACCACCTAGTTCATGTCCCTGTGGTGAAGGATGAAGTGGACTGTGCGTCTACACTGCACGGCTCAGGGAATAAGCACTAGCACAGGGAGTCACCATTGATCCGAAGTGCTGGGACTGAGTCCCAAACCTGGCTGTGAATTTCCCGGGGGCAAGAAAGAACAGGGTTGTGTGGGAAGTTACTGAGCATACATCAGCCCAGAAAAACAGCTCTGCCCACCTTTTCCTGGGGCGCACGGAGCATGTGGATAAACGGGGAGAAAGCACTGCCAGACAAGCCCCAGGGCAGCGGCGGTGGCACTTGGCCACGGGAGCAGCAGGTGGGTGTCTCAGATTCGGCCCGTTAATGCTGTTTCTTCCACGGGCTTTTGCTAGAGGAGCCTAACATCAGTTTAAGGCCTATTCTCTTTGCAGATTAGGGACAAGATAAGAAGCCAGTGGGGAACCAGTTAAGCTGTGGGGAAGCACAAGGTCTATTAGAAGGCTTCCCTTCCCACAGAGGGACCCTGCAGATGACTGTAGGCAAAGCCAGCCTCTTCCTTTAGGAAGCAACTTGGAACTTGCGCCAGGGTTTGAATCAATCCCTCTCCATATTACAGGGCATGAAAGGAACACCCTTGATTTAAAAGTGTTGTGAGGCAGGTGTTAACAGCTGTTCACCATGGCCACAGGAAGACCACAGAAACGTTTCCAGGAAATGTCTAGTTTTAAGCAGTTTATCCTCAAAGGCTGAGTTTGCTATACAATAATTGGGATTTGGGATTATGGATACTGATCACTTAAATATTGGAGGATGACTAATTAAATACAGTGACTTTTGTTGTTCTGATTTTTAGTGCTTTCTCCTGATAATAGATGAAGGGGCCATTTGTCTCTTACGCTTCATAATGGAGGCTTCTGTTACATGTCTGTGGGAAGACATTCTTCTCCTAGTATATCCACGGAGGCAGAGATGCAGTTCCTTTAGAAAGTGATATTATTGGCTGGGTGCAGTGGCGCATGCCTGTAATCCCAGCACTTTGGGAGGCCCTGGGCTGGTGGATCGCTTGAACTCAGGAGTTGGAGACCATCCTGGGCAACATGACAAACCTCATCTCTACCAAAAATACAAATAAAATTAGCTGGGTGTGGTGGCACACCCTGTGGTCCCAGCTACTCTGGAGGCTGAGGTGGGAGGATCGCTTGAGCCCAGGAGGTGGAGGTTGCAGTGAGCCAAGATTATGTCGCTGCACTCCGGCATGGGTGACAGAGTGAGACCCCACCTCAAAAATGAAACAAAACAAAAAAAGAAAGTGATATAATTAATAAATTTTTTTAACTGTTAAGAGAGGAGGCACTAAAATGCTTCCTTTTTCCTATACAACTTTAAATTCTGTTTTGAATAGAGAATCTTATCTCGATGTGATAAAGATTGTACTTAAAATCAGTCGCCAGCATCATTCTGAACAATGAAACATTTATGTCTCATGAAAATCAACTGCAAAGATCTCCACTGTCATCATTTTGTTATTATTAGTGTTATTTTAGAAGTTCTGGTCAATACGCTAAGATCTAAAACCGAAACAGGAGGAATGATCTATTGGAAAGAATGAGACAGACTTATTATTCTTAGATAATATAGCTGTATACTTTCAAAACCTGAAAAGAATCACCAAAAAGCAATTACATTTAACTAAGAATTTAGTAAAGGAACTAACCATTTTTCTTATATATCAGCAATTATCAATAAGAAACTGTTATGGGGAAATACATATATTTCCCTGAAACACTCATGAAATATCTGGAAATCTTAAAATTAAAAATTAAAAATACTTTTATTGGTGATAATTTTTTACATTCATATAATCAAATCAGAGTAATTGAGATACCTATCACCTTAAATATTTATCGTTTTCTTTTTTCTTTTTATTTTTTTTGAGATGGAGTCTTGCTCTATTGCCCAGGTTGGAGTGCAGTGGTACCGTCTCGGCTCACTGCAAACTCTGCCTCCCAGGTTCAAGTGATTCTCCTGTCTCAGCCTCCGGAGTAGCTAGGATTACAGGTGCACACCACCACGCCTGGCTAATTTTTATATTTTTAGTAGAGACGAGGTTTCACCATGTTGGCCAGGCTGATCTTGAACTCCTGATGTCAGGTGATCTGCCCGCCTTGGCCTCCCAAAGTGCTGGGATTACAGGGGTGAGCCACCGTGCCCAGCCTATCTTTTCTTTATGCTAGGAACATTCGAATTATTTTCTTTAGGTATTTAAAAAATGATTTATTCATTTATTTATTTTTAGAGATGGGGTCTTGCTGTGTTGCCTAGGCCGGAGTGCAGTGGCTGTTGGCAGGCACAGTCATTTCACACTGTACCCTCAAACTCCTGGGCTCAAGTGGTGCTCCTGCCTCAGCCTCCTGAGTAGCTGGGACCGCAGGTGTGCACCACCACACACTTCTAGCTGCTTGAAATGTACTCTCAATTAAATTAATGTTAACCGTACTGTCAATTAAATTAATGTTAACTGTCATCGCTCCACTGATTTATGGAACACCAGGTCTTAGGAATAATCCTAATAAGAAAGGCACAGGACTTACTCGTGAAGAAAACTATAAAAATGTTACTGAGAACAGTTAAAGGTACATTTGAATAAATGGAGAACCATATTATGTTCTGTATAGAAAAATAGAATATTATGAGGATGTTACTTCTTAACGTTAAGTTAAAATTAAACTTCATTGCAATTTTAGTTCAGTGCAATTTTAATAAAAATCCCAATGGGATTAAAAGATTGAAGAACTGATTAATTTGAAAAAGATAAGTGAATATAAATAGCTAAGTAAAATTAAAATTTGAGGGTGAAAAATGACCCTTCCAAGTATTATGAAATATAAAGATAAATTAGTTAAATTAATGTAGTACTAGTAGAAGTATTGGTTGATAGGTTAATGGGATGAATTTGATTACCCAGAAATAGAATTTTGTCTCTGTGAGAATTAATACATATATCTGTGCACACCTGTGAGTTTGGGGCAGATTATTTAACAGGGATTGACACAACTGGCTAGTTTTATGAGAAAAAATTAATCTTTATCTTGTATCATATACCAGAATAACATCCAGACGGCTTAAAGGGTCAATGTAAAACAGAAACACTGTACCAAAATACATGTCTTCCCTCACTCAGCAGGTAGTTAGCACCTGGTCCAGGCCAGGGTTTTGTTCAAATGAGTGGACTTGAGTCTCTAGCCCACTGAGGAGCATCCATGGGCCGGAGCTCTGCCGGGAGGAAAGGACAGGTGTGATCGCAGCGTTCCCCAGCTGGCTCCACCCCGATGGGGAGTGTGGAAGGTGTGTTGAGGGGTATCCAGAGAAGGCCTCCCCAAGAAATTGATCTTTAAACTGAGATCTGAAGAGAGAGTCAGAGCCGGCCAGGTGACCCGGGGGAGGGGAACTCCCAGCAGAGGGAACTGTGGATTTGAGGGCCGAGAGGTGAGTGTGGCCAGGCCGCAGTGTAAGTACGAGGAATGAGTAGTGAGTAGATGGTCCACGGAGAGTGAACAACGCAGGCAGTGAAGGCACTCTAGGAGAACCAGGCAGCATCACTGATGTGAACGAATGTAAACTAAATCAATACGACAGCTTTTCTCATTAAATGATTGATGGTTTTAAATAACAAGAATTTTACATCTGGTTTAATATCTGGTGGGAGTGTAAATTTGTGTAATTTTTTTTGCAAAGGAATTTGGCAGAATGTATTGAGTGCGTTAAAATGTTTATATCTTTTGATCAAATAATTCCATTTCTGGAGATTTATCATAAGGAAGCCTGAGAATAGCCCTTCCTGCCACGTCCCTCTCACCACCTGTCCCCTTTGCTGTGAAACCCTGCCTTCAAAGAAGGGCGTTACTCCTGCACTAGGGCTGGGGTAGCCAGGTGACAGGCGGAGGACTGGCTGGAGGGCAGGTGGGTAGGGAAGGGGCTCAATGTTCTGGGGGACATTTTAAAAGCTGGAAAAACACATAAACGAGTTCCATATTGAAATATTTATTTATTTTTTTCTGTTGTGTTTTCAGATGAAGACAGTCAGTGTTGCCTTAGTTTTGTGCCTGAATGTTGGTGTGGACCCTCCCGATGTGGTGAAGACCACGCCCTGTGCACGCTTGGAATGCTGGATCGGTGAGTATGCCTCCCTCACGCGCTGCCACAAAGGCCGTCTGGCCGGCTCTGGCCTGGGCGGGGCTCGCCAAGCCTGTGGTCTGGTCCAGGGGCCCGTCTCCAGCTGTGCAAATCTGAGGGGTTTTTCTTTCTGGAGTCACATCACCTTTGAGTAATTTCCGATGCGCTCACCTGTGATTGGTAGTGGAGAGAGTGTTTCCAGAAAAATCAATACAGTGATGATTATTGGCTTATATAATTTTCTACTTTATTTTTTTATTTATTATTATTATTTTTTTGAGACAGAGTCTTCCTCTGTCACCAGGCTGGAGTGCAGTGGCATGATCTTGGCTCACAGTAACCTCTGCCTCCTGGGTTCAAGCCATTCTCATGGCTCAGCCTCCTTAGTAGCTGGGACTACAGGCACCCGCCAACACACCCAGCTAATTGTTGTATTTTTAGTAGAGATGGGGTTTCACCATGTTCGCCAGGATGGTCTCGATCTCCTGACCTCGTGATCCGCCCACCTCAGCCTCCCAAAGTACTGGGATTACAGGCCAATTTTCTACTTTATTACACGCCCGGCCAATTTTCTACTTTATATTTGTTCTGTCTGGCACACATAGTATCTATGTACACTTAAAAAAAAAATGGAATGACTGATACCTGCATGGAAATGTAGAAGAGGTAAATGGAACCACTTCCAGCAAAGCATCACATAATGGATCATGGCCCATAATAATAATGGCCATCATTTGCTGAATGCTTGTAGTGTGTCAGACGCCACTGGAAGCACTTTACAATGCTCACAACAACCTTGTGTGGTAGGGTTTTTGCTAATCTCCATTTGAGAGCTGAGGAACATGAGACATAGAGATTAGTAATTTGCTCACGGTTGTCCTGTAGAGCTGGAATTTGAACCTATGCAGTTCAAGTCCAGAGACTGTTTTTTTTTTTTTTTTAATTGTGGTAAAACATAGACAACACAAAATACCATTCTAGGAATTATTATTATTATTATTATTATTATTATTATTATTTTTCATTCTAGGAATTATTAAGTGTACAATTGAACGACATGAAATAATTCATAATGTTGTGCAAGCATCCTCACTGTCCATCTCTAGAACCTTTTCACCATCCCAAACAGAAACTCTGTCTCCATTACACAACTCCTCATTCCTGCCTTCCCCTAGCCCCTAGTAACCGCCATTCCACCATCTGTCTCTATGAATTTGTCATTCTAGGGACCTCATATCAGTAGACTGATATTTGTCCCTTTGTTTCTGCCTTCTTTCACTTAGCATAATGCCCCCAAAGTTCATCCATGTCGTAGCATGTGTCAGAATTTCATTCTCCTGCCGCAGCCTCGCAATAACTGGACTTATAGGCACCTGCCACCACGCCCAGGCAATTTTTGTATTTTTAGTAGAGATGGGGTTTCACCATTTTGGCCAGGCTGGTCTCAAACTCCTGACCTTAGGTGATCCACCCGCCTTGGCCTCCCAAAGTGCTGGGATTACAGGCGTGAGACACCATGCCCGGCCAAGATACAATTTATATACAGTAAAGTTCACATTTTTTAGCTGTACATTTCTTTAAGTTTTGACAAATATGTACAGCCATGTAACAAATGCCATAATCAATGTATAGAATATTTCTGTCACACCAAGGAAGTTCCCTTGGGTCCCTTTGTAATCGATCCCCTCTCATTTCTCTGGCCTCTGGAAACCATTGATCTGATTTTTTCCTTTTACAGAATGTCATTTAAGTGGCGACATATAGTTTGTAGTTTTTGTATCTTGCTTCTTTCCTTTAGCAGAATTTATTTGTGATTCATCTGTGTAGCTACGTGCATTAGTAGTTTTTTTCCTTTATTCCATTTTTATGGCTCCCTCACAATTTGTTTATCCATTTACTAGTTGACAGACATTTGGGTTGTTTCTAGTTTTTGGCAATTATGAATAAAATTGCTATAAGCACTTGATCTTTGTGTGGACATATTTTCTCTGGTTAATATTTAGGACTGTGATTATTAGCTCATATGTTAAGCGTATGTTTAAATTTTTTTTTTTTTTTTTTGAGATGGAGTTTTGCTCTTGTTGCCCAGGCTGGGAGTGCAATGGCACGATCTTGGCTCACCACAACCTCTGCCTCCCGGGTTCAAGCGATTCTCCTGCCTCAGCCTCCCGAGTAGCTGGGATTACAAGCATGCGCCTCCACGCCTGGCTAATTTTGTATTTTTAATAGAGACAGGATTTCTCCATGTTGGTCAGGCTAGTCTCGAACTCCCGACCTCAGGTGATCCACCCACCTCAGCCTCCCAAAGTGCTGGGATTACAGGCATGAGCCACCGTGCCTGGCCAAGTGTATGTTTAATTCTTTAAGGAACTGCTGAACTGTCGGTTTTTTAAAGATCTTTAAAAATAATGAATGTCTTTTATATTTACCTTCATATTTATTGTTTTGAGGACCATTCATTTCTTTCCGCAGTTCCAAGTTTCTATCTGGTATCATAATCATTCTGCCTGAAGAACTTACTCTAACATATCTTGCAGTGCTGGTCTGTAGGCATTAAATTTTCCTAGATTTCTGTTTGGAAAATTCTTCATTTTGTCTTTGTGGTTGAAAGGTATTTTTTCGGGGTATGTAATTTTCTGTTGACTCTTTTAGCACTGTCTTTTAAAACAGTCACCTGTTGTGTTCTGGCTAGCAGTTTCTGAGAAGTCTGCTGTAATTCTTTGTTTCTCTGTATATTTTGCTTCATTTTTCTCTGGCAATCTTCAAGATGTTCCCTTTATATTCTCAGTAGCTTTATCTATAACCTATTAGTTTTTTGTTTGTTTGTTTTGGAATTTATTCTCCCCACCCTTTTTTTTTTCTTTTAGAGATGGGTGTCTCTCAATGTTGCCCAGGCTGGGCTATACTTGAACATCTGGGCTCTAGTGGTCCTCTTGCCTCAGCCTCCTGAGTAGCTGGGACTATGGATGCCCAGTACTGCACCTGTGAAATTTATTCTTTTTGGGTTTCTGTGAGCTTCTTGGATGTGTAGTTTGATGTCTTCATTTTTGAAAAGTTCCCATTATCTTTTCAAATATTTATTGTTTGTTTTCTCTCTCTTCTGGGACTCAGCTCTCTATGTATTGTGCTGTTAGACATTGTACCGCAGCTCTTCCATGTGTCTCTCTCTTCTGGGACTCAGCTGTCTATGTATTCTGCTGTTGGACATTGTACCGCAGCTCTTCTGTGTGTCTCTCTCTTCTGGGACTCAGCTCTCTATGTATTGTGCTGTTGGACATTGTACCGCAGCTCTTTTGTGTGTCTCTATCTTCTGGGACTCAGCTCTCTATGTATTGTGCTGTTGGACATTGTACCGCAGCTCTTCCGTGTGTCTCTGTCTTCTGGGACTCAGCTGTCTATGTATTGCGCTGTCGGACATAGTACCACAGCTCTTCCATGTGTCTCTGTCTTCTGGGACTCAGCTCTCTATGTATTGTGCTGTTGGACATTGTACCGCGGCTCTTCCGTGTGTCTCTCTCTCCTGGGACTCAGCTCTCTATGTATTGTGTCGTTGGACATTGTACTGCAGCTCTTCCGTGTGTTTCTCTCTTCTGGGACTCAGCTCTCTATGTATTGCACTGTTGGACATTGTACCGCAGCTCTTCTGTGTGTCTCTCTCTTCTGGGACTCAGCTCTCTATGTATTGCGCTGTTGGACATTGTACCACAACTCTTCTGTGTGTCTCTCTCTTCTGGGACTCAGCTCTCTATGTATTGTGTTGTTGGACATTGTACTGCAGCTCTTCCATGTGTTTCTCTCTTCTGGGACTCAGCTCTCTATGTATTGCGTTGTTGGACATTGTACCGCAGCTCTTCCGTGTGTCTCTCTCTCCTGGGACTCAGCTCTCTATGTATTGTGTTGTTGGACATTGTACCGCAGCTCTTCCATGTGTCTCTCTCTTCTGGGACTCAGCTGTCTATGTATTGTGTTGTTGGACATTGTACCGCAGCTCTTCCATTGTGTCTCTCTCTTCTGGGACTCAGCTCTCTATGTTTTGTGCTGTTGGACATTGTACCACAGCTCTTCCGTGTGTCTGTCTCTTCTGGGACTCAGCTCTCTATGTATTGCGCTGTTGGACATTGTACTGCAGCTCCTCCGTTTGTTCTCTCCCATGTCACAATGAGCTTTTGTTAGTCTGCTGATAAACCAGCCAAGGAAATTCTTTTTCTCTGATATTGGGTTTTTTATTTCTAGCATTTCCATTGACTATTTTAGTTTCCATCTCTAGGGGAAATGCATATTGCCTGCCTTTCCTTCTAGAGCCTCTGCTGTGTTCATCATAGTTACCTTAGAGTCCTTGATCTATAGTTCAGAAAACAGGGTCAGCCCTGAGTCTGAGTCTCCTAATTCCTTTATCATCTCTTGACTGTAATTTGCTTTTCCTTGCTTTTTTTGTGCTTTATAAATTTTAATTGCATGCTGGACATTGTGTGTAGAAGAACAATAGCGAATGAGGTAAGTTGCATAGTCTATAGTTTAGTAAGTAGTTAACTGGGGTTAGAATTTGTTGTTGTAATGGTTATACCCACTGCAACAGCACTCTTAGTTCTTAGAGTGATTAGTTGGTGCTTGTGTCAGTCAAGGTTCTCCAGAGAAACAGGGGCAGTAGATGTGTGCCTGCATGTGTGTATAAGTATGTATGTATGTATGCATGCATGTCTTGTGATCTTGAGGCAGAAATTTCTTCTTTCTCAGGAAAACCTCAGTTTGGCTGTTAAGGCCTTCAACTCATTGGATGAGGCCCCCATATTACCAAAGAAAATCTCCTTTACTTTAAGTTAGCTGATTGTGGATGTCACCACATGTATAGAGTACTTTCACTGTGGCACCTGGGTTTGTGTTTGATTGAATTGCTGAGTGCTACGGCCTGGCCCAGTGGACACATAAAGCTGACCAGCACAGTCCTCGTGCATTAGGGTGGGTACAGGCAGGCCAGGGGGTTTTCCCAGGGCTCCTGCTCCACCCCTAGCCTGAGCTGTGCCTGCCCACGTGCCTCACTGAGTGGTCCCTGGCTTTGCCTGTCTCCTGGCACAGGATTTCCATTGCTAGTTACTCAGCGCCAGGCTGTGGAGTGGTGGGAGTTCTCTGTGGTCCTGGTCTCTCTTTAGTCTTAGGCAGGCCCTGGGCATCTGGGCCTTGGGCGTAGTGCGGTTGCAGTGTTTTCACCTGTCCCCCAGTGATGGCAAACGTCTGCCTCGATTCAGTGTAGAATTCTGTGCCCAGGGCGTGTTCTGCTCCTATCCCAGGAGTAGGCTGTTTTGCACCTTCCCTCACCCCATCCTCCATGCTCTTCACCTGTGTCTTGGGACAGTGTGTTCTATGCCCATGGTGAGCAAGGTAGGTTTTGTCTGTACCTCCTCCCACTCCCCAGGTACAGGAATGTGTGCCTGTTCTTGTGGACTGAGGGTCTCCTGCTTTGCTTCCTAGGGGAGGAGGTCTCTGGGGGCAGGTGGACTTCAAGCCTCTCCACACTCTGTGCTGCCTCCAGCAGATGCTTCTCATGAAGTGGGGGTGCAGTGGGGGTGCATGCAGGAGAGTGTGAGTGCCCCTTGTGCCTGGACCCCCTGTGTTTCCACACGGATATGCAAGCGCACACTGGGGCCTCGAGGACACATTACCATCTTAGCTGGTTTCTTGTGCAGACCTGCGCTCTTCAAAGATGGGCTGTGCATGTGCCCGGGCTTTCTCGGAGAGGACGGGCCTGTGGGATTCGGTTTGTCTGCCCTGCGGTCTCAGCTCCCTTATGAGCTCAAGAAAAGTGATGATGTCAGTGATTATTCAGCTTTCTCATGTTGATAGGATTGGAGCCACTCTTTCCCCCCAGCTTTCTACATCCTAAGCAAAAGCAGAAGTTCCCTTTATTGCTTTAACAAAAACTACAAATTATTCTCAGCCTGGGCAGCATAGTAAGAGACCATGTCTCTACAACAAATCAGAAAATTAGGAGGGCAGGGTGGCTGATTTTGAGATGACAGGCATGCCTGTAGTCCCAGCTACTCTGGAGGCTGCAGCAGGAGGATTGCTTGAGCTTGGGAGGTCGAGGCTGCAATGAGCTATGATTGTGCCAGTGCATTCCAGCCTGGGCAACAGAGTGAGACCCTGTCTCAAAAAACCCCAAATTCTTCTCATCTAAATCTCATCTAATCTGAATTGGAAATAAATGTTGTTTTTCCTGCATTATTTGGCTGTCACACTATGTGAGGGTGTTTTAGGATGACAGTTCCCTCACCCCTTCCAGGCTGCTTGTCCCCCACACCCCATGATGGAGCAGCTGTGTTTTGTGGCTGATTTCTTCAGATGCTCTCTTGGCTCACTGCTGGCTCCCGGTGACTGTGCTGGTTGAAATTGACTTCTTATTAGCCACCATGGACTCTTTCCACTTCATCCGTCCCTCGTCACAGCTGAATGTAATCAGTTATTTTCTCTTCCTCTACAGCAATGCTTATGTTAGGCTTTTCGAACAAGCCTTCCTCATGCGGATCCCTGTGTGTGCTCCGGGGACGGGACGCGCAGGCCCTTCGGGGTTGTGTAGGTGTCATCTGAGGATCCAGTTGCTCTTCCCTGCCTGAGGAGCCTGAGCTTTTATCAGAGCTCACCGCCCTCTCCCACACAGTCTCTTTGATCAGTATTTACACAATGTTAATGAGAATGGAAAAACTCCATGCTTCTTTCTTGGTGTGAAAGATCCAGCAAATGAGATTTCTAAAACTTGAGTTTTAAAAGTTTTCCTGCAGTTTAGGAATATCGTCTACTTTCTAATAATTTCAAGTGAATTTTGAGTTTAGGAGGGCATGTGCTTTTTCTAAGTTGGAAAAATTTTATTTGGCCTTTATTAAAAAATGGGTAGGTTCCTGGTCCTGGTGATGGTGGTTTTAACAATATGGCATAAGAGAATAAGAAGCCTAGTGATTTGAATCAGCACATTTGCAGGAGTGTGTAGCAGCCCACTTTTATTTTTTAGTTTATTTACTTGAAAATTTTTATTTTTGTGAGATAAGACCTTACTCTGTTGCCCAGGCTGGAGTGCAGTGGCGTGATCATAGCTCACTGCAGCCTCAAACTCCTGGGCTCAAGCCATCCTCCTCCCTCAGCTTCCTCAGTAGCTGGGACTGTAGATGTGCATCCCCCACGCTTTTAAAATTTTTTATGGAGACAGGGTCTCACTTTGTTGCTCAGGCTGGTCTCGAACTCCTGGGCTCAAGTGATCCTCCCACCTCGGCCTCTTAAAGTGTTGAAATGACCGGCATGAGCTACCACACTAGGCCCATTTTTCATTTTGAAAAAAAAGTTCCAAAAGTTGCAAGTATAGTACTAAGCTGTTTCCTTTCTGATTCTCTGAGAGAAGGCGGCTGACATGGTGCTTCAGCACCTCTGAATTCCTTAGTGTGTAATTCCTGCCAGCCGGGAGTTTCTCTTTCCAGATGACAACGCAGTCACCAAAATCAAGGAGCATTCGCGTGGACGTGTGACTGCCACGTAAGCGTCCGCTGCATGCAGGTTTGCCAGTGTCCCAGGAATGTCCTTTGTAGCGCCAGGATCCTGCTCAGCCATGCGCCATCCTAACTTCCTCTCACTCAGTCTGAAGCAGTTCCACAGGCATTCCGTGACCCTCCTCACCCTGGCGCTTGAAGGTGGCAGTCTCTTTGTTTTGTAGAATGTCTCCGGTGTCTCCTAATGATTCCGTTTAGGTCATGCTTCGCTGGCAGGAGCATCACGCAGAGCTGCCTGCTTCACGCGGGCTGCACCAGGTGATGCGGGGCTGTGATCTATCCATTACTGGTCATGCAGATCTTCTCACCTGATTCAGCTGGCGCCTGCTGGACCTCATGTGAAATTCCCCTTTGTAGTTGATAGGTATTTTCGGGAAGAAGTGCTTTGAGATTGTGCAAATATTCCTTTCCTCGTGACTTTCAATTTCTTCATTTTGAACTCATGGCCTCCATTTTCATTCAGTGGATTTAGAATCCAGTGTTATCCTTTGGTGCCGAGCTTGTCTCCCTCTGGTTGTTGGGAACCCATTGGGCCGGCTTCTTTGGCTTCTGTCTTGTTTGCATCATTCGTGGAGCATGTGCTTACTTTGTCTCATCTAGTCTTTTTCCCAGCCTCATTCCTCTTAGTGGAATGTGGTGTTAGAAACTGAGATCTGGGTGCCAGGTGTTCTCTTTGAACTGGCGTGCTATTGCTCCCAGGACCTCTCTCGCTGGACAGAGCAAGGAAATGCATGTGTGTGCATACTATGTATGTGTGCATACTGTGTGTGTGCATATTGTGTGCGTGTGTGCATACTGTGTGTGTGTGTGCATACTGTGTGCGTGTGCGTACTGTGTGTGTGTGCATACTGTGTGTGTGCGCATACTGTGTGTGCATACTGTGTGTGCATACTGTGTGCGTGTGTGTACTGTGTGTGCGTGCATACTGTATGCGTGCATACCGTGTGTGTGCGTACTGTGTGTGTGCGTACTGTGTGTGTGCGTACTGTGCGTGTGCGTACTATGTGCGTGTGCGTACTGTGTGCATGTGCGTACTGTGTGTGCATACTGTGTGTGTGCATACTGTGTGCGTGTGCATACCGTGTGTGTGTGCATACCGTGTGTGTGTGCATACTGTGTGCATACTTTGTGTGTGCATAGTGTGTGCGTGTGCATACTGTGTGTGCATACTGTGTGTGTGCATACTGTGTGTGTGTGCGTACTGTGTGCATGTGCGTACTGTGTGTGTGCATACTGTGTGTGTGCATACTGTGTGTGTGTGCGTACTGTGTGTGTGCGTACTGTGTGTGTACTGTGTGCGTGTGCGTACTGTGTGTGTGCATACTGTATGTGCGTACTGTGTGTGTGCGTACTGTGTGTGCGTACTGTGTGCGTGTGCGTACTGTGTGTGTGCGTACTGTGTGTGTGCGTACTGTGTGTGTGCATACTGTGTGTGTGCGTACTGTGCGTGTGTGTACTGTGTGCATGTGCATACTGTGTGTGCATACTGTGTGTGTGCATACTGTGTGTGTGTGCATACCGTGTGTGTGCATACCGTGTGTGTGTGCATACTGTGTGCATACTTTGTGTGTGCATAGTGTGTGCGTGTGCATACTGTGTGTGCATACCGCGTGTGCATACTATGTGCGTGTGCTTCTCTCTGTACACATTTGTCTCAGCGTTTCTGTACCTCTCTACATGTACATTCATGCCTCCTATTCCACCTCATGGGGGTTTTCCATATTTGTAGCTCCATCTTCTGACAGTGACAACCTTGGTATCCTTTGTCCTTATTGTATTGGCTAATGTGGTGCCTCCTCCTGTGTGAACCCTCTTCTCCTCTCTGCCATTGCTGCTCCTCTCAGACCCGGTTATCCTTTGCCATTTCACCCCAATATCTGCCTTTCTCACTGCCCTGGTCCAACACCCATATGGTCACCTTTCTGCAGCCACACCTCTCCTTCTTCCTCTGCACGGGCTCAGGGCCCAGTCAGACTTGAGAGCTCATTCCAGGCCAGTGTGGCTCCCATCATCCTGAGACAGATGCCAGCTTTGCCCAGACCCACCTTGTGGCTTTAGGATTGTTGAAGAAGGGATTTTAGCATTTTCAACAAGTGCTTTAGGTTTCAGGCCTGGTCAGCCGAGGGAAGGATGATACACCAGTAACCAAGACTGGGACGGGAGCTGGGCTGGCTGGCAGATGGTGGGGTACCATTTCGCACATGGT
Source organism: Homo sapiens (assembly GCF_000001405.40). NCBI lineage: Eukaryota > Metazoa > Chordata > Mammalia > Primates > Hominidae > Homo > Homo sapiens. Next base: position 80,635,529 of record NC_000017.11, read on the forward strand.
GAGGTGCTTGTAGGAACCTCCAAGCGGAGCCACCATCCAGTGGAAAGTGGATCTGGTGGGAGAAGAGGGCTCATTGTAGACTAGAGGACCCAGGGGAGGTCAGCGCCTAGTACGAACTAGACCAGAGGGTATCGGGCAGAGGCAGGGCCCTGAGGGTGCAGAGAGGGGTGCCAAAGAGGAGGACCAGGGTGGTTCTGGATGAGTGCGTGGAGGAGCTTCTGGTCAGCATTGTCAAGGCTGAGGTGGTGTCCAGGCTGATTGTAGCAACCTGAAGAGTGAAGGCAGATGAGGTGGTGAAGCTTGTGGGGCAGCTTGGCCAGGAAGGTGAGGAGTGGGGTACTAGTGTTGGGGCTGGGCTCAGTGATGGGTTTGCTCTGCCTTCCTCAAGATGAGAATGACGGGGGCCATGGAGGAAGCCAAAACAGGGATTGGTGCAATCAAATTACTTACAAACATGTTACCGTTTAGAAGGCAGACCTCAGGATTTTATATTTGGTCTTAGCATTTTGAGGTCTATTACTAGAAATCGAGATTTTTGTGTTAATCAAGACTCCAGCTTTATTCCTTCCAGCTGTGCTACACATTTAACTGTTTTGGGCCTCAGTTTCCTCATCTGTAAAGTGGAGCTAGTGATGCCGTGTACCTCATGGCAGGGTGGGGGAATTAACTGGGAGCAGAGACCTGGTTTGGTGCAGAGACTGGTCCTCACCTCCGCCGCCCCAACTCTAGTCCCTACTTCTACCCCAACATCACAACACCTCAAACACCCCGACCCCTACGTCACAGCGCCTCAAGCATCCCGACCCCTGCAACACTGTCTTAGTCTGTTGTTGCTGCTGTAACAGAATACCCGAGACTGGGTAATTTACAAACAACAGAAATGTATTTCACGCAGTTCTGGAGGCTGAGGAGTCTAAGATAAAGGCACTGGCAGGTCTGTTGTCTCTTGAGGGCCCTGTCCATCTTCCAAGATGGGGCTGTAACACTGTGTCCTGTCACGGTGAAAGGGACAGAAAAGCAGAAGTGTGCGTCTAGTTCCCTCCAGCCCTTTTATGAAACACGATCGCCTCCTGAAGGCCCCATCTCTTCATACTACCACATTGGGCTTCCGTTCCAACACGTACATTTTTGGGGACATATTCAGAACATAGCACTAGCCCCAGTATCCCCACTCCAGATCACCCACACCCCCGCAACACGCCCCAGTACCGCCACTCCAGATCACCCACACCCCTCCCCAACACGCCCCAGTGCTGCATGGGGAGCAGGGGCCAAGGTGCTGCATGAGCTGCTTCCTGAATCCGTGCCTCTTCCGCTGCTTTCTGTAGGGCTGACTACGAAAGAGGGCTGCAGTGAACACACCTCACTGAGCCCCACTGCCGGGCATGTAGCCTTGCAGGACGGCCGCTCACTCAGGGTTGAAGGTCTCCAGCAGATTCTGGGAGTAGATGCACGGTGCTGCTTATTTCGTTTTACAAATTAAACATCCAATATGCAGGTAGCAATGTGTGTGAATCCCCAGTGCTTTATGTAGAACCCTGAGTATGGGGTTCATTTTTGGGCAGGGTGGGGTGGAGCGGAAGGTGGTCTGTGCTGATGTCAGAGGGGTCTGAGAAGCTTGAAAAATAAGGGTAACTGTGTGTGCCTGAACCATGCAGGAAGACAGCACTCCTTCCAGAGATGAGGGAGAGCAGACGTCATGTCTGTGAGCAAACAAGGGGCCCATGCCCAGCGTGGCTCTGGGTGTCATGGCCTCCCTGCTAGGTCATCCGGATGAAGCCTGGGGCTGTGGAGTCAGCTCGTGAGAAATGGGATCCAGGTCCTGAGCGTGCTGGAACTGGCGAGACGGGGTCACAGCACACACCTGCGTTTCCAGCCCTGCCCCTGCTGACGGCCAAGACCTCTTTTCCCACCCCTGCTCCGCCCCCCTCTGGATAATAAGTTGCTGTTCTAGTTCATAGAAGTGACACTTGTCCCTTTTCAGAGAAGCAGGGGAGAGGCTGTTTTGTTTTATGGCCCGACATTAAATACTACAACAGTAATACTAAAAACAATCCTGCTGAAGAGCTGCGCGTGCCCCACTCTTGGGGAACTCTGCTGTGGCAGCAGAGTGCGGATGAGCTGCATGCTGAGCAGGGAGTGTCATTTAGCGGAAATGGTTTTGTGTGCCAGCTAATGGTAGCTGTGTATCAGAAGAGGTGAGAATGCAAAGGTTTGTCAGATGTGTGGAAATTCTGTCATCCCAAGGGAACGTTTGGGAGGTCTTAGCTTTGTTTTTCTCTTCTTAATGCAAACACGTGAGCATTAAGAGACCTTGGGTAGATGAGCTGAAAATAGTCGTGATCGCCCTTGGCGGCGGCTCGTGGGTTTACAGAGCACTTGCACAGACTTCGTCATTGATTCTTGCAACCATTTGGGATTCATAGACCAGTCAAGTTGGTTAACAGATATTGATTAGGTGGAAACGTATATGTTAAGCATAGTGCCATATACAAGGAACTGTAAGCTGTGCTCTTGCTTTCAAGGCACTGATAGTACACCTGGGGAGGTAAGACTAGGATCCATGCAGTAGAACAGAGACCAATACGAGGTCAAGCTTGAACGGCCTGGAAGGCCAGAGAATGCTGCGGTAGAGACGTCAGGGCAGGCAGTGGGAGGCAAGAGCAAAGAGCTGAAGGAAGAGCATGAGCCCACACTCTGAGGTCCGAGGGGCTGGGTTTTCGCACACCAGCTGGGCTCCCTTTGGGCCTGGGGGGTCAGTAGCACCCGTTAGCCACGGCCAGTCACAGCCGTATGCTCTGTGCACACAGCTCTGTGCCCACAGCTGAAACCTTGGCTCTTTGGGGCTTATGGTTTAAAATGCTGTTTTCTTTTCTTCCTTTCTTTTTTTTTTTTTTTTTTGAGACGGAGTCACATAGGCTGGAGTGCAGTGGTGTGATCATGGCTCACTGTAGCCTCTACCTCCTGGACTCAAGCGATCCTCCCACCTCAGCCTCCTGAGTAGCTGGAACCACAGGCATGCACCAACACGCTGATTAATTAAAAAAAAATTATTGTAGAGACGGGGTCTCATTTTGTTGCCCAGGTTTAACATACTGTTTTCTCTGCCAGTTCCATTGGTGTCTCAAGGTGGTATCTCTGCTTCCCCTCTGAAGGAATCTGAAAGAAGGGGGTTAACTGCTTGGAGCCCACCTCTCTCCTGTATCTACTTTCCAAAGTGAGGACAGTTTTTTAAAACAGGACATGTTCATCCCCTCATATCTGCTGAAAATCCGTCTAGCTCTTGGTTTTTGTATAATACAGCAATAGGCAACACAGGAACGTAATTTTGTAGCTATGTGAGGAGTGAGGCCTAGTGTTAGAACGGGGCCAGACTGTAAAAGATCTCGCTCCTGTACGGCTCCCGTCCTAGTCCCACAGACGCTGCAAGGGCCGCGGGTCCCGGCCGAAGCTTTCCTGTCCCAGATGCCTGCAGCTGTGTGGCTCCAAGCTTTGCGCCTGAGCTGAGGAAGATCACACGCCTCTCACTGTATACAGGACTAATTATTACAAAATAGACAGGGATGGCATTATGGTTAGGAAAATATAGACTCATTAAAAATCATTTCTAATTTCAAAGTAGCCCCTTTGCTATTATGTATTTTCTCAGTCAAAAATGAGTTGTTTAAGGCTACACAACTAATGAGTGGCAGAGTCCTTGAAAACCACACAGAGAAATTTGCACTTCATCTAGTAGGCAGCACTCAATATGTCAATTAAAAATGTTTATTAAGTGTCTGCTAAATACACGGTACAAAGAACTACAAAGATTGTCCGAGCAGTGAGTGCTGGATGGGGCTTTCAGTGTGAACTTTTCACTGAAGGATAGCACACAGAGGAAACTGCACCTAACCCGGGTGTATCCTAAACTGATCATACCCATGGACCCCAGATCAAGGAACAAGATGACCATTGGCCCAGAAGTCTTATCTTGTCCCCTTTGGGTCCCCTCCCCCAGCTGCACTGCTGGGTCTCCACTCTTGGCAGCTTTCCATCTAAATGGAGCACACAGCCCGCACTGTGGGCTTCTGAGGGGAGGGGTCAGCCTGCGCTCATCTTCAGGGTGGACTGAGAAGAGAAAGACTAGGTCATTGGTGGCCCTGTCTGTGCCTGGGGCACCACTCTTTGGGGCCATTGGGCCAGATTGAGGAACCCAGCTGGGAGGTGGGAGAGTCTCAGTAGCATCGTGAAGGGCTGCGGATTGGGTGAACATGTTAGCAGTGGCTGGTGGAGTGCCAGCTCTTTGGAAGGTGAAATGGATAGGATGGGTAATCAAACTGGGTACATAGGAAGAAGATGGAGAGGTTTAAAAAGAAAAAGCTGCACCCCTTCAGGTTGGCTGAATGCCAGCACTATCAATAACCTTGGAGCAAGTCATTTGACTGCTTTAAACTTCAGCTTGCCCTTCTGTCCCATGAGGTGGGTTGGACCAAGTTCCTTTCAGTGTAAAGTTCTAAGTATCTTGAAATTCAGAGGGGTTATGCTGAAAATCTTGCAAATAGGAAAATTTATAAAGAACTAAAAGTTTTATGCAAATACCATTTACCATCTCCTTTTCCATCCACCTACCCATCCATTTCATTCATCAATTTACCCACACACTCACTCGCCGCTGAAGTTTCATTAGTTCTTTCCCAGATTCCCCTTAAATAGGAGCTCATAAAGGAATTAGAAGAGAAATGTTTTATAAGACACAACTACAGTTTTACATTTATGATCTGTCCACTTCACCCCACATCAGACTGATACTGTTGTCAATAATATCTATCGGGGAATTTAATTTTAGTTTATTTAAATTATACTTAATCAAATGCTAAATGCATCGTTTCATTTGACCTCATTCTTTCCCGTCTCTTCCTCTGCTTCTCATTTCAGCTCTCCCACCCACTGCCCTATTCTTGGAAGGGAACCATACAATTAACTGACCACAGGGATTCCCAGTGGATAGGCGGTTATAGTGCCATGTAGCTGGTCACGGCCTGGTGAGCAGCTGACAGTGGTTTCACCCCTCCTGGGTGGGCAGGTATCCTGACCTGAGTCAGGGCAGGGAGAGTGGGGCCCCTGCCAGGCTGTCTCTACTAACGAGGGCCGCCATGTCTCTGCAGGATGTTGTGAGGGATGCAGGGAAGTGGCTGCCTCCTGCCAACACTGGGGAGAGGGTGGGATGGGAGAAGGGCCTGGACTTTCCAAGGGGTGAAATCCAAGGAGGGGGTACTCCTTGAATGGGAACTCCCTCCCTTCTTCCTCTGTCCGTGGTTCACTGGAGAGCATGCATAGTGTGAGCCACCGCTGACCGTCGTGATGCATGGACAGTTTTCTGACCATAGATGACAGCCGCGGGCCGCGACCATGCTGGTTGCTGCAGTTAAGTATGGGTGACTGAACTCAACGCCTTCCAGCCAGCCCTGTGCGTTTACTTTGCTCCTCCTCATGCATGCGGCAAGGTCGCTCTTTGGCATCTGTTTGTTAAAGCTGTTTTTTGCTTTCCTTTGCCTTGTTTGTGTACTTCGTGGCCCCTATTTTTTGTTTTTCAGATCCCAATCCAATCCTATCTTGTGGGTCTGATCACAGCACAGTTGATTTGGGTCACTATGATTTTTTTGAGACCTTAGAACTTTGTTCCTGAGAGAAATGAAGACCAAACATGTAACGTCTGAAGTCACAGATTACGGATTATAACAAATTTACCACAATTCTTCCAGAGAAGTTAGATATTACCTGGTTTTTACCAAGCTTTTCTCAGCCAGAGGTGTCCATTGAATTAGAACCATTGAATTAGAATTTCCAGAAGGTTAGGGCCTGGCATCTCTGTTTTGAAAAGCCCTTGATGACTTTGACCTATCTATGGGCGAAGGCCCTTTCCAGTTGTAAAATCTTATTAACGTCATGATTTTTATTTTATTTTTTTATCAGAGTAACATACATATAGCTAAAAAAATAATAATTAAATAATGCCAAAAACTATACAGGTGGCTCTTGGAGATCCTGCGGGTGTGGCTCTAGACGACTGCAATAAGTGAGCTACATGAACGTTTTGGTGTCCAGTGCATATAAAAGTTACGTTTACACTGTACTGTAGTCTGTGAAGTGTGCAGTAGCATTGTGTCCAAAAGAACATACACACTTTATTTTAAAAACTGAAAAATGTTAATGATCACTGGAGCCTTAGCGAGTTGTAATCTTTTAGCATTTAATTGGCTGACGGAGGGTCCTGCCTCATGTGGATGGCCGCCAACTAATGGAGGAGGGGTGGTTGCTGAAGGTAGGGGTGACTATGGGAATTTCTTAAAATAAGACAATAACAAAATTTGCTGCATTGATTGGCTCTTGCTTTCACGCAGCATTTCTCTGTAGCATGTGGTGCTGTTTGATAGCATTTTACCCCCAACAGACAGACCTGGAGTAGTTGGCAGATGTTTTCTGGAAAATGAATGACATGAGCCTGTCACATTAAGGAAAACAACTGACAGTGTTTGTTTCCACTGATAAAATTTGAGATTTCAAATAAAAAAAATAAAATTTGGAAACCTTGTACCTACCACTATGAGCCTGGCAACTTCTTTTTTGTTGTTGTTGTTGTTGTCTTTGAGATGGAGTCTCACTCTGTCGCCCAGGCTGGAGTGCAGTGGCGTGATCTCGGCTCACTGCAACCTCTGCCTCCAGGGTTCAAGTGATTCTCCTGTCTCAGCCTCCTGAGTTGCTGGGATTACAGGCGCCCAGCTAATTTTTGTGTTTTCAGAAGAGACGGAGTTTCATGTTGCTCAGGCTGGTCTCAAACTCCTGACCCCAGGTGATCCACCCACCTTGGCCTCTCAAAGTGCTAGGATTACGGTGGTGAGCCACCACACCTGGCCGAGCCTGGCAACTTCTTAGTACTTAAGACATTTCTGATGAGCTCATGGTAATGTTAATGAGTGTGGATTCTTAAAAAAATATTGGGGAATGAAATATACAAGATCTGTATAGTTCAATGAGCTGATATTTTCCAGATGATCAATGCATGATGATACAAAATAATCTATGGGTAAAAAATCCACTCAAGGTGCAGCAAACAGCAGTGAATTTTAATGTCATAGCATACAAAAAGTTCGTTGATGTGGTTTCAGATACTACATCTCATATAATCTGAAGGAAATTACCACTTGATAATTTTTGGTGTAGTATCAAACAAAAAGAGTCATGATTATGTAAAATAGCATTTTAAGATACTCTTCTGTTTTCTAATGATAGATATATGTGTGAGGTAGGGGTTTCCACATATGCAGTCACTGAAACCATGAAATGCCACAGGCGAATGCAAAAATGGATGAGAGTCACCCATCCTTGATCAAACCACATATTCCAGAAATTCGCAAAAATATGCAAAAATGCTGCTCTTCTACTAAACTTTTTTGGAAAAAATAGTTATTTTTGTAATAAATATTTATGTTAAAATATAATGGGTTATTGTTTTTAAAATGAATGAAGAAAAATATTTAAAAAATCTTAGCTGAATTTCACATAGAGTAGATATTGATAGATTCAACAACATAAACCAAAGCTCTTTGAGGTTTTCAATAATTTTAGAGTGCAAAGGGGTCCTGAGACCAAACAAGTTTGAGAACTGCTGATTTAGAGTTAATTGCCCTGGAACCCACTCCTGAAATAAATGGGTAAATCCTGGACATGAATGTACATTTGTGAAACGGATTTTTTTTGTGGGAATACTGAGTGCAGATGAAAATTAATTAAAAAGTATCACTTCTTTGTCTTTTTCTCTCCTCCTTTTCCTGTACCCATGAGAGCCATAGTTTGAACAGGAGGAAGCATATGCTGTCACTGCAGAGCTGCCTTCTCAGAGAAAGCCTGAGCAGGAGCCTGAGAATAAAACAGTGCAAGTGCGGGAAAGCTGCAGGTGCCGAAATACAAATGAACGTGGGTAGAATAACAGCATTCACTTGCCCGTGATGTTAAAACACTGGCCTTCACGGCGTGTCAGCTTGTTTGAGCACCTTAGCTGTTCAGTAAATCTGGTTAACACTGATCAACCTTAGGCGTTGTGTTACTTTTAGTCAAAGGTGACTTTGAAGTGTGTTATATAAGGAGAAACTGTGGAAGAGAGGCCTAGCAGAGGAGGAAATGCAGACGTAAAGAACTTTCTCTTTTCCATTGCTTCCTCAGATCCTCTGTCGATGGGTCCTCAGAAAGCTCTGGAAACCATCGGTGCAAATTTACAGAAGCAGTACGAGAACTGGCAGCCAAGGGTAAGTGTGCTTCACTTGCTCTTCCCTTTCCTTCTTACAGGGAAACTCCAGTTCCTTGGTTTCCAACACTCTTTGGATCCAAGTGAGAATTCTGTGCACACCCTGCCCTTGTGTGGCATGGCGCCTGCGCACTGCGTTTCGTGTGCCTGCGTTCTGCCTGCTGGCTATTGGTGGCTGTGTTGTCTTGACAGCGTCCGCATTATTGTGAGTCTTGCATTGGACAGTCCAACTTATTTTGCTTAAGTTTGTTCCAGATTTTTAGAAAAGAAAAAGTATTCTTTTCGCTCTTAACCATGGTTTTAATTTTTCTCAGGAAATGTATTTTCGATAATTTTTCTGCAACCTCAACTAGTTAACGCTATTCCGCGTGTCTTCAGTTTTCACATAGTTGAGAAAAAAACACCCAACAGTCAAAAGATAACACTTATTATATGCTTTGCCTTTGATTCAAAAGATAAGGTTCTTTTTAGGGAGCCAGTTACCAATTAGTGTGTGGGTTTTTTTTTTTTTTTTTTTGGCTTATATCTTACAGTTTTTTGTTTGTTTGTTTAAAGAAAAGTGGCTTAGAATATAACTGTGTCAAATTGCCTTTAAGATCTTAAGTTACTTGTAATCCACCCAAAGACCTTTAGCCTTTCTTATTAACTGGTTTGGAGATTTAATAAATTTAATAAAAAACTAAGAATCTGGGCACTTATGGAAGTGCCCTATATTCAGCTTTGCATGATAGATGGACTCGAGTTACCTAAAGGAAATAATGAAGAATGCAGGTTGAGAAGGTGCGCGTCTCCTGCAAGTTTTACTCTCCCCTTTTGGATGAAAGCCTCATGAAAACACATGATTTATGGAACCTTTTGAACACTTATTTGGTTGGAATTTTGATTTGTGGATCATTTATCCACATGATGTGGGATTTAGAGATTCCTTATACATTATTTACATTCTTAGAGTAAGAGAACAGCCAAAAATGAATTTTTTCCTGCCTTTAAAAATGCCCTTAGGTCATTTCTGCTGTTGCTTCCAGTCATGAGCTAATTGTTAGGAAGCATCTCTGTGTCTTAGGGTGTACCTTTGTGCTTGCATTGCCAACTTGTCAAGTCAATAACAGCAGACTTTTGTTCTTTAGAAGGCAGTGGCTTCATGGGTTCTTGACTGATGCCTAATGGCTTGACTTTTTCCTCTCTTAAATTGGTTGCCTCTTGATGGTTTGTGTACACATGCTGTAGCCTTTTTCTTGAGGGCGCAGTGCGTTTGGGGATGGCATGAGGACTGGAGAGAGATTTGGATGGTGGAGTCCTGTAAAAATGTAGTTGAGATGCCTCGTGTTTTCCATAGATAATAGCTTCTTTGAAGACTTTGAAGGTACCCTAGGGTCTCAGCATGGTGAGACGGGCACTTGCAGGAGTGTGGGGCAGAGTGGCAGTATTAGAAGACATGGCCGTGTTGGCACATGGCATGTCGTTAACCAACACTATGGGAATTCAGAGGAATGCCTTTCTGGCTACTTCTGGCCATCTCCTGGGTTTGGCTTTGTACCTTTGCGTTTTACTAGATACCTTTGTTTAAAAAAGAATGTAACCCAATAAATTCAGATCTACCAATTGTGTTCTTTCTAGAATGAGTCTCTGCTATTAAAACTAGTTTCTTCTTTTCCAAGAATTATTAGATAAGGAAATATAGCCTTTCAGAATACATGTGTTTAATATTTCAAGATATTGTATGTGTATTCCATTTGCTCTGATTTACAATTGTTTTTTTTGAGTGCTAAGAGTTGATTTACTGCTGGCTTTATTATTAGTTTCGCTTGGTAGATATCAGCTAGTTGATGCTAGCTGACAGGAAATGGAATCTTCTAAAGTGGCATCTGTTATTTTTAATCTAAATTTCTGTCTACGAGCAGATCTCTCCATGGCATTGAGAAGCGGCATCATGATGTAGGGAAGGTGACCTTTACATGTAGGTCAGTGATGACAGCCAGAAAGATGACAGTGTAGACTCAGTACAGGATGGAGGATTCCCTGCCCATGACAGTGGCACAGTTGTATTCGGACAGCGAGCACAGGTGCAAAGGGGTGCAGTCCTCTGAATGATCTGTAGTCTGGGAAAATTTGTTAAAGTTGGCCAGATTTCAAGAATGGATGTGCAAAATAATTCTCTGAGTAAGAGATCGTTTGAAGGGCTGGTGAGATGGAGAATGTGTTAAGATTACAGGATGCTTCGGAAAAGGTACCAGCGCAGGCGGGATCCCATCTGGGCTGGTTTATAAAGTGGAATCTGGAATAAAGTATCCGCTGCAGCCTAGAAGGAAGCTGTTCTTGCACACAGAGTGGGATCTTTTGTCCCCATTCAGGAAGCAAAACCACAACAATGGACACCTAATATTTGCTTTTCGAATGCCAACACCATTGCATTCATTTTTTAGTACAATAAAAATGTTTAAAAATTTCCTGCTACTATCCATGAGCGGGCCTCATCTATTTTAGAAATTAGCCTAAGGTAACGGATGTCACAGGATACCTCTGACCGGCTCCCAGGTGTGAGCGTGGGGCTGTGCCATATGCACTGGGTAATAATAGCACTTGCCCCGGTGCGCGTGGCACACTGCTCCTCACAGCTTTCCGTGGGTTACAGGACAGAGGGAGGGAGGCCTGGCATAGATAGCGTGGCTCTCAGTGTGGGGCAGACCTCATGCTGCCTTCTAGAGTTTGCATGAAACAGGAGGCACTTAGCAAACTCAGATGTTTGTGTGCAAGGGGCCTGGTTCCTGACTGTAAATCAGGGTCCTTTGAAACATTGCAAGGCTAAACACGCACCACTTGATTGCACTCTACAGGGCTCTTGAGTTTCTGCAGTAATAAAGAGAGGTTGATGTGCCATCTGCAATAAAACAATGGGGGCGTTATTAAATTTCCCAGACCTTCAGTGGAAAGACCCATATATCTGGTTTTCTCTTTCTCTGTGTCTTTATTGCAAGAGTGGAAAACCTTGGGTCATTTAATGAAAATGAGATTATTTTCATTAAAGTTTGTCGGAGTCGTTGCCTCCACGCTGGCATGGATGGGAGCAGAGTAGGAAATGCCTGTTTTCTCAACGGTAGCGTCCATCCAGGAGGTGCAGAAAGCCAACCCCGGAACCCCCGTCGGCTGCACCAGAATGGTGTCTGGAAGCCTCTGATGATTTCCTTGCTGGTGCTGGAACGCTTGGACTTGTTCTTCATTTTTCTAGCTTTTGATATAGGTGATTCCAGTTCAAAAGGAATTGAGAGAAACCATGGTGATTATATTTTTTTCTGAAGGCTGCCAGCCACTATCTGGCCCGTATTTCCTTGCTTAGGCCCATTGAGCCCTTTTCTAAATAATTTATCAGTTTGCCACTGATGAAATGTTTCTTCTGATTAAATTTAAGGCTTTGCCTTATTACCTTGTAGGTGTATAAATTTGTGTTCTGCCAGAGATTGGAGGAAAATGCCGACCGTTGTTTCAGTGGAAAATTCTGCAGTAAAACCTCACTCATTCCATCATAAGTCTCAAATGAAAGTTTTATTGGGAAATGGGAGTAGGAGATTATTATAAAGCTGGGACCATACAGTGAAGAATTTATCTTTTTAGAGAATTTTTCTAACAAATTGGGGCTACTGGCAGTTTAGTACAGGATGGAAGTTAGGAGCTGGAGCCTGTGGAAAAAGACAAGCAGGAGGGGCCTCGCTCTCTGTGTCCTTCTTTCCCCAGAGAGAGTGGACAACACCAGAAGCAGAGGCCACACCTCTTTACTTGGGGTGAGCTTTAATTCTTCTGGTGCCTTAAAAATAAGTTTCTATGGGAATATCTATCATTTACTAAGGAAGATGAAACAGCATGGCGGTGCCTCCACTGACCAAGTCTGTCCGTCGGGCAGGTGTGTCTAGGGGAGGAGGCGGAAGGCGCTCCTCAGTCATGGAGCCACGTTGTTGTAGGAGCTCATTCTCATCTTGTCCAGGTCTGCGAGTAGTGAAGGCAGCAAGTCCTGTGTGGCGGCCGTGGGGCTTCCAGGGAGCTGAGCGGTCAGGTTGAGTCAGTTTCCATGTGGTGGACAGTTCTTACTTATCCATGCACAGCCCTGGTTTGTGGATTACAGTGAACAGATTTTGAATGTCAGCTTCCCTTCAGTTCACCGTGCTTCTCAGATGTGTCACAGTTAATTTGTGGTTAAGGGATGAAAGTTGGTTTTGCCATTAGATAAACATGTTTTTTATAGTGCCTAACCCCAAGCAGAGTATGTTCAAGGAGAGAACAAAACAGCTCCCAAGATCTGGTCCATTAGCCCAGTAGAAATTGTTATTGCATTTTAATGTAAATGACAGTCATCCTTTCGTGGTATTGATAATAGAGTTGTTTGTGTGCTTTTATGAGATGCTTTGAATGAACCGAAGCTGATGACTATACCTCCTGTTGGGAGGAGGGGGTTTGGGGAGCAAGGGGGTTGAGAAGGCCAGTGGTGGGCAGTTTTGGTTCTACTTAACAGGTGTGTCTTTTGGATTTTAGGCACAAGTGTTATTTGCAGAACTGAATGTTTATGTGTAATTCCATGTTGTTTAGGGGTTTGGAGTGAGGATAATTGGAATCCAGGCATCTTCTCCTTGTCCCTGAATGGGGCTGCTGCTTGACCTGTCCACCTCACAGGGAGTGTCATGTGGCCATGTGTGACAAACTGTGAAACCCTTGGTATTGAGTGCTCACACTGCTAGGTGTGGTGGGAGGCGCCTAGTCAGGCAGCCGGGTTGGCTTTGGGGAGCACTGCATGGATGGCTTCTAAGATCCACTTGTCTTCTTTCCCCTGGGATGATTAGACAGGCCTCTGCTTTGTGGGCAAAGCAATTGGTATCAGCACAAGTCACTCGCTTCCTTGTGCCCCCCACCCCCAAATGTTTTGGAATGAATTTTATAGATGGATGCTGATATGGCTTGGCTGTGTCCCCACCCAGATCTCATCTTGAATTGTCACTCCCACAATTCCCACGTGCCATAGGGGGAACCCAGTGGGAGGTAATCGAATCATAGGGGCGGGTCTTTCCTGTGCTGTTGTCCGTAGTGAACAAGTCTCACGTCCCTGCACGAGCTCTCTCTTGCCTGCCACCATCCATGTAAGATGTGACTTGCGCCTCCTTACCTTCCGCCATGATTGTGAGACCTTCACAGCCATGTGGAACTATAAGTCTATTAAACCTCTTTCTTTTGTAAATTGCCCAGTCTTGGTTATGTCTTTATCAGCAGCATGAAAATGGGCTAATACAGATGCAGTCAAGACGCATAAATCAGTGGGTTCTACCTTTTCTTAGGATTTTCAGGCTCAGATATGGATAATCGGGGAAGAAGCAGCTAAGTTGCCCTAGGACAGTACTCCACACCTGGAGGTGCTCCAAAGCTATTCATGGAACAGCCCAAGGTGGACCGTTACTCGCTGTGACTCCTGCTTGGGGCATTCACGTTGCGACATTAGTTCCAAATTGACAGTCCAGTTCAGCTGGTGAAAATGGCCCTATAATTGCGATTGGCAGCATCCCTTGGCGTGCGGCCCTGATGCCATTACCATTCCATCATCCATCCCGTCTTGCTGTCTGCCCTGCCGCCAGCCCTCCCTCCTCCTGCCCAAACTCACCTGACTTTCTTCTCTGTGGGTCCTAAGGTTGGGCTTCATCCACCTTGAGTTTCTGTGACAAGCTGCCAGTGAGGACTCATGGGCAAAGGCAGAACTGTGGGTGGATGGCTCACAGCTTGCATAATTCAGTACCTGGTGTGAAGCACTTTGCCTGTGTACTCATTAAATTTGCAGGACGGTACAGACAATATCTTCTGGTGGTCTTGGGGTTAACTGTGGTGCTTTGACAGTTTCACTTAACTGCTTACTGCCCAGAAAGTTAAGAACTGTTCCTATGATCAATGTTTTTACTTATATTTTTGCCTTGGCCTCAGCAGTGCTCTCCCACTTCGTCTTCCCTCCTTTCTAGTGCTTCTCGCCTGAAAGCTTTTCCACGTGCGTGCCGTGTTCAGTGAGAACTCTGATTCATGCTCTTCAGCCAGAAGCCTTCGTAGTCAGCCCTGCCCACGCACTTCCTGCCTTGCCCTGTCCCCAGAGGCCATGGTATTGGAAGCAGCTTCCTGGAAGCAAGCTTAGATTATGCGAAGCAGTTTATTCCGGACTCTTTAGACCAATTGCACCAGAGCATAAAGGTGTTGTCACCTACTGCTATCCCTCCGAATACCTTAGTGACATGACCTATAAATTCTTTTAGGCACACCAAAGACATTACAGAAAGAAGAATGAAAGAAAGGCATGGTTCTGCAGCCTCCTGGAGGATGGCAGCCTGTTGTGACTAGACTCCTCAGGGTTTCAGTCCATTAGAGCTGGTCCCAGAGGGGACCCCTGCTGGCCAGCCCTGTGTTGGACTCTTGCTCTCCGAGGCCACCTAGGGGATTCACTAGAGAGCCCATTTGGGATTGAAGAGCACGCGTGTTGACTAGAGTGGGTTGCAGCATGGGCCGCAGCCTGTTTAAACACTGCCTAGGGAAGATTGGTGGAGTCCGCCTCCTCCCTTCTGCCTCGTAGGTCCGCAGAGTCGTGCTGGGCTCACCGCTCCTTCCCTTTCTGGGCGGGAGCGCCCCTCTCACTGGTAGGGGAGCTCCCTGGGAAATGTGGTCTCCTTTCTACCAGTGCACTGAGGGGTGGGGTGGGGAGAGCTTAACTGTGGAAAGAATGCGAACTGGTTTAGTTCTGGCTTTGCCACTTCTTAGAAATGTAACTCTGGACAAATTACTATTTAAACTTTTAAAATTTGTACATGCAAATGAGAGTTAATGGACAGAATAAAAGTATATAAAGCATTTGCACCAGGGAGGCCATGGTGGTTGGTCATCAGATCCTTACTTCCCATCCCTTTCTGTCCCTTATCCCTTCCTCTCCCTCATGGTTGAGGTGGTGGAGGCCCCTCCCAGAACATTCTGCCCAGGAGTCTTGCTGCCTTAAGCCCCTCCCCATCCTGCCTTATCTCTGGTTTTATCCTCTTGCGGGGATAACTGCATTCCTGACTCTTCCTCTATTAATTGACCTACTTGAAGTGTAATACTTTTAGAGAGAAGTAGGGGCTTAACTCTGTCCTTAACAGGCCTCTCGAGGATATTATCTCTCATCATCATGTTCCCTTTAACAAGGGAGTTGTCTGTGTGTATGACAAATTGCAAATGAGGACCCCCCACCGTCAGGCTGGGGACTAAAACTGTAGCTCAGCTGTTGTCGTTTCACAGATCTCACGTGCCATGTGTGTTTCCTGAGTTAACTTGGGGACCGTGATACAGAGCGATGCGGAGATGGCTCTGAAGGACAGGCAGGTGCCAGGCGAGGGATGGAAGTGCTGCTTCTAAGTCAGAAAGTGGAAGGTGTGATGTGTTAAAGAATGGAAAGCTAAATTTGGAGGTGACGATGAGGAACCCACCGTATGCTCGCCATATGCAACTAGGAAGAGTTGTAAAATCCTGCTCCAGCCAAATTGGAAAGTGCTGATCAAGGGGGAAACGATCAATAACAGATTGGAGGGGGACGGCCACTTCAAAGTGTCTGCGGTACTTGATTTCATTTTGCAGGGGAAACCATATGTCACAGTGGTGTTCATGAATTTGGGTGTTCACAAGGGCTTCTGTACAGCTCCCTCCCAAATGTCCGCGATTTACTTGTTGGTATGACACATAATGGAGATTTTTTTAAAATGGACATACGAAGCACATAACGTCAAGTTCACCATTTTAAAGTGTACAACTTGGCTGGGCGCAGTGGCTCGCGCCTGTAATCCTAGCACTTTGGGAGGCCGAGGTGGGCAGATCACCTGAGGTCAAGAGTTGGAGACCAGCCTGGCCAACATGGTGAAACCTTGTCTCTACTAAAAATATTTAAAAAATGGCCAGGCACGGTGGCTCACGCCTGTAATCCCAGCACTTTGGGAGGCCGAGGCGGGTGGATCGTGAGGTCAGGAGATCGAGACCATGGTGAAACCCTGTCTCTACTAAAAATACAAAAAATTAGCCGGGCGCAGTGGCAGGTGCCTACTGTAGTCCCAGTTACTCAGGAGGCTGAGGCAGGAGAATGGCATGAACCCGGGAGGTGGAGCTTGCAGTGAGCTGAGATCACGCCACTGCACTCCAGCCTGGGGCGACAGCGTGAGACTCCGTCTCAAAAAAAAAAAATTAGCTGGGCGTGGTGGCGGGTGCCTGTAGTCCCAGCTATTCCGGAGGCTGAGGTAAGAGAATCGCTTGAACCTGGGAGGTGGAGGTTGTAGTAAGCCGAGATCACGCCACTGCACTCCAGCCTGGGTGACAGAGCGAGACTCCATCTTAAAAAAAAAAAAAAAAAGTGTACAACTCAATTGGCTTTTAACATCTTTGCAATCTTGTGCAACTGTCATAACTGTCATAACTGTCTAGTTCCAGAACACTTTTCTTACCCCAAAGGGAAACCCAAAGCCCATCGGCAGTCATTTCTCCTCCCCCAGGCCCAGGCAGTCACCAGCCTGCCTTCTGTCTCTGGAGATGCCTGTTCTAGGTACTCCACACAAATGGAGCCATACAGTATGTGGCCTTTTGCGTCTGGGCTCTTTCCTTAGCATCTGGAATGTTTTCAAGATTCCTCCATGCTATTGCATGTATCAGTAATTTAATCCTTCTTGTGTGTGCATGTGTAGAGATAGGGTCTCGCTTTATTGCTCAGGCTGGTCTTGAACCCCTGGCTTCAAGTGATCATCCTGCTTCAGCCTCAACTCTTTCTATAGCTGAAAAACATTCCATTGTATGGCTAGTCTACATTTCTATTTTATGGGTTCATCTGTTGATGGACACTTTCATGGTTTCCACCTTTTAGCTATTTGAATAATGCCGCTATGAATATGTGCATGCTAGTGTTTGTGTGGGCCCCTGCCCACTAGTGGGGTTGCTGGGTCATATGGTGACCCTGTATTTTACCTCCCTGAGGCACTCCCAATCTATTTTCCACAGTGGCTGTACTATTTGTCCATGTCTACTAGCAGTGTATGAGGGCTCCAGTCTCTCCACATCCTGGCCAACATTTGTCACTTTCTGTATTCTTACATTGTTATTATTATGATAGTCCTAGTGGGTATGAAGTGGAATCTCATCGTGGTTTTGGTTTTCATTTCCCTGATGATTAGTGATGTTGCCATCTTTTCATGTGCTTATTGGCCATTTGGAGGAGTCTCTATTCAAGTCCTTTGTCCATTTTTTAGTTGGGTTGTTTGTCTTTATTGTTGAGTTCTATGAGTTCAAAATGGAGACTTTTAAGTTGAATAAGGTATAATTTCTGTTGTGAGGACTTGTTTCCTTTCCAAATAATATGTGTGGTGTCTGCTGAGAGCCTCATGGTAACATTTAATTCTTAAAAGAGCCTTTGTCTTGATAGATTGGTTTCATAAAACTGTTAAGAGGTTCAGCCAGGCACCGTGGCTCATGCCCGTGGGAGGCCAAGACAGGAGGATCCTTTGAGCTCAGGAGTTGGAGACCAGCCTGGGCAACATAGTGAGACCTTGTCTCTAATTAAAAAAAGAAAAGAGGTTCTTTGACTATTGACTATACTGATCATATATATACTGTATAATTTAATACCAATCCCTTAAGATTCCTGTGTGTTTTTGTTAGGAGTCTTTTGGTTTTCTTAGAGCTGTGGTCTCTCCACCTGGAGTGTATGTCGGGAGAAAGCTCCTGTCGGGGTGAGTGCAGGCAGAGTGGCCGAGGAGCTGGGCCTCTGTGAAGTCTGGGTGCAGCTTGGAGGCTCATAGTGGACTGGGAGCTTGGCAGGAGGGGCGGTGCATGTCCACACCAGTGCCCGGTCTCCGCCGTGCTGCGGCCCTGTGGGTCTCTGCTCCCCACTCAGCAGTTACGCTGCAGGACGTTCCTTCCCCTCCCTGTGTGTGAGGGCTGGGTCCTTCCTTTCTGATGTAGTCATCTTTGATGGGACTCCATCTGCTTGGGCCCAGGGGTCCCCACAGGAGCCAGCTGTGTTCACATCCTAGTGGTCCCTGGTCCTAAACCACCTCCTGACTTTCCTCTGTTGCTTCAGCTTCAGCTCTCTGCCCACTGCATTGTGTCGCTGGATTTTCAAGATTAAATTCCCCCCACAAGAGTGTTTGATGCTTCCCTGGATGGCCAGGCTGTACGGCCAGTGTTAAAAGACAGACAAGTGCCACCCAGGGGCAAGGGGAGTGTGTGGTTCAAAGTCCCTGAGAACAGATGCCAGATGCCAGGCTCAGGTGGTGCCGTTTACTTCCAGCAAGAGGAGAGAGAGGGTGCACTTGATCCAGTGCCGGGTGATGGTGGCCCCTAGGCCAGGGGGTCGCACCCTCACTTTGGGCTACAGTAGAAGGAGATTCCCCCACCCCGTGGGGTCTTAAACACAGAAAACTGGGGGCATGCCTGAGGGCCACTGATGCAGGTGCTAAGGCACAACAGAGGAGCCATGGAGGCAGAAATCGGGAAAGACCCCTCCCAGGTGAGGGCTGCACGGGCTGTGGTGAGGGTGCTCCCCTCGGTGGGCTCTCGGCCCAGCACGTGGAAGACGGCGCAGTCCACTGCCTTCCCAACCCAGAGAGGCCGATCAGCTCCGCTTAGCTTCACGTGGTCCTCCGTGTAACTGGCCCATCTGTGGGTTGGTTCTGAGGGAGTGAGGCTGCCCTCTAGAATCACCTGTGACTGGAGGGCTGGGTGGCAGGATTTAAAGCGCATAGCAGAACCGGGAGGATTACCCATGGCTTGTATAAGGAAGAGTCTCTTCTAAAGGGTTGCATGTGTGGCAGGCTCCTTAATCAACATGCTGCTTACCCCGGACTGGAACATGCCCTGAAGTCAAGTCATTTTTGTGTAGAATTTTTAATTATAAGTTTTATTTTTATAAACAAAAATCTTAGCTGAAGTCCAATAAAATCCAAGAAGAAGGCACAGATAATCAGGGAGAAGTAACTCAAGATTTGAGGAAATCAAGAGTCATAAAAGAGTGCTTTGCAAAACTTTGCAGATAAATTGGAAAACTTGTATGCGATGCATAATTTTCTAGGAAAATATAAATGACCATAATTGACCTCAGAAAAGATAGTAAAGAAAAATAAATGGATAAACATAGAAGAAAGAGAAAGTTACCAAACCATTCCTCTTCTAATCCTCCTCCCTCTGAAGGATTTCAAACTTGAAAAGAACACAAAATTATTGAAGACTTCTTTCTGTTGTAGGAAGATCTCTAAAACATAGTTTCTTTATCTATTAATTTAGAGACAGAGCCTTGCTCTGCCATCCAGGCTGGAGTGCAGTGGCATGATGTTGGCTCACTGCAGCCTCCATCTCCTGGGCCCAAGTGATTCTCCTGCCTCAGCCTCCCGAATAGCTGGGACTGCAGGCACATGCCACCACACCTGGCTAATTTTTGTATTTTTAGTGGAGACAGGGTTTCACTATGTTGGCCAGGCTGGCCTCAAAGTCCTGACCTCAAGTGATCTGCCTGCCTTGGCCTCCCAAAGTGCTGGGATTATAGGTATGAGCCATATTTTTTGTTTTTTTTAAATTTATTTTTATTGATTTGTTTTTATATTTTTAGAGGGGTCTTGCTTTGTTGCCCAGGCTAGAGTTCAGTGATGCAGTCAGCTTACTGCAGCCTCAACCTCCTGGGCTCACGCTATCCTCTTGCCATATCCTTTTGAGTAGCTGGGACTACAGATGTGTGCCACCATGCCCAGCTAATTTTTAATTTTTTTTTTTTTTTGTAGAGGTGGTGTCTTGCTTTGTCACTCAGGCTGGAGTGCGGTGGTGTGATCATGGCTCATTAACCTCGAATTCCTGGGCTGAAGTGATCCTCCTGCCTCAGCCTCAGGAGTATGTAGGACTACAGGTGTGAGCCACAGTGCCAGCTTAAAATACGTCAAATTTAAAATGCAAAAGAAGAAAGTGTATTCAACAGGTTTAGTGTATGCACATATGACTGATGGAGTCAGCCGTTCCTGCTTGTCATATGTAATGTGTGTAGCTGGGTGTGGCATATGTGTACATGGGTGGGTAGATCCCTAGATAGATGGAGGGCAAGTCGGTGGATCTGCCCCTCCTCCACTCACTCAGATGCCTTAGAGTGAACACGGAAGGGAGACATCAGCCTGTGGCCTCCTTAGTCGTTCTCATTTTCCTTCGCCTCTTGGTGTCTTGCTGTGTTGACTGATTCTAGTTTTGAAAGCAGCATATTGGGTCAAAATACATTTTTTTTTCTTTGAGACAGAGTCTTGCTCTGTCACCCAGGCTGGGGTGCAGTAGCGCAATCTCGGCTCACCGCAACCTCTGCCTCCCAGGTTGAAGCGATTCTCCTGTCTCAGCCTCCCGAGTAGCTGAGATTACAGGCATGTGCCACCACACCCGGCTAATTTTTGTATTTTTAGCAGAGATGGAGTTTCACCATGTTGGTCAGGCTGGTCTCAAACTCCTTGTAGGTGAGCCACCCGCCTTGGCCTCCCAAAGTGCTGGGATTACAGGTGTGAGTCAACACGCCCGGCCTCAGAATACATTTTAAATCAGGTCTGTACTGACTTCAGAATCTAACTCCAGAATAAAATTTGATTCTAAGGGGCAACAGTACCACAAATGAGGCGAAGCACAGAACATCTGTCACCGTGACTTGGGGCAGATGCAGAATGGGACTTTCACCTTTTTACACAAAACCCTTCTATGTGCCTTCTGTTTTAAAACCATGATTTTTTTTACTTTAATAATAGGCAACTAATTTAAAATACCTATTCACCATGTGTCATCTCAGAGTAGGAAGGGGACTGTGAGGCAGACGGAGCCACTTGGGACTTTTGCCTTTGGGTTGTGACATTTGTCTGTAGGTTCTTTCACTTCTGTCCATCTCATTTGTTTCTGTGCCATGCGTGTGACATGATGAGCTGGAAAGACTTTGCATGGGGCCCACGTGAGTGCTCACATCGAAGGGGCAAGTGTTAATCACCCTCTAGTTGACAGAGCTGTTTCAGGGATGGCTAGTTCCTCTGTCCGGAACACTTGTATTGAGTGGCAGGGAGCCGCGGGGACACTGCCCATAGCGGTGGGAGAGCAAGCAGGAGGGGCTCTGCCCAGGGCTGTTTCCTTTGCCTTTGTTTACCAGCATAAAGTATTAAAACAGCTAAATTATCATGGGCATTTTAATCCAATTTCTCAGCGTTTCGTCATTTGAAGAATAGAAGTCTCTTTGTTTTCACAGCCCTGTTCTTGCTTGTTTAAATTTGAATATATTTCTATTCATTCAGCTGATAGAAATTCTTTACTTTTAAACTGAGGGAGAAAAAAGAACAGATTGACTAGGGATCAGAATGTGATTTCAGTGGGTCTTTATTGGGCCCTTGTTAGGGAGGGGTTTGGACCTGGGGACTTGGAGTCTACACTGATGGCAGAAGCAAGCTCCAGAAAAGAGCAGGCTCCAGCTTTGCAAGGTAAACCTTGGAGAGTGTAGTTAGGGTGACAGCCAGCACCTCTCCCTGCTGAGTGGAGAGGGAATCCAGATTTTTAGGATCTTATAACCTGATATTTTTCATGCCTTTGACTCCTGTCTTGGTCTGTTAGGTCTTGGCTTTTGATAGCCAAAGTAACCAGCTGACTTTCCTTCTTTTTTTTTGAAATCTCCTTTACTTTTTCACAAGGCTGTTTCTCAGTGTGAATATGTTGCTTTCATATTCCCAGAGCACTCACTGAATGCATAAAGGCTAAGCAATGCAGCAGTGATACTACTAACCAGCTCTTAGTTTACTGGGTGACCTTTGGCTGGTTCTGTCGAGTGGCCACTCTACCTCCAGTTTGCCCTGTCTGGAGATGCAGCCAGGACTGTAGATTCCCAGGGGAGGGCTGACTTACTGGGGCATTTATTTACTGGATAGGGGAGTTTTTAATCTTTTAGTTGGAATATTTAGTCCATTTACATTTAATGTAGTTATTGATACACTGTGTATCTGGGGTTAAATCCACCACCCTCCTATTTATTTTAGTTTTGTCTCACCTGTTCTTTATTTTTTCTCTTTTCTTGATTTCTTTTGCATTAAGCAGTTTAAAAAATTATTCCATTTTCTCCTTCTATTAGTGATGTATCAGAGAATACATAAGCTACATATTTGTTTCGTGGTAACCCTAATAAATTACTACATACCCTTACTGTGAGAAGTGTTGAAGTTAGCACTTGCACCACTTGGCCAGACAGTGCAAGAATCTTGATGCATTTAACCCTCCTACCCACCCCCCTTTACTTTGCATGGTGTCAACATCATGGGGTTGGAGTTTCTATGTGGATTTTAAACCCCACAGTATACAGTCAATATTTATTTAGATTTATCTGCTTCTTTACACTTATTAATGTTCTTTATTCTTTCCTGCATTTCTGTCCTTCTGTTCAGGGTCATGTTTCTTCAACCTGAAAAACATCCTTTAATATTTCTTTTAGGGTGAGGCTGCCAACAACAATTTAGTTTCTGCATATTTTACCTCTATTTCATTTTTGAAGGATATTTTTGCTGTGTGTAGAATTCTATGTCAACTTTTTTTTAAGTTTAAAGGTGTTTTTCCCTTCATCTCCTTTCTGTTAAAACGTCACACTGACTGTAAGTCTTAATATTGGTGCTTTGAAAGTTCCCTCCCCGCACCCCCCTGTCCAGCTGATTTGGTTTGTATTACTTTACGGAGATGTTCTTAGCTGTGGACTACTTCATATGTATCCTTTTTGGTGCTCCTTGAACCTGTGGCTTGATGTTTCTAAGTACTATCACTTAAGACACTGGTTCTCTGCCATTCTGTCTCCCCTGCTGACGCTCATTGGAATAGGTTAGACCTTTTCACCATGTCCTGTACATTTCTCATGTTCTGTTCCGAGTTTTTTTCTTGCTGTAGGTCACTGATCCTCTCCTTTGCTGTGGGGCACAGTCTGCTGTTTAGCCAACCTACCAAATTCTTGATTCCATTGTATTTTTCTATTCTGTGATTTCCATTCGATTCTTTATCAATTCCAGTTCTCTGGTGAAAATTTTCACCTTGTTATCTCTTTTCTTGTACACATCAGCTTTCAGTTCTAGCCCTCCTTACATCAACATCTTTGAAATGGGGGGTGTGTGTTGCCATCAGTCTGACTGCTGCTGATGGCCTGGACTCAGCTGTTGCTGTCAGCACAGTGTGGACTTGAGGGCATGACTAGACAGAGGCCAGTATTTGTGCCGAGAGCCACAGGGCTCACCCGTGGAGGGAATCTGAGTCCCGATTGTGGAATGGTGGTGGCAGCATCACGTCCTGCAGGCTGGAGCCCATGAGTGGTCCCCGAGAGATTGCCTCCGAGCGCTGTTAGGAGAGGGAAGAGCTGCACTCATGCACACAGGGTGACCCTGGGTGAAATGTAGGCTCCATGGCTCCGAGGGGGAAGTGGGCTCAGAAGAGTGGGCTTCTGATCTGAATCCAAGAAGGGTTAGGAATACCTTAGCCAGTTTCTGTGGCTGCTTTTTTTCTTTTGAAACAGGCTCTCGCTCTGTCACCCAGGCTGGGGTGCAGTGGTGCAATCACGGGTCACCGCAGCCTCGACCTCCTGGGCTCAAGTGATCCTCCCACCTCAGCCTCCTGAGTAGCTGGGACTACAGGTATGCGACACCATACCTGGCTAATTTTTATTTTTATTTATTTATTTTTTTTCAGTTGGAGTTTCTCTCTGTCGCCAGGCTGGATACAGTGGCACGATCTTGGCTCACTGCAACCTCTGCCACCTGGGTTTAAGCAATTCTCCTGCCTCAGCCTCCCAAGTAGCTGGGACTACGGGCACGCACCAGCACACTCGGCTAATTTCTGTATTTTTAGTAGAGATGTGGTTTCACCATGTTGGCCAGGCTGGTCTCAACCTCTTGACCTCGTGATCCGCCCCTTGGTCTCCCAAAGTGCTGAGATACAGGCGTGAGCCACTGCGCCCGGACCATCTGGCTAATTTAAAAAATTTTTTTGTAGAGATAAGGTCTTGCTCTGTTGCTCAGGCTGGTCTCAAACTCCAGGGCTTAAGCAATCCTCCTGCCTTGGCCTCCCAAAGTGCTGGGATTTGAGCATGAACCACCGTGCCTGGCCTGCAGGTAATATTCTTTTGTGTATATATAAGAATTTAAATGAGGCCGGGCGTGGTGGCTCATGCCTGTAATCCCAGCACTTTGGGAAGCCGAGGTGGGCGGATCATCTGAGGTCAGGAGTTCGAGACCAGTCTGGCCAACGTGGTGAAACCCTGTCTCTACTAAAAATGCAAAAATTAGCTGGGCATGGTGGTGGGCGCCTGTAATCCCAGTTACTCAGGAGGCTGAGGTAGGAGAATTGCTTGAACCCAGGAGATGGAGGTTGCAGTGAGCCGAGATCGCACCACTGCACTCCAGCCTGGGCGGCAGAGCGAGACTGTGTCTCAAAAAAAAAAAAAAAAAGAATGATAAATGAGAAACATGTCTGAGTAAGTTGATAATAGCTCTTCTTACTAAGTATCAGATAAAAATTCCAAAGAGAAAGTGTTGTGTCGTGTCATGTCATAGTTTAATTGGCAGTTTTTTCCTTAGTGACATAGAAGACAGTGATGGATCGTACAACCTTTGGCACCTTAGAGTTTATGAAAAAGTAGCATCTGTTCTATAGAAATTATGGCCACACTCTGAGGAGCAGAGTTGGGGACAAGAGTGGAAGGAAGAGTCTGATGGTGACACGGTCTCCTGCAGGTCTTCCCAGAGCCCCATTCACCACCCATGATCACTCCCTGCCCCGTTTCCCATTTTCTTTATATTCTACCCTTTTGCGGCAAGGGACTAACAAGGGCCATGCATGCCTGGCAACACAGGCGGTCCCATCCTTCGCTCAAGCCCTAAGTGACCCCTGCTGGCCGCACTCAATGGTAACTGACTGCTGGAAGGATGGTCAGCCACTGTCCCCAATGCAGGCAGCCCCTTGGTCCCCCCATTCCCATCGTTCCCCACCCCATCTCCCCACCCTTCTCTCAGCAGGAGCCTCCCCCATACCACCCCAAGTCAGCTTCCTAAAATGCCCTGTGGCTCTGGCTCACCTGCTGGAAACAAGGCAAGGTCAAGGTCAAGCTCCAACCCCCACCCCCAGCCCAGCTGCCCTTGGGGGTTTTCCTCTCCCTCTGCTGCGTTTCCTTCTCTTGGGCCTGCTCATCTTTCTCGGGCTCTTTTTCTTCTTTGTCTAAGTCTTACTGCCGACCTACCACACTTAAGGTTCTCTTCTGCTGCCATCTTCTGTCGGCCCTGGCCCCTGAGCACGGGACCAGGATTGGAAGTGGCAGGGGTTGAGGGAGTTGAGTTAGGGTGTAAGCGTGGCTGACTTGGTGAAATCTTAAGATTTGGGGGAGATCTGAAGTGCCTTGCTCTCAATGTCAGTATTGATTGTGGATGGGTTAGGAGGAGGAGAAAAATTCCAAGTCTCAGCACAAGGCGGGTGGCTGTGAGGAGCAGATGCAGTTCACTATTGCAGAGTCGGAGCCGGAGAGGCAGAGGTGGAGGCCGCTGACGCCAGGCCAGCTCTCTAGGTCTCAGCAGAGGAGTCGCGCGGGAGCCCCAGGACTCACTCTCCTTGCTCCTAGCAGGCCTCAACTAACAACCCTTCTCCACCACGGTGTTGAGCCGTTGATGGGGGTGATATGAGCTTGTAGATGAGTTGGGGAGACCTGGTGTTTTGCACCCGTGGCAGTGGCACGCTTCTTGGGCTGTTCTGCTCTGCTTTTTATGT
Source organism: Homo sapiens (assembly GCF_000001405.40). Classification (NCBI taxonomy): domain Eukaryota; kingdom Metazoa; phylum Chordata; class Mammalia; order Primates; family Hominidae; genus Homo; species Homo sapiens. Next base: position 80,661,597 of record NC_000017.11, read on the forward strand.
CCGCCGATAAGGTCGGAGAGTCTCTCCCCGGCGCTCCTATGCACATCTTGTTAAGTTTCTTCTTAGAGCTTCTGTTGCTGCTGGGAAAGGGATCCCCCACCACCCCCCGCCCCCTTTCTTAGTGGGTTCTTAGGATGGCGCATGAGAGAGTTGCTCTTTATTGCCTCCTGGTTCTCCCAGTATGGGTTTTTATCCATCCAGTGGTTCCAAGACAGTGGCTGTGATGAACGGAGTTGCCGCGAGTCTCGTGGCATTTGGACCCTGCACCGCTCGAGATTCACTGCGCTGCACACCAGGGCCTCGGTAATTCAGTCAAAACAACAGATTTAGAGGTGTACAGAAAGGGCCATTCTATTTTCCATTTTGTATATTTCATGTCTCTTTAAATCTCTTAAAGCTTAGAACACCCGTTTTTCATATGCCTTTCTAAAAACTTTTTTCCAGGCGATTTTTAGATGCTATTTATGTGTAGTAAAATGCGTAGATCTTGAGTGTTTAGTCTGATGAGTTTTGACAGTTGTATCCTCCTGCTTAATCACACTCAAAGCAAGATGGAGATCATTTCCACTCCCCAGAAAGCTCCCTCAGCCCCCTTTCCAGTCAGTTTCTCCTGGCCGAGGCCAGCCGCCTTCTGCCTCCTATCACCAGAGGCTAGTTTTGCCCATGGAACTGAACGCCCCGATGAGTTCGTCTTGTCTGCTGCACAGACAAAACCAATTCACGGAGGCTGCAATATTGTAGTAAAGAAAGAATTTAACTCAAAGCCTTGCAGGTGGAAGGACGGGAGTTTTATTATTACTCAAATCAGCCCCTCTGAGAACTCAGAGACTAGGGTTTTTATGGATAATTTGGTGGGCGGGGCTAGGGAGTGGGTGCTGCTGATTGGTTGGGGGGTGAAGTCATGGGGTGGGGAAAATGGTCTTCTGCACTGAGTCTGCCTCTGGGTGGGGCCACAGGATGGGTCCAGGTGGGGTCAGTTGGTTGCCAGAACGCAAAACTCTGAAAAACATCTCCAGTCTTAGGTTTTGTAATGTGTTGTTTTCTACAGGAGCAATTGGGGAAGTCGCAAATTTTATAACCTGGCCACGACTCCCGAGCAGCAAGGAATTATAGAAAGGCAAGCTAGGGATGATGGCTGGGTATCATTAGTGACATCTACATCTTAGCAGAATTCAGGCCCCTCACATAATCCTAATCTCATGGCCTTTCATAGTCTTACAAAGGTGGTTTCAGTCCCTGAACCAGGAGGGGACCAGTTTTAGGGAGGGACTGTTATCATCCTTGCTTTAAAGTTCAACTGCAAACTAAATTCCTCCCATGGTTAGCTGTGCCTGCATCCGGGAATGGGTGAGGGCAGCCGCCTGTGAGGTTAGGAGGGAGGTGGAATCAGCCTTGCCAGCCTTTTCTCCCTGTCATAATCTTGCCCAGGTGGCCTCACTTATTTTTTACCTTTTTCTACAGTGACCACATGTGATGTATTCTTTTGCTCTTGCGTTTGGCCTCGTTCACTCAGGGTGAGGCTTCTGAGACTCGTCCGGGCGGCAGCTCATTGCTGGGTGTCCCGGAGCCTGCACATCCACGCAGGGTGCATCCACCCTCCCTCTCCCACAGGTTCACGCTGCACCTGTTTCCAGTGACTGGCTTTTAGGGATAAAGCTGCCATGAGTGTTGGGGTGCAAGTCTTGTGTGGACCATATATTTTTATTTCTCTTGAGTGTATGGGATTGCAGGTCATTGGGTGGTTGTATGTTTCCAGTTACATTTTGCAAGCCACTCTAAATTGACAAAAATGACAAAAATCATCTCTTTCTTTGCAAAGCCAGGCAATCTGCAGAGGAATCTTTATTTACAGTTTCCTCCAGCACTCTGGAGACATGGAAGCGTAGGCATCAGTGAGCTGGGAGGTATTTGGTTGTCTTTGAATGAATTATTAGGTGAGATATTGACATTATTTCCCCTCAAACAGTCCACATTCCTGAATGGCAGGGAGTGAAGGCAGCCTGTGCTTATGTTTGTGCTTATTATGGAGTGTGCACGTGGATCTATTTACCGTGTGGAAAATAATAGAATGAATTGCTTTTACACATTACTGGGCTTAAGAAATGGAAGGTGACATAGCCTTTGAAACCCCCTCTGAGCCCCTCCCCAGTCACAGTCCCCTCTGTCTTCCTGAGCTCACCCTGTCCTGATTGGGCCTTGTGCCTTCCTCTGCTTGAGACTGGTTCTGTGCGTGTGCGTGTGTGCAAGCAGGTGTGTGCACAAGATGGGCTGGCCTGCCCTGCTTTGGCACGGAAGCATCCTCCGCTGGGTGTTTGTTCTGAGGCTCATCTCACAAGGATCTGGGTCCTCAGGCTCCCACTGCTCTGCATCTTCCCCGTGACAGCCGCGTGGGCATTTGCTCTTGACCCTGTGGTGGCTGAGACAGAAACCTTGGAGGAGTCACTCACTTCTGTTGGAGCAAAATGCAGGCCTCCTCCAGGGCTGCGTCTGGGAGGGACTTGGGTGGTGGAGTGTTTATGACTTAGCGCAGAGGGCTCTTACGTGCAAACCATCTTGGCTGTGGAGCGCCCTGTTGCCTGGAAGGTCTGCCTTCTCATGGGGGCTGGGCTTCCAGACTCCTGAAATGTGCTGTGAGGCTTCCTATTCTTTCTTAATGATTAAAAATACGATTTCTTCTTTAATGCCCAGCACAAATGCATTTAGCTGTGTTTATTTTTTTCCCTAAGTAACAGAAGCAATCCTGAGAAAATAATTCTTACACTCAGTATTGATTCTCTGCTTCATGTGCTAGGGTGTTCCCCCTCCCACTGAAGTTGCTGCTGCTTCACCCTCTCCTCCTCGATGGCCTACCATCCTGCAGCCTCGCTCCCTGCGCCTGCCCCCTTCTCCTTCTCCTCCTTCCCCTTTCAGTGCTTGCTCTTCCCTCCTTTCCTTCTTCTCTTCCTCACCCCACTCTTCCCCCTTTTCTCCTCCTGCCTCTCTTTCCACCTCCTCCTCCGTCCCTGCTGGTCTCCTAAGAAGCACTTAGTAGCACTCAGAATCCTTGACCTTGGCAGGCTTGGGAAGTGTTGGTTAATGAAGGGATGTGAAGACGAAGGGAGTCTGAGTCTCCAAAGGAATCATGGCTGTTGGGAGTTTGCTTGATTAGGAGATGGGCCGTTTATTACAATGTGAGTTGTTAACTCTAAAGTGCCTGAGATAAATTTATAGTGTTTATTTGCTTCAGAAGGAGTTGGATTTTTTCTTACAAAGTGAAATATACTTTTCTAAATTTTATGTTTATATAAACATAATTTATGTTGTTATAGTTTTAATCTGCATTACTCCTCAAAAGGAACAAAAATGTTTTGGCTTTTTTCTCCCTGAGCTGCAGAGACCTTTTTCTCCTGCTTCTGTCCTCTGTATTCTCCCCACCCCTTTCTCCCTCCTTTCTTCCCTCTTTTTAATCTGTCAATTAAAATATTTGAAAGGATATCACTGAGATCTTTGGGCAAGGACTTTACCTGTTTTTGCTGTTGTCAACCGAGGGTGCGGTGGCTCCTCCCACCTGCTGTCTCTGGTTTTTACTGGGCTTCCTCTCCATTATCCTAATTAGGTGGTTTGCCGGTTGTTACACATCAAAGACCTGAGTTTCCTGGCGAGGAGGGAGGGAGGCATGGGAGCCCCTCATTACCGGCGTGCATCCTAACCACACTGCTTGTTTTCTTCTTGAGAAAATTTTTTTCTTTTCTTTTCCCTTTCCTTTCCTTTCCTTTCCTTTCCTTTCCTTTCCTTTCCTTTCCTTTCCTTTCCTTTCCTTTCCTTTCCTTTCCTTTCCTTTCCTTTCCTTTCCTTTCCTTTCCTTTCCTTTCCTTTCCTTTCCTTTCCTTTCCTTTCCTTTCCTTTCCTTTCCTTTCCTTTCCTTTCCATGTCCTTTCCTTTCCTTTCCATGTCCTTTCCTTTCCTTTTCCTTTCCCCTTTCCTTTCCTGACAGAGTCTCGTTCTGTCACCCAGGCTGGAGTGCAGTGGCGTGATCTCGGCTCACTGCAACCTCCGCCTCCCAGGTTCACGCCATTCTCCTACCTCAGCCTCCCGAGTAGCTGGGACTACAGGCGCCCGCCACCATGCCCGGCTAATTTTTTTGTATTTTTAGTAGAGATGGGGTTTCACCGTGTTAGCCAGGATGGTCTCGATCTCCTGACCTCGTGATCCGCCCACTTTGGCCTCCCACAGCTGGGATTACAGGCGTGAGCCACCGCGCCCGGCCCCCCAAAAATTTTTCTTTAGAAATGATATAAAGTATGAAGAACTCTTGGAAGATCTTCGTCGGAAAGATGAAGGAAGTCTTGTTTGTCTCGTAACCCTGGAGGCCACTGAGTATCTCTCCCTCCCATCTGCCTGTGCCCGTGTATCCTGCGTCTGTTGTGAAATGTTTACCATGCCTTGACTGGGACTTGTGGGCTGAGCAGGGAGGACAAACGTTTTATTTTTAGTGACTGTCCCTCAAAGAGCTATACTTTCGATGCCTTTCAATATGAAATAGTAAAAATCTTGCCATTTGATATTACCTAAAATATTACTCTTCTCCAAAGTTGGTTTGCCAAAATAAATTATGTTTATTATCTACTCTTTCTCCTTGATATTATCTAAAATATTATTCTTCTCCAAAGTTGGTTTGCCAAAATAAATTACGTTTATTATCTACTCTTTCTTCTTGCTATGAGTTTAAGAAGACTCTTGTTCCCTCTCCCTCGATCAAGCCTGCTGCAGACACAGAAGATGGAGACTAGAAGAAGTGCTAGGACAAGCTACCGCTGTCTTCAGGGTGACCCTGAAGAGTTAGGTCCTTGCCGTGAGTATAGGTGAGGCCGAAACAAGTGACCCGGAATCTAATCACAGCCTGGGCAGAGTGTAGGAAGGGCGCAAGGATGAAAATGACTGCTTGGTTGGACGCAGCAAAATGTTGATTATTGGCCATATATGCGTCACTTTGCTAGTTGCTGTGGATATAACAATAAGTGATACCTCCTACTGGCAAAGAATTCTAAGTCTGATAGGGAAAATAAACATCATTCATTCATTCATTCAGCAAATGTTTATTGGGATTCCACTGTGCTTCAGCCTCTGTGAGCAGCGCCCAACATTGCCCCTGCTGTAGTGGTGCAGAGCCTCGTGGGGAGATGGGTGGCCGAGCAGTCCGAGAACCCACCTAAGGAGTGGATGGTAAACTGAGGCAGCGCCTTGAAAGGAAGAATGCTGTCTGTGAAGGGTGATGGCGAGTTCTCTTGACCAGAAGCCATGCGAATTACTGCCCGTGTCCTCTGATCGAGCCTTCTAGGCCACTACCGTATCCTCAGAGAAGGCTTTATAGTCCAGCCAACAGCACTCCAGGAATTGTCTACTCAAGGAATGCAGTAGGTGGCACTTGTTGAGTGCATTCTGTGTGGTTAGGACACTGATTCATCAGGGCCTGGATTTTCCCAATAACCCCGGGAGGAAGGCGTTCCCGTCTCCACGTCCCTTTCCCAGCGTGCCAGTGCTGATGGTAGGTTCTGCTGGATCCCTGCCCCGGTGCATGTTGATCTTTCCAGTACAGCTTGTTGCCCCCCAGGGAGGCAGGGAAGTAAGTCCATACCACATTGGAAGAGTTAGACGGGTCTTGGAGAGGCTGGAGGGGGACAGCCGGGGGAAGCTCCATAGAGGTGGTGACGTCTGAGCTGGGAGCGAAGGGAGACCAGGGCTGGGCAAGGTGGGCAAAGTGTGAGCAGACATTCCAGTGGAAGCCAGAGGAGCAGGCTGGACTCTGCATTTGTTCCTACTGGAATAAGGAACAGGTGTTTGAGTGGATACAGAATAAGGACTTGATCGCCTTCCTTGCTGACAAGTGCATCGTGAGGTGCTCTTTTTTCTACTCATCCCACTTTCGAAGTTTCTTTTTCTTGACTATTTTGACTTAAGATGCCCAGAGTTAATAAAGTTGCATAATTTATCTTCCCATTTAAAAGATGTCAGTGGAAGTCATAGCAAATAGTAAGCCCTTCGCACCCATGACCTTTGTTTAGCTGAGTCTCTTGGGACAAAGATAACAAGTTGTTGACACACGGGAGAGAATGTTAGTATTCTTTGTGGTTTCATGGGACAAATATGGAGGCTCCTTCATTTGCTTGATACTAACTGCAGTTTGGACTTAAGCCTGCAGAGGTGATTGGAAAGATTTTCAGTGAAATGAGTGGTGTAATTGTGATTGTGATAATGCAGGTGACTGCTTTTCATTCATTCGGTTCCCACCGGCAGCCTGGCATTTAGAAAAAAGTTAACCTTTCTGTGAAATCATTTTAGTGGGAAAATCCACAAGGGTCTGCCATTCTGTCAGCAACAAAAATGCCGTGGGCAGAACGACCTTCAGATGGGATTCTGGAACCACAGGGGGTTTAATGCAAACAGATGACATGGAAGCTGCACAGAGGAAACGTCTGGTTTCAGGCGCGGGCATCTAACCTGCCCTGTTCTTCAGTGCAGGTTTCAGATACCACAGCAGTAAACAGTTACCACATTTCCCTTAGTGTAGCAGGCCTGAGGGGTAGCGGAGAGGCAGGTTGGGCCTCCACTAGACAAAGTTTATCCTAGTGAGTTCTTTTGGGTTCAACTTGTCAAGGAGGGTGGCTACTGAGAGGTTGCCTGATAATCTCCAAGTTTCTTCCATCTCCATCCATTTTTACTCATTACTAGCCTTTATAAAGTACAGAGTGAGATAATTTTCATCATGTTCCTAGGCTGGCAGGCCTGGGTTCTAAGTATTACTTGAGGTCATAGAGCAGGCTTGTGTTCTTTGTAGAAAGGCCTTTGATAGGTGGCCGCAGGAGGTCTTCGCGCCCTGTCCCCTCAGCATGCACTTGTTCTCCCAGAGTCGGCCATGGCCATTCTTCCAGGCTTCTGGAGAAAGGACCTCCTCACAAGCAGACAGCAAAATAAAACAATGACCAGTGTCAGAGAAGATGACACCCCCGTCTCCCATGTTTGCACGCCTCAGCAGTTCTCAGCCGTATGCCTATGCTTTTACAAGTGAAAACCAGCTCTTTAGGTCACTTGCGTCACAGGGATCTCCTCTTTTCTGTCCAGCTACCTGGCAGTCATTATTCCTCATTGTTTATTGTTAGAAACCTTTTGTTCAGCAGAGCGGCTGCCCCAGGGATCACAGGCAGAGCGGGTCCTGCTGGAGTTTAGTCTCAGGACAGCGGCTTGTCCGCATTCGGGTTTGAGCATGAGAATGTTGTTCCCATGATTTCAGAGAAGAACAACTGTTTTAAAGGTCAGATTTTATTCTGTCCAGTATTCTGTAAAGGACGAGTTGAATATCAATGAAAGAAAGAGCTTTAGTAGCTGTGGCAGTGCTGTGGGTCTGCTGCCTCCCGGGTGCTTCTCACACCACAGAGGCTGGAGAGCCAGGTGCCCCTGCAGCCAGGGCTTTGCTCGGGGACACGCTTGCCGGAGGCCAGGCTACCCTAAGTGTGCACCGAGGGAGGTGGTGGGACCTGCCCGTTCTGCTGGCTCAGCAGGAGCAGCCAGGGGCTGGGGGCTTCTGGGGCTTTCTAGGGCGTGGGAATGTGGGTAGGGGGCATTTCCCAGCTGCTGCACAGGCCACTGGTCCTGGCCTGCCTTCCCTGAAAGCTGAGTCCAAATTCTTCTTCTCTTGCCCTTGCACGGAATCTGTAAGTCACAGAACACCCGGAGTGCTGCCCTTGCTGCATTAATAGCACCAGTGGTTTCTGGGGAACTTCCCTGACCTCATCCCTGTTGCATACAGTAGTTCATTCTTTCTTTTTTTTGAGACGGAGTTTCACTCTTGTCGCCCAGGCTGGAGTGCAGTGGCGCGATCTCAGCTCACCGCAACCTCCGCCTCCCAGGTTCAAGCGATTCTCCTGCCTCAGCCTCCCGGGTAGCTGGGATTACAGGCGTGCGCCACCATGCCCGGCTAATTTTGTATTTTTAATAGAGATGGGGTTTTTCCATGTTGGTCAGGCTGTTCTTGAACTCCTGACCTCAGGTGATCCGCCCGCCTTGGCCTCCTGAAGTGCTGGATTACAGGCGTGCGCCACCGCGCCCGGCCCAGTAGTTCACTCTTAAAACGCCTTGTTATGTTTCTCCCCTGCGCTCTGGTGACCCCCAGACCTCTCCATGGAGGGACAATCTTCTGCACCAGGAGCTCTTCCCCTCTGTGGATCATCTCTCTTTCCTCTTCCCTTCCTTTTTTTCCTGATACTTCTGATACTTATTCAAATAATTCATTTTTTTTGTTCTTCAGTCGTCACTTTCATGTTTGATTTCTGAATGCCTCTTTAGGCCTGGCCTCTGTCTTTGCTCAAATTGTGTATTTGAGACAGTCTACAACATCACTCAGGTATCTTTAGATTTGTCTTGTCTGAGTGGAATTCATCCTAAAATTGGAAGCTTTAGATGTACAAGAGATCTGAATAATAGTTTAAAACCATTACCCTCATCTGAAAGATAAGGTGGTGGGGCTGGGACAGAGAAAGTGACTTGCTCAGTGAAATCGACTGCAGACCGGACTCCGGGTTTCTTGGTTTCTTGTTCACTGTAAGGTTTGACCTTAAGCCAGTTTCTTGTCACAACTGTCTCATTTCCGACCATAATACAGAGAACATCACCTTTAAATTGTCCCTCTTTTATCACCATCCACTTAGTCACCAGGTCCTACCCGTCCCTTGTCCGTGTCGGGAATTTGCGCCTTCCCTCTCCTTTCCCACTCCTTGTTCTAATTCTCAGTCTTTATACTTAAGCCTCACTGTCATGCCACTGTTGCCATTAGATTTTCTGCTTCTGACCTTTTTAAGCCTTTTAACCATCCGGAGCGTTGCTGTCAGCACTCGATTTTGACATGACGCCTGCCCGCTGCTTCGTCTTTTTCTATTTGTACCCTATTTTTTTGATGGCACTCGCTACCTCTCACACACTGTGCAGTTTTCGTATTTATTGTGTTTAGGGTCTCTTCCCCACTTGACTGTGAGCTGTAGGAGGCCAGAAATTGTAATCCATTTGGTAACAGATGTACCTACAGCTCCCGGCCAGGTGGTCATCCGCAGTCCACACACGCATTCAGCTCTGGTATACGATAGATGTGTAGTGTAGCAGCACCTGGCGTTTGCCTGTAGACGACACACAGTAGTTGTTGAATTTGTGGGACCCTTGATAATCAGCCCCCCAACTCCCCCCCACATTCATTTCTGATTACTCTGAAGCATAAACCCTCCCCGGTAGCCACAAGGGTCTCCTCGGTCAGGGGAATGGATTCTCCCTGGTCCTAGGGGAGCACACGCTCGTCCTTGTTACCCTCTCTGTGGTGGAGCTGGGTTGCACACTGGAACTTATCCTCGCCGGGGTCAGTGATCCTGGAGGTCGGTTGCCTCCATATTGAGCCCCTAAAGCACCTGGCCCTGGGAAGAGCGTGGGCCCTGGAGCGTGGCCCAGTATTTCCTCTTCTGTTTTGCTGTATCCTGAATTTCTCTTCTTTTTCTTTCATTTCTCAGAGTCCAAGTCACATCCTGCTTCCTCTGGGCTCACCATCTCTGCCGTGTTGCTCCACGGGCCCCTCCTGGCCTTTAGTGCCCTCTGCAGCCTGTGCTCTTCGTCCTTGTGCTGCCCGGCAGCCGATGGCCTTTCCTCCAGGCTCGGCACAGTAGGAAGCGCCAATGTTCCTGATAATCAAATTTATGGGCGTGCGTGTGAGAGAGAGAGAGTGTGTTCCTGCTGAAGCATCTCGGTTAAATCAAAACACTCTGTAATTATTGGGTTCTTCTTTCCTCTTGCCAGAACACTCTCTAATTATTGGTTTCTTTCCTCCTGCTCTTGACATTTGATGTGTCTATTTGCCCTCTCTGTCAATAGTGCTGAGTAGAATACTGCAGGCACAAGTCATGTTTTTGTAACGATTTTCGACAGATTAGCATTCCTTTAAAAAAGAACTTAAGTCGGTTGGGGAAGGGGGTCCACTCATATTACAAGGGGGATACTTTCAAAAATCCTTCAAATAATGGTAAGAGAAGCAGCTTTGCATAGTTGTGAGGGAACCTGGGGCTTACTGGAGAAGTGAGCACACTTCTCCAGGCATGCCATCTGCAGCCTTCCTTTTCTTTCTAGGCTGACCTATGGTCTTCTGGTCACTAGTCATTCCATTTGGCAGTAGAATCACCTTCTCAGTTTTGAAATAGGTGTAACCAGTAGGGGAAAAGGATTGTGGTGTGCGTGGTGTTCTTTGCGCACAAAGATGACCGTGGAATTTTTGAAGGAGGCAATTATTGTCATTGTTTAATATATAACTGGAGGCTTAATTTCCAAGTAGCTGTTGTAGCATTAAATGTCCCTGGCTAGGTGCCAGTAGCTATTTCCATTGTACATTGAATCTATTGCTTCTTTTTAAAATACAATGGTTCGTAGGTTGATTTATCTTTATTTTAAAGAAAGGGCTAATATCACAAGGTAAGTTTTTGAGCAGATACTATATTACGAAGTGTTCTGACTCGGATACTGGAGAGGAACAGTGGCCCTGGATACCTCCTCTGTGAAGGTCAGGTTAAGATCTCTTTATGCTCACAGTATAAAGATTAGGTTTGGCTGAGAGTTACAGGGGAGAGGAAATAACAATTGTGTAACTCAAATTAAAGTTTGTTCACTCACATTAAGATTCCCTAGAAGTAGTCATTCCAAGGCTGTTTAGTGCTCCAGCATAGCAAGGCCTCGGGCTCCTCCTATGTTTACTTTGCTGTGCAAAGGTTCTTTTTTTTTTTTTTTTTTTAAATGGTTACCTCATTGTCCAAGATGGCTGCTCAAGCTCCAGCCATTGCATATATGAGGGGACTTCAAAAAGTTCATGCAAAAAAAGAATTAAAAGATAAAAATAAAAAACAAACTTCTCAGCCAGGCGCGGTGGCTCACGCCTGTAGTAATGCCAGCACTTTGGGAGGCCGAGGCGGGCAGATCACGAAGTCAGGAGATCGAGACCATCCTGGCTAACACAGTGAAACCCTGTCTCTACTAAAAACAGAAAAAATTAGCCGGGTGTGGTGACAGGCACCTGTAGTCCCAGCTACTTTGGAGGCTGAGGCAGGAGAATGGCGTGAACTTGGGAGGTGAAGCTTTCAGTGAGCCGAGATCGCGTCACTGCACTCCAGCCTGGGCGACAGAGCGAGACTCTGTCTCAAAAAACAAACAAACAGACTTCTCAACATAAGGTCTAACAAGATCAAGACACTTTTGTAAATGACGATACCACCCATTTAATCTGTCCCTAAAGAACGGAGGGTTCTAGGAGTTTAACTGTGTCTATACAGTCTTTTTACATTATTTTATTTTTTGAGACAGAATCTCATTCTGTCACCCAGGCTGGAGTGCAGTGGTGCAATCTTGGCTCACTGCAACCTCCACCTCCCGGGTTCAAGCGAGTCTCATGCCTCAGCCTCCCACGTAGCTGGGATTATAGGCGTGTGCCACCACGCTTGGCCAATTTTTATATTTTTAGTAGAGATGCGGTTTCACCATGTTGGCCAGATTGGTGTCAAATTCCTGACCTCAGGTGATTGGCCTCCCCAAAGTGCTGGGATTATAGGTGTGAGCCGCCACGCCCAGCCCTCTTTTTACATTATTAACAGAAGGAAAAATACGTTTCCTGTAAAGATTTTTTAAAGATTAGGAAACAAACAAGTCAGAAGGAGCCAAATCAGGACTGTAAGGCAGATTTTTAATGATTGTTTCCCATGAAAACTGTCACAAAGTTCCCCTTGTTGGATGCTTGTTTTGGATGCGAGCAATGAGCAGGAGCACTGTTATCACTGTGGAGGTGGAGGGGGCTCCCTGGTGACACTTTCCTGGGCATTTTTCTGCTCAAGCTTAGGCTTTCTCAAACACTCGTAACAAGCAGCTGTCATCGTTGTTTGGCCTCCAGAAAGCCAACAAGCAAAATGCCTTGAGCATCTCAAAGAGCGGTTGCCGTGACCTTCGCTGTCATCCAGATTGCTCTTGCTTTGATGGAGCCACTTCTTGGTAGCCGGCGCTTTGATTGTGGTTTGTCTTCAGGATCTGCTGGGAAAGTCGTGTTTCATTTCCTGTTTCAATTCTTCAAAGAAATCCTTCAGGGTCTTGACCCCATTTGTTTGAGATTTCTGTCTAAAGCTCTGCTCTGGTCTGCAGCTCATCTGAGTGCAGCATTGGCAGCCATCAAATGGAAAGTTTGCTCAACTGTAATTATTCAGTCAGAATTGTGTAAGCGCGATGGAGAGGTCTGTGATACTGGCTGTTGTTTGTGTTGTTAATTGTCAGTCCTCTTCACTTAGGGCATGAACTAGATGAAGTCTTGCCTTGCAAATTGGTGTGGTTGGTCTGCCACTGAGAGTGTCATCATCTTGGCCCTCCTTAAAATTAATTGTCCACTTGAAAACTACTGATTTCTTTGGTGCATTGCCCCCATCAACTTTTTGTAAAGCACCAATGATTTCACCATTCTCCCACCCAAGGTTCATTATAAACTTGATGTTTGTTCTTGCTTCAATTTTAGCGGAATTTGTGTTGCTCTGATAAGGGCTCCTTTCAAACTAATATCTTATCCTTCTTACTGTCTCAAACTAGATCCTGTTTACACATGTTATGGAACAAGTTAGTATAAGTTTATTTTGGGGCAAAATGTTTTTTGAAGTACGTGCATAGTTTTTTTTCTTGAACATGAAAACCCTTTGTACATTTCACCTTTCCGGAAAGAAGAAGTAGGGAAGAAGACCCCACTGTTTTCCTTTAAGGATGTTTCTTAAAAGTTACACTCAGCACTTTCACAGGGAGGCTGGAAAATATCTAGGTGACCCTGTGTGCAAATGAAGAACTGGGGATTCTAGTTATGGAAGGGTGGGGTGGATACTGGGGAAAACGAACAGCCTCTGGCATAGGCGCCATCCTGGCTGATGCTGAGTTTCTTCTTTTCTACCTGAGCTTAGCTAAAATCTCGCCACCACGCCCAGAAGAGAATGCATTTGCTTTGGAGTTTTCTGTAATCCTTCTGAATTGGTTCTAAATTGGTGGCCGGCGCCTGTAGTCCCAGCTACCTGGGAGGCTGAGGCAGGAGAATGGCATGAACCTGGGAGGCGAAGCTTTCAGTGAGCCGAGATAGCGCCACTGCACTCCAGCCTGGGCAACAGAGCAAGACTCTGTCTCAAAAAAAAAAAAAAAAAAAAAAAAAAAAAAAAAAAAAACAACTTCTCAACATAAGGTCTAACAAGATCAAGACACTTTTGTAAATGACAATACCACCCATCTTGGGATATGATCAAATATACACTAAGAATATGGAAATGAATCGTCCTGACGTGGAGGTAGAATACTCAGGTGACCAGTTGCTTCCAACTAGGACTCAGTCACCCCTGGCTTCAGAAGGGCAGGAGACACGCTGTGAGAAGCTGTGAGAGTGTTGGAGATTTAGGATGATTCTCAGTTCGCAGATTCTTTGTTCAGCTATGTCCAGTCTGTTTTGAAGCCTTTCCATTTTCATTTTAAGTTGTTTTTTTTCTTACAAATTCTGTATAGTTATTTATTTCTGATTTGGATGTCTGAAGTCTTTTTGTATCTGATTCAGCTACAGTTTTTGTTGGCTGTTCGTCATGGTGCCTGTTTCCTAATGTCCTTTTAAATTTTGACAGTTATTTTCCTTTGAAATTGAAGTATGTGAAATCTTTGAAGCTTGGGATGAAGTTGGCTTCTTTTAGGACTATGAAGTTTGCTTCTATCAAGTGCTTACAGGTCCTGACAGTCTGAGGTTTTCTATCACACCCGGGTCAAGGCCAGCCATCCCTCCTCTCTGTTTATTACTAGGCTGAGGGGCAGAAACTTTTCCTTGCAGTGCCCCGGTGGGGTGGGTTTACTTTCGGGTAAACCTTGCTCTGCGTCTGCAGCCCTCTGCACACCCACTCTTCTGGAGGGATGCCCTCCCTCAGACACCATGCCAGCACGGGCCTTGGGCGTTGCCTCCTGCCCCTCAGGCCGCCCATGACTGCAACGCCCCACTCCAGTTCATGGGCTCAGGCCCGCGGAACCCGGCTGCTCTGCTCACCGGGCTCGGGCCCGCAGAACCCGGCTGCTCTGCTCACCGGGCTGGCCCCAGCTTCACTGCTCTCACACCAGCACATCCGTGAATTTCAGAACGTGCCCCTGCCTGCTTGTCTGCCCCCCACCTCCAAGCATTTTCACTTGTTAGTGAGAGGAACCTGGAGCCTGAATCCACCACATTGCTGGACATTTTGTGCTTGTGGTCTTTTTATTACCGCAGATGTGATTTCCTTGCTTGTTTCTTCAAGAGCCTACTCTTAAGAGGTATGATGAAATACTTTTGAGAGTGTGAATTTCACTAAATCACAAAATCTGAAAGGTGTACAAGCAGACAATTCTGAAAGAAATAGAAAATGTAGCTGAGTGTCTAGTATCAAGTGTAGCCATTTCTGGTGATAAATTATTATACGCATTAGGTGGATAGTTTTGTTTACTAAGAATTGAAGGTAATTCTGGAAATTGATAGGTCAGCAAGCCTTTGCTTAGTGTGAGGCTAAGGAGTTTGTCGTGTTTATGCAAAATGGTAATGTCCTACTGCTGCTTTATCGATATGGAAAGTTCCAGTAGGTTAGAAGTGGTTAAGTAAAGATGAATGGCGAATGGGATTTGATTAAATGTAAAAGTTTCTGAGGGAAGTGAATCACTGTGTAGATGGAGTCACCCCCGGCTATTGATTTAAATGACAGTTCAGAAATAGTATCAAAAGAAACAAAATGGCCAGCGTGTCAAGAAACCAGCAGCTCTTCTGTTCCGGGGTAGCCAGCACCAGGCATCAGGGCCCCCGGGACCTCTGGACATCAGCGCTGTGGGTCGTCTTGGAATTGACACTTGAGGGCAGATGAGGCAGCACCAGCTCCTGGGTGCCTCTGCACCCAGTGCCCTGTCTCCGCAGTGAGTGAGGCTGGACCGGGTGTGCCAGCATCTGGAGGGGTCTGCAGGGTCGGAATACTGCATACAGTTGGATTTTGAGGTGGAGCATTAGCTAATTAACTGCAACCAAAAGTAAAGTAGCAGGGTGGCTGCTTCTCCAGGCCTGGAAGCCTGCGTGGTGGCTGAACTGCGGTCCCCACTGCAGCAGAACCGGGCAGGCCTCAGTGGCCTCAGGCTCTGTCCCTGTGTATTTCATGGAGAACAGAGTCAGGGAGGTGCAGGGCTCATCGCTAGCCAGGGCACAGCGGGACCAGGCATCCTGATTTGCAGCCTGGTGGCCTTTACCTAGTGCCGCCTCATCTGACATAAAGTCACCCGTGTGGGGGAGAGCTGTATTTTAATAATCAGTTTCAGGTAGATCCCGGAAACCCAAACATATAGAAAGGTGAGGGACTTCGGTTCCCACCTCCTGAGCAGGTACTGCCTCGTGCCAGTGGACCTGGGAGGGCGGGAAGGCTGCTCTCAGGGGCACGCTGTTGCATTATGCCATGTTGTTCTTTTGGTTGTTTATTGTGATGAGCTCTTATTGTGATAAGAAAAATAATCATTTTCTCATCTTTAGCAGTGAATATACCTCTTTTTTAACTGCCATGTTAACGTTTGCCTTTGACAGTGTGCTCTGAGAGACACAATCTATGCTTCAATTCTATGCTCTTCAGCTGTCATAACTCTTCTCCATGTCTTTGAAGTGCAGTAAAGAAAGTGTAACCCAAAAACTGAACAGTAATTCCTAAACTTGGCACTTGCTCTCCACTCTGGAGACATTCTAGGTTTCATTTGAGAGGGATTTTGGCCTGCTTAAAGCATTTTAACAGCTTTTCGTTGGCCCCAGTACAAAGTCTAAACTCTTTACCTGGGAGGAAAAATTGCTTTTGATCTGGTCCCTGCTCTCTACCACAGCCTCACCTCCCACCTTCCCTCCCACCAGACTCCAGCCTCACCTCCCACCAGACTCCAGCCTCACCTCCCACCTTCCCTCTCACCAGACTGCAGCCTGACTGCTGACATTTCAGTGTGTTCCACCTTTTCAGGCGTTTGCTGGGCAGTTTTCTCTTCCTCAACTTGTTAAATTCTATTCATGCATCGAGTCTTGCTGTTGATGTCATTTTCTTTGGAAACTGTTCCTAAATCCTTAATCCTTTCTACCTTACAAAAGAATAACAAAATAAACCCCAAGAAAGATCTACTCCTTTATTCTTTCACAGGATATGATTCCTACTCCATCATTGTCTTCAACTGTATGGTGTGTTGTTGCGATGATCGTGGTAGCAGGATTGATATCAGTATTGCTCACTGGTCTCTAGTCTTCTAGAAAATAAGGGATGGGGACTTCCAGGTAGCTGATGAAATGGTTGTGTCTTAGGTTCCTGTCTCCAAAGTATTTCCTCCAGAATAATGTAGAAGAACAAGAAGGAGAAAAGTAAACTTTGTAAAAGCCATGTCCTCAGTGTGAAAGACACAATATACTCCAACTTGAAAATCGTAAAAAGAGGTAACACCCAATCCAACATGGAATTCCTGATGTTCTCCATCTCCCCACTACCACAAGGCTCTGTCCACCTTGGGTTGTAGGTAGTTGACAGAAAATTATAGGTACAAGTTTGCAGCAGAAAAAGACAAAAAGGAAGGAGAAGGACCTTTTGACATATGGGTGGATGGCGAAAGGAAGAAGAATCAGCAGGGGAAATTTAGTGTCCTGTAGACAGGGACAACCACAGGTTGGGTGTGGTGGCTCATGCCTATAATCCCAGCAGTTTGGGAGGCTGAGGCAGGCAGATGGCTTGAGCCCAGGAGTTCGAGACCAGCCTGGGCAACATGGCAAAACCCTTTCTCTACAAAAAACAAACAAATAGTATTGTACAAATGAGTTTCTGGTCTCGTTAATTATACTATTGTTATGTAAGACCTAATGGTCGGGCATGTTGGGTTAAGGCCATGTGTACTAGCTTTGCAACATTGCTGAATATCTAAAATTATTTCAAGATAAAAATTAAGAAAGGAAAGCAGTGGTTATGCCTGTTTATACTTGAGCCAGAGCAACGCCTGACTCAGAATAGACAGTCACCCATTCACGTTTTCTAACTTCAGATTGTGCAGTTGTTTGTTGGTTCTTGGGTTTTTAAATAATGCATGAAGAAGGTGGAAGGAGCGGCGCCCTGGGATTGCAGTATCGTGGTGTTGAGTCACTTGCGATCTTTCCGGTTCAGTGACTCCTCAGTGTGCGTGGATTGGGGCCCTCCAGAGATGCTCTCTGTCTGTGTGTGTCATCGCAGCCCTCTGCTGTCCATGCCCGACAAGCCAGTGGCTTTCACTGCTGTGTGGGGTGGGGGCGATGTTTGTGTTTGTTTTATTCCAACAGTGGCTTCGTTTCTCTTCCAGGGCATTTCTCTCGCTCTTCACAAGAAGTGGCCTCTGCTTCTTCTGATTATTCACACTGTCCATTATTGATTACTCCTTATCCCCTTTCTTTCCTCTGCATGAAAGGCAGGTCTCTGCCGGGCGCAGCGGCTACCTGTAATCCCAGCTACTCGGGAGGCTGAGGCAGGAGAATTGCCTGAACTCGGGAGGCGGAAGTTGCAGAGAATGGCCTGAACCCCAGAGGTGGAGGTTGCAGTGAGCCGAGATTGTGCCACTGCACTCCAGCCTGGGTGACAGAGTGAGACTCCCATCTCCAAAAACAAAAAAAGAAAGGCAGGTCTTTTGTGAATTGACGGCTAGGCTCACTTCCTGGAGGGCAGTCGGCTGGCTCAGGCACAGGGCGGGAGGAAAGAGGCTTCCGCACAGCCACGTTCTCCTCATTCCTCACCTCGTAGAAAAGATTTTTGGGGGGTGGTGGTTAATCATGTTACTCTAAGTTTTCGTTTCCTTTTTACTCGGCTCAGGAATAGTAAGATGCCTTTACAGGCCCGTTTGAATGCATTTAAACTTAAGAATTTCTGTCATTTTTCCCTCCCTTTTTGTTTCTCTTAGCTTATTTTTTGAGCCTGCAAACTTTAAATTTTTATTATTCTGAGAATAGCTTATTTACTAACTTAAATCCTGTTTTGAAAAAGGCAGGTTGTGAAAAAGTAAACCATAAATAGTTTATAGCTGTAAGGAGTTGAAGTGTCTTCAGAATTAATATTTATGTATTTATTTGAAGCTCAGTTTAGCTGTTGTCATTCAAAGTTCTGCCTCAAGTATGCCCAGATCTTGTCAGTTACACAGCCTTCCTTTCTCTGCTTTCTCTTCTTCCCAATTCTTCCAGCATCTCAAGAGGCAGGGTTAACAATTCCACTCCCAGGCTGGGTGAGGTGTCCTCTCCACGGTTCCCCAGAGCCCAGAGAGGCGGAGGGAGCCCCATGGTCCCTGTCCTGGAGAGGAAGACCTCCCCCAGAGTCCAGAGAGAGGGATGGAGCCCCCATGGTCCCTGTCCTGGAGAGGAACCTCCAGTTCTCGGTCAGGGCCAAGACCCCCAAGTGGGTCACAGTTACTTGTTTTTCCTCTTGCCCTCCTCAGCCTGCTGGCTCTTCTGTGCAGGACCTCAGACTGCCAGGCTCCTGCTCTCTTCCTCCAGGCACATCTTCTCACCAGAACTCCAGCCCTGCACCTCAGACTCCCTGTTCATTGTCTCACCTCAGCCCCATCTCAAGTCTAGAACCCCCTTTCTTTCTTGTTGACTTATTCCGTTCTAACTGGAATCCTAGAAGAGAATGACAGGATGATGGTGCTGTGCCTCTGAAGGGGGTTTGTTAAAATACTCAGAATCAGCAGGGCACGGTGGCTCAAGCCTGTAATCCCAGCACTTTGGGAGGCCCAGGTAGGTGGATCATGAGGCCAGGAGTTCAAGACCAGCCTGGCCAAGATGGTGAAATCCCATCTTTACTAAAAATACAAAATTAGCTGGGCGCAGTGGCAGGTGCCTGTAATTCCAGCTACTCAGGAGAGGCAGGAGAATCGCTTGAACCCAGGTGGCAGAGGTTGCAGTGAGCCAAGATTGAGCCACTGCACTTCAGCCTGGGCAACAGAGTGAGACTCTGTCTCAAAAAACAAACAAACAGACAAAAACTCAGAACCATGCCTAGAAAATACTCAGGGCTCCCTGTTTGTTAGATAAATTGTTAGATCAGCCAATGAGTGACATATTGCATCTTGTATGCTGCATCCCAGGGGATTTAGTTAGTGACAGAGGAGAAATACAGCTCCTTTGCAAGTGGTCCTGCGTGCCGAGGCAAAGATCCGCGTATAAAATCCCACGTCGCACGTATGTGCTGGGCTCGTCTGTGAACAGGTTACATGGACCCTCTCTAGACCCAGCAGATGGGCTTTGAAATGTGGCCTTCGTGTTCAGCTGGCATTTGGTTTTCACCAGGAGACAACAGCAAACACACAGGCGGAAGAGGAGAGGGAGCCCGTGAGGCTCATTGTCAATACAGGGGAGACAGCCACTCAGGACGGGGCTTCAAGGCATGCATGGGTTTGACAGAGGTGAGGGGCCTGGCGCACTGGAGTCCAGGCTCATGGAGGGAGGGGTTGGTTTGGCATCTTCTCTTTAGCACCTGCCACGTGTTCTGCGGAGGCCAGTTAGTGTCAGTCAGCAAAACACCACCTCCAAATGCTGGCAGTGGAGTGTCTCGCTTTATTTTTTTATTCAGATCGATAACTCCTAGGAAAAGAGCATCTTTTAGAGTCACCTGAAACTAAATAAAGAGCAGAGTGCCTGAGTTGTGGAAACACTGGTGCTGTCTGGGCCTCATGGCAGAAAGTTGCGGGGCCGCGGCTCTCGTTCCGTCCTCACACTGCCCTGCTAGAGTGCGTGCGTGCTGTGTGCATTCCTCATGCCGCTGCTGTCCCTGGCAGGTGACAGTTCAGGGGCACCTCGCGCTGTGGGTGAGTTCTCGAGTGCTGCGGGGAGTGTAGGGAAGGCCGGTGGTGCGGTATCGAGGACCAATTCTGTGTGTGTGGTTCAACATTTCTAGTTCTCTTACACCTTCATGAGGTGTACGTCTCTTACACCTTCATGAGGTGTACGTCTCTTACACCTTCATGAGGTGTACGTCTCTTACACCTTCATGAGGTGTACGTCTCTTACAGCTTCATGAGGTGTACGTCTCTTACACCTTCATGAGGTGTACGTCTCTTACACCTTCATGAGGTGTACGTCTCTTACACCTTCATGAGGTGTACGTCTCTTACACCTTCATGAGGTGTACGTCTCTTACACCTTCTTGAGGTTGAATTTCATTTGATTCTTAAATATTTGGCTGAAAAATTAGATAATAAACGTAGTTACAATCTCTCCTGTCATGAACACTGAGGAAGAATGAATTTGTCTAAATATTCTCTCGGTGTATTAGAATATTGGTAAATGATGTGGAATCTTCCTGTATTTGATGTGATATAATCTTATCAGTTCTTTAAAATGATGTAGCAGGCTGACCGTTGGCCCCCCAAAAGATTAGCCACATCATATTTTCTGGAACCTGTGAATATTACCTCATGTGGTGAAAGATGTGATTAGGTCCCCCCCCCCACCCCAAACAAAGTCTCGCTCTGTCATCCAGGCTGGAGTACAGTGGTGCAATCATGGGTCGCTGCAGCCTCGACCTCTTGGGCTCAAGCCATCCTCCCACCTCAGCCTCCCAAGTATCTAGAACTACAGACCTGCGCCACCACACCCAGCTAATTGTTAAATTTTTTTGTAAAGTCAGGGGTCTCCCTATGTAACTCAGGCTGGTCTTGAACTCCTGGACTCAAGCCATTTGCCTGCCTCAGCCCCAAAGTGCTGGATTACAGGTGTGAGCCACTGCACCCAGCCAGGTTAAGGTTGTTGAGAGGGAGAGCTTATCTTGGATTATTTGAGTGAGCCCTAGATGTAATCACGGGTGTCCTTATGAGTGAGAAGCAGAGGAGCTTTGAGTCAGACAGAAGAGAAGGCCATGTGAAGACTGAGGCAGAGCTGGGAGTGATGTGGCCACAGGCCAAGGAACACCGAGGCGTGCCCACGGCCACCAGAAACTGGAAGAGGCCGGAATGGATTTGCCCCAGGGCCTCCAGAGGGAGCGTGGCCCTGCTGACTTAGTGATTTTGCATGAATACTTGAGTCTATAGAGTTTGAGAACAAGGACTTTCTCTTACATAACCACAGTACATTTATCAAAATTAGGAAATATAACATTGATTCAGTCCTGTGTTCTAATTTGTTTCCTTTTTTTTTCTTAAAAAAAAGAAAAATAGCGTCTTGCTGTGTTCCCCAGGCTGGAGTGCAGTGGTGTGATCCATCATAGCTCACTGCAGCCTTGAACTCCTGGGCTCAAGTGATTCTCCTGCCTCAGCCTCCTGAGTAGCTGGGACCACAGGCACGTACCACTACACCCAGCTAATTTATTTATTTTTTGTAGAGATGGGGTTTCAACATGTTGTCCAGGCCGGTCTTGAGCTCCTGGGAACCAAGCCATCCTCCTGCCTTGGCCTCCTAGACTGCTGGGATTACAGGCGCGAGCCAAGCGCTCAGCTGATCGAATTCATTTCTTAGCCAGTTGTTTCAGCTCCGTCTGTGGCAGCCTCCGCACTGGCCTGGGAGCGGACCCCGGACTACACACGGCTTTTTGATGGCACTTCATCCTCCTCAGCTTTGCTTTCTCAGTCTGGCCATTTTTGAAGGATGCGGGCCAGTTCAGTTCTAATCCTCAGTTTGCGTTTTCCTCCTGTCTTCTCCCGACAAGAGCAGGGCAAGCATCTGTGGCAGGAGGGCTGCAGAAGTGATACTGGGGCTTCCTCAGGTGCTGTCGGAGGTGCTGATGGCATTTTGTCCCATGATTGGCCATACTCATTTTGACCTTGATTAAGATGGCGTCCCCACATTTCTCCGCTGCGGAGTTGTTTTCCCTTTGTAAGTAATAAGGACTCTGGCTCTGTGCCTACCCTGTTCCTTGTGCTGGTTTTGCAACCATGGATAATTCTTGCCCACATCAGTTATGATCGTGATGGTTGCCAAATGCTGGTTTTCTGATTGTATGTTTTTCTTCCCTTCGCCCCCATTCATTCCTTCATTCATTCCTTTATATCATTCTAAAATAAATTCTTATTTTATCCCATCAATCATCTGCTACTGTCATTGTTTATTTTGATGCTCCAGTTGTCCCTGATTTCGCTGCCACCCTCCAAGCTCACTCCTGTCCATGTGTTTTATGTGTTCTCTTCACTGTTGAGCAATTCCTTGCTTTCAGGCACGACAAGGTGGAGCAGCCTCATATTCTACCCGCATGGCTCAAGTCCTGGCATCAGCCACGTTTCCAAGGAGCCCTGGTTCCTTTTCTACAGAATGGGACTTAGAAGCCAAGATGTCGGCTCCTGGCATTGACTCCCTCATCCTCAACATGCCGCTCAGTTGCCTGGTGCCACAATACACAGGAAGTAAATTCAGAATTGCCGTCTCGTACCATCGTAAACAAACTTTCTCACGTGAATTCACTATCTGTTCCCAGTTATTTTCTGCCTGTGGACTGAGGGGTGGAGTCAGGTGTAGATGCCATGGTCAGAGTTACTTGGGTGGGCTTTGTCCCCTCTGTTCCGGGCTGTTATTTGCACTGTACTCAAGTTCACGTGTTTAGTTTGTATTCTGTTCCGTTGCAGGGCTCTCTTATCCTTGCTTATTTCTTCTTTTATGAGTATGTAAGTTATTAATGTGGTTCTGCAAGTCAAAACTGTATAAAGCTAGAGTCATGTCATCTCCCCAATCCTGTTTCCAGGCTGCCTTGTGTTTCATTACTTTCAGGCATATCTTGTCTTTCTTTTTTTTTTAAATAAGGAGATACATGTTTATTTATTTATTTATTTATTTATTTATTTATTTATTTATTTATTTAATTTTTCTGGAGGCATAGTCTCGCTCTGCCGCCCAGGCTGGAGTTGCAGTGGTGTGATCTCGGCTCACTGCAAGCTCCTCCTCCCGGGTTCACGCCATTCTCCTGCCTCAGCCTCCCGAGTAGCTGGGACTACAGACGCCCACCACCACACCCGGCTAATTTTTTGTATTTTTTAGTAGAGATGGGGTTTCACCGTGTTAGCCAGGATGGTCTCGATCTCCTGACCTCGTGATCCACCCACCTCGGCCTCCCATAGTGCTGGGATTACAGGCGTGAGCCACTGCGCCCAGCCATGTTATTTTCTTATATCCTGCTCTTACATGGCAAGATAGTATACTAGGTATGCTCCTCTGCACTCTGCTTTTTGCCACTACACAGCGTGTCCTGGAAATCACTCCATGTCAGTTTCTAGGGACTTTCTCTTCCTTTTTTGAGAGCTGTATGGCACTTCATTACGTGAGTCAACATCTTAACATTGTAACATTTTGCAATTACAGATAATACCGCATTGTATAACCTTGTTCAGATGTATTTTGTATTAAGGCTGTATCTTCAAGGTAAATTTATAGTATCACTGGGTGGAAAAATGTGTATGTAGTTTTTTTCTAGTTATTGTCAAATTCCCTTCCTACCTCAGGATTGTATACCCTTTTCCATTCCCCTCGGCAACATAGGAGAGCGCCTCATTCGGAGTCGCCCCTCATTCAGGGTCGCACCTCATTCGGAGTCACCCCTCATTCAGGGTCGCTTGTTGCGTTTTCAGTGTATGCCAGTGTGTGCAGTCTGGGAGATGAGAAATGCTCTCGGTGTAGTTTTAATTTGAATTATTTTTATTGTAAGTGAGTTGAGGTATTGCTCTGTCTCCCAGGCTGGAGTGCAGTGGTGTGATCTTGGCTCACTACAGCCTCGACCTCCTGGGTTCAAGTGACCCTCCCACCTCAGCCTCCTGAGTAGCTGGGACTACGGCCGTGTACCACCATGCCCAGCTAATTAAAACATTTTTTTTTTTAATGTAGGAATAGAGTCTTGATATGTTAACTTGAACTCCTGGGGTCAAGTGATCCTCCATCCTTGGCCTCCCAAAGTGCTGGGATTACAGGTATGACCCACTGTGCCTGGCTAATATTTTTGTATATTCAGGGCCATTTCCATATATATATATATATATATATATATTTTTTTTTTTTTTTTTTTTTTTTTTTTTTGCTGTGAATTATCTGACATGTCTTTTGCCATTTGCCTCATGGAATGATTTATATTTCCACGACTTTTAATTCCTAGTGACAGCTGCTACTCCCCACATCGTGGGGTGCTTCCTTTGAGCTTCTTCCCAGCTGCCTCTGGCTGTTGAACTCCCTCTAGTCGTAAGCGTAAGATGGACCCCCAGAGTCGTCCTGGGAGCAGCACTCGGAAATGCCCGACAAGAACCCTATTTCTCCTCATCAGGTGGGGGCACTTTCCAGTCCTCAGAGCTCTTCTGACAGTGTTGGTGGCCTCTGCAGAGGGCAGGGTCATCCTGTGCCTGGAGGGACATAAGCATGGTTAGAGGCTTTCTAGAAGGGATTCAGGCCTCCGACCCATCTGGTGCTGTTCATTTTTGAGATTACGTGTCTCTAAGATAAAGGATTGGGAGGATGGGCCATGGTTTATAGAGCACTGGTCACTGAGTCTTCCTGTGCCCAGATGTGGGGCTCAGCACTTGCTATGCATAAACTCACCTGAGCTTCATAACAACTTTTTTTTTTTTTTTTTGAGACAGAGTCTCGCTCTGTCGCCCATGCTGGAGTGCGGTGGCACGATCTCGGCTCACTGCAAGCTCCGCCTCCTGGGTTCACGCCATTCTCCTGCCTCAGCCTCCTGAGTAGCTGGGACTACAGGCGCCCGCCACCACGCCTGGCTAATTTTTTTATTTTTAGTAGAGACGGGGTTTCACCGTGTTAGCCAGGATGCATAACACCTCCTTTGAAGTAGACGCAACCATTGTTCCCAGTTCACAGATTAGAAAACTGAGACTTAAGTGCGTCACTGTCTAGTGCAGTTCTACCCTCACGACAAAGCCATGTTTCTTCCCCGTGAATGAAGAGAAAGGTAAATTTACAGTATTTGCCTTTCGGGACTCATTGGTATTCTCTCTTGAAACACTTCTTACTGCATAATTCAGAGTTCTCGGCAGCGTATCCATCTCTTAGAAAGGGCTCTTCCTGGGAAGGCTGGAAAGAAAGGCTCTCTTCTAACGAGGCCGGTGTCTCAAGCACTCCACTAAATATGAAGAGGTACTTGCTTGATTTTTACAAAATCAGCTTTGTGAGAGGATGAGTGGTCCAGCCCCTCGCCCAGCTGTGTGAGTCCTGAGCACCTGCGCTTCAGAGTAAGGCTGTTGGACCTGGGACCCTTCCATGAAATTTATTTTCAATCTTGAATGAGATTTACTTTAATGGGAGGCCTTAAAAGCAGATGCCATGCGAGTTAAAATCACACAGCTTATTGCATCTATCAGTTCCAGTCAGAGCTGATGGCAAACTCTTGTTCTTTCAGTTCAGTAACCAGAGAGTGGAATCTGTCTGTCTGTGTCTTCCATAACCAAAATACATCACCCCACGCAATGCCTCCTAATAACTGGGGCTTTGTGGTCAGGGTTTTTGCAGGGCAGGCCCCTTTTCTGCAGGCAAAGTGCTAATGGCCAGCGCCTACACTGCAGGCCTCTGGCGCATTCTCTGCCGAGAGTTCTGTCCGTCCCACTTCTCCTCACTGTCTAGTCTTCTTCTGACCCTCCCAGCCTGGTTCACGTTTGCTCTTCGTTACCCTCTTCCTGTTTCTTTCTCCTGTCTCTCCTCCCACCACACCATCCCTCACATGCACCATGGGGTGCTCCTTCAGATTGTCATCTGATCGAGCCACAGTCCCACTCAGCCCATGTTTGTCAGGACTCTGCCACTGGTCACTTGTCCACA
Organism: Homo sapiens; assembly: GCF_000001405.40. Classification (NCBI taxonomy): domain Eukaryota; kingdom Metazoa; phylum Chordata; class Mammalia; order Primates; family Hominidae; genus Homo; species Homo sapiens. The sequence continues at coordinate 80,687,404 of NC_000017.11, forward strand.
AGGAACCACTGTCTTTGAGCTTCTTCCTCCGGTGCTCTTAGCATCTGCCCACACTGTATCTATCTGTGTCCAGGTCTTGTTTTCTGTGTCATTGTTTGATGAAAGGCAGGGACTCATTCGGTGAGTGGGTCTCCCCTGCCTCTGCCCCACACCAGCACACTGCTCTGCCCTTGGTGGGCACCCGTTGGTGTGTGTTGAGCTGGGTGTTGTACCTCGGTGTCTGCGTGGAGAAATGCGAACAGTGAGTGCCACAGCACAGCCACGGAATGGTTGTCATCGGCTTCAGAAGGGGAATGAAAGGGGCAGCACCGTGGGTGTTGATGATCTCCGAGGCTGCCTGTTTAGAGCGTCCCTTCCCTGAGATGGAGGCGTAGCTTCACCGTGTAGTGTTTAAGCTTTAAAACGTGAAATGCAGTGAGGCCGACAGTGAGTTGTAGGAAGCTCAGAAATGGGATGCCCGCACTGCCTTCAATTCACCCTCCATTGTCCATCGCCGCTGGCATACCCAGGTCAGCGCCTGCAGGCCCCTGTCTCAAAAGATGTGGCCGGCTTCTTGTCCCGGTACTGCCTGAAGCTTCACCTCAGCACCGCTAGCTTCACACTGGCCACACCCACCTCCACTCAGCAGTCTCCATGCTGTAGCCCAAAGCATGTAGTGGCGGTTGAGTACCTGAGTGGGGGAAATAATTAACTGGGATGCTTTTATTGATAAGTAGTCAGATGCCTGTTAAGTGACATTTATGAACACTCACGTAGCACTGCTGCCTGTTAGCCAGGCACTAGTCAAAGGACTTTTGATGTATTAGCTCATTTAATCTTCACAGAAACTAGAAGTTAGACACTATCCTCTCCACTCCCTTCACCCCCAGCCCCAAACACACACAATTTTATAGCCGAAGAAACGGAGGCACAAAGAAGGTGAAGACTTTGCTAAAGTCACAAAACTGGTATAAGCATGGGCTTTGTGTGTGTCCAAAGTTCATCCCTCAACCGTTTCTCTCTGGATCAATAATTAAAAGGTTTATCAAGAAGTCTGAAGGTAAATGGTTCAGTATTGTCAGGTTCTGGATAAGTTTCTCTGTGTTCTTGACTTTTCCCTCATGATGACAAGAAGGCTGCCACCACTCCAAACATCACAGCCTCACAGTTGTGCTCAAAGGGAGAAAGAAGAAGGGACGGCCGTTCTCCTTTGAGCACACTGTTTCACTGGCTTCCTGTGGGTTCCACTGGCCTGACTTGATGCCTGGGACACTTTAAGCATCTCCGGTGCTATGCGGGCTGGGAAGAAGTGAGCTGTAGAGGCAGCCAGTGTTACTCTCTGCTCCATCCCTTTTTTGTTAATTTTGCGGTTACTGTTATTTAAACTAGATGTATCTCTAGGGCAGTGGCAGGAATCGACTCCAAGGACACTGACCAGCTTGGGGCTGCTGCCTGGCCCAGGCCGGCGCATGTTGGAACACAGACTCTCTGCCCTTCCACCCCAAGCCTGGTGGGCGAGTGAGTCTGCCCAGAGGGAGTGCCTTTTTCTGCTTTACACAAGGCACCTCAAGGGGTAGAGGTGGCCTCTCCTGCAGAACGGCAGCTGCCCTGTTGCCGTTCTGATAAATTGCAAGATAAAACTGAAGTGCAAGGAAGGGGCATTTTTGATTTTGGATATGACTTTGCCTAAAAATGGCACCTTAAGGTGTTTTAAACATTTATCAAACGGTTTCATATGTATGGAGTATGTCTGTGCAGCATTCTTAAAGTGACAGGACTACCTTATGAAGTCAGTAAATCCTTTCATCTCCCCAGACAGCCAGAAGCTAGTCAGCAGATGAACACATTCACTTGTATGTTCCCCTTGGCAACATTATTCCTAGAGAGGTTGCATCTGCATCTTGGAGTCCGCATGATAAATCATTTATGTACTCACAGAAACCATGCACTCCCCCGTGGGAAGAGTTCTAGGTGTAGCAGGGGCGGAGGACGCCACCTGCTCCCTGACATCCGTCTTTCCGAAGCCATCGCTGGAGCCCTCTGCTGAGTGTGGGCAGTGAGGCCTCGTCTTACGCATGTGGTCAGAGGAGATAATGTGGCTAGAAGTGCTTTGTAAGCGCCAAGGATTGCTGTTATGAGGAATTTACTAGATTTCAGGCTTTCATCAGATAGTTAGCGAGGAAGCGCAAAAGCACAGCATGGTCTCCATGTTTGCTGACCTGCAGCGAAAAGTCAGAAAGCTAATTGGAGGCCATTCATAGGCTGATTCTACCTTACACCATCATTATACTTTTTGTCTATAAGACTGGAGAAGATCTTTCTGAGACATATCACTATCAGTGTTTTACGCGTATGAAACATATTTTTCTTTCCTTCTTTATGTTCATTTTTAAAATTTTTGATCAGTGCCCTCAAGCATTCTCCTATTCAATAGAAAACATATTTTTCTAGGTATGATAATCTTTCAGATTTTTGGTATGTGTACCTTTGCTAAAAACACATTTAATATTTCTACCTGTCTGGACACCTTTTAAAAATGTCTGGCTGCACCTTGGAGAAACGCTTCATGCAAGCAGATTCTAATTAAAGTAGGAAACTTTACTTTACCATTAAGTTATATGTAAAAGCATTCTAGGGGAGAGTCTTTTAATCATTGAAACATTTTCAAACGTGTTTGCTCATTTGCTTCTTTATTTGTTTTTATGGCTTATTCATTTGTTTATTTTTAAACTTTTTATTATGAAAAATTTCAACATATACCCATCATCTATCTTCAGTCATTTTCAGCTGCCAGTTCCAGTCTCCTTTCATCTGTGCCCCCACCCAGTCCCCCCTTCCCACTCCCCTGGCTGATTAGGAAGCAAATCCCAGACTTCATGTAATTTCACCTGTCAATATTTCTGAAAGAAATATTTACTTTCTCTAAAGATAAGTATGCTTCTAAACACACACACACACATACACACACACACAATGTTTGTTTGAATCAGGATGCAAGTGAGATGAATGTATTGTGAGTTACTTCATCTATTCTGTTAATCCATGTAATTAATCCAAAAGTCAGTCCCTCACCCCAGCACTCTCTGTGCACCTGTCTGCCTGTCTCTTTCTGCAGTTGATTGGTTGAAGAAACTGGATCATGTAGCCTGTAGAATTTATCGTGGTCTCGATCTCGTCAGTGGCTTCTCCCCCCTTGCCCTGGGTGAGCCACACTCACCTCTGCTCCTTGGATTTCCTCTCGGTGGTGGACACAGCCGGGCTCCCCTAGATTCTGGTTCAGTCAGGGAATGTTTCATGTGTGGTGCTGTGTCCTTACTTTAGGATATCTGATAGTCCCTCTGTGATATTAGCAGCTATTGATGATCATTGTCTGGATCTATTTATTAGAGATTATGAAAAGATGGTGTTATTGTTTCATTCCTTTTTTTGCAACAGGGGATCTCACTTGGCCACCCAGGCTGGAGTGCAGTGGCGCAAACATGGCTCACTGGAGCCTCAAATTCTCGGGCCCAAGTGATCCTCCCACCTGAGACTTCCAAGTAGCTGGGACCACAGGCACATGACACTATGCCTTGCTAATTTTTAAATGTCTTGTAGAAACAGGGTTTTGCTATGTTGCCCAGACTGGTTTTTAATTCCTGGCCTCAAGCAATCTTCCTGCCTCAGCTTCCCAAAGTGCTGGGGTTACAGATACGAGCCACTGTGCTTAGCTGTCCTTATTTGTTAACTGGAGTATCTCTATATAAAGAAACCCTCTCATCAATTATTTGGATAGCTCAAGGTACAGTCATAGAGGAAAGCCAGCATCAATACTTACTTTCCTTTATTAACCAGTTTTCAAAATCGTGTGTGGGCTTCTCTCAAAGGTGACTAGTAAGGGGTGTGTGGGTGTGATATGTGTGTGTGCATGTCGTGTGTGTGTGCATGCACGTGTGTGCATGCATAGGTATGTGTGTGGTGTGGTGTGTGTGGCCACCCTGTTGAAGGCACTACCTACTGTATTCGTTTCTCACTGCATCTCTCAAAGGTGACTAGTGTGGGGGTGTGTGTGGATGTGAGTGATGTGTGTGTGTGCACGCATGTCAGTGTGTGCGCATAGGTGTGTGTGGTGTGGCGTGTGTGGCCACCCTATTGAATGCATGACTTACTCTATTCGTTCTTCACCGATGTCCACGTCGTTCCATCTTTGTGTTGGCCCCTGAGCCTTGTGATGCAGTTCTCGCGGTCCTCAATTGCTTCATTTTGATATGGTATGACAAGCCAGCATGTTCTGTGCCATTTTGTACTTCTTCTACCCTAGGCCTGAAATCAGCCACGTGTCTGTCTCCAGGGAGTCTTGGTTTCCTTCCATGGGAAGTGGTATGGAGAGCTTAATCTGGGCTCCAGGGCTGCTCATTGACCCTTGTTCAGCCCCCTTTCTCTATGGGTGTTTCAAAGATAAAATACGAAGGCGCTCTTACACATCCAGGTTCAGGTCTGCAAGGTCTGCTTACTCTCATGGGTCCTACAGCTGTATCTGCTTCTTTCCACATGGAGTGCTCAGATTGTTCATGAACACCAACGTAATTACCCATTCTCTTATCCTGCACCACACCTGGCAGTTTCAGAAAGCAACACCAGCACTGCCACTGACGCGGTTACTGAGAGCCGCTGCCGAGGCATAGCCGCTGCTGAGGCACTCGCCCTTCCTTCTCAGGTTAGGCACAGATGTCGAGTGACATTACCCTGTATTTTTATTTATTTATTTTTGAGACAGGCTCTCACTGTGGCCCAGGCTGGAGTACAGTAGCAGAATCATAGTTCACTGCAGCCTCAACCTCCTGGGCTCAAGCCATCCTCCCACCTCAGCCTCTCAAGTAGCCAAGACTATAGGTGCACGCCACCATGTCTGGCTACGTTATGTTATGTTATGTTATGTTATGTTATGTTATGTTATGTTATGTTATGTTATTTTTTTGAGATGGAGTCTTACTCTGTTATCCAGGCTGGAGCGCAGTGGCATGATCTCGGCTCACCGCAACCTCCACCTCCCAGGTTCAAGCGATTCTCCTGCCTCAGCCTCCCAAGTAGCTGGGATTACAGGCACATGCCACCATGCCCAGCTAATTTTGTATTTTCAGTAGAGATGGGGTTTCTCCATGTTGGTCAGGCTGGTCTTGAACTCCTGACCTCAGGTGATCCACCTGCCTTGGCCTCCCAAAGTGCTAGGATTACAGGCGTGAGCCACCGTGCCTGGCCTAATTTATTTATTTATATTTTTAGTAGTGATGAAGTCTTCCTATGTTGCCCAGGCTGGTCTTGAACTCCTGGCCTCAAGTGATCCTCCTGCCTCAGCCTCCCAAAGTGTTAGGATTATAGGCATGAGCCACTGTGCCTGGCTGGATTACTTTTTAAAAAAATTAATTTTGCTTTGTAGTTATGTAAAATATTTCATGAGTCCAAAGTTAAATACACAAAATGAAGTTTATTGAAAGGAGCCTGGCTGCTCTTCCTGTCCTGGTGAGCCTATTTTATCTTTTCTTCTGTAGGTCACCACTGAAATGTTTTAATAATATGTGTACCACATGTGATGACACGTATGCGTAACCTTGGGTACATTTATATACGCACACACGCACACAGTGTTTTCTCTTTAGGGAAGTGCTGTATGTTGTACATGGTTTCTTCTACCTTGCTTCTTGTTGCTGTATTAGACTGGAATCCACGTGTCCTCATTGGAATCAAAGCTTCATTGTTTCCTCTAAAGCAGAGTTTCTCCAGCTTGGCCCGATTGGCATTTGGATCAGCTAATTCATGATTGTGGTGGTCGTGTGCTCATGTGCTGTGCGGACAGTCACAGGATGTGTAGCAGGTCCCCAGGCCATTGCCATCAGATGCCAGCAGGGCCCACTTCTCCCAGCAGTGCCGACCGAGCCTGTCTGCAGACAACACCAGTGCCCCCGAGGGCAGAGTTGCTCCCAGCGGAGATGGTGTTTCTCGGGTTCATTGGGGGGATTCTGAGCACCCATTTCAGAAGTGGATTTGGCCCCATCTGGAAGCAATAGCTTTTCTTTTTGGACTTTGAATAATAAACCAGCTATTCTAGTTCTTGTCTGCCTCTTCTGCAAATTAAGGAAGGAAGGAAGAATTGTTACTGAATAATACATAAAGGAAAGAGTCGATGATTTTACAAATTTCACGTAACTCTGCCCTTACTGGGCAGACACGTGTTGAGAACATTACGAGTTACTGTGACCTTGTAGTCCCTTTGGGTTCGGTGTACGCAATTTCCTACTCTCAGCATCTGCCAGCCCAGACTCTGGCAGACTTATGCCAGCCCTGGGTGCTGTAGGGTCAGCCACCCCCTTCCACGCAGGGTGGGCGTCCAGATGGTGCTGTGGGAAACAGCGTTTTGCCAGGGGCCAGAGAGCTGACTCAGATAGTGACCTGGAAAACAGACTGTGGATCAGGTGGGCACGGGCCTGGAACAGGGTCCCTGAAACACCCAGCAAGAGGCTGGGGAATGTCTGGAGAGCCCGGCATGGTCCGGAGCGTCCACGCAGCCAGCAGCTCACATCCTCTTGCTCCTGGCGGCCGATGCTCTGCGCAGAAACGGGCTTGGTCTGAACGGAGAGGGACATTGTGAACTTGAAATGAAATCTGACAAGAAATTAGAAATTTCTTCAGAAAGTAAAGAGCGCTGTCAAGAATGCGAGCTGAAGATTTGCGTTTACAGCTGTAGAGCAAATACAGGCGGCTCTGACATCTCAGCTTTTGTTTGCCACTGCTGCAGCCTCAGGTGCCTCATCTGGGGCTTCATTCAGAGTGGGTGGGGAGGCGACAGGTCGAGGCAGTTGCCCCGTGCTCACGAATCCCTGACACAGCTGGTGACCTCTCCAGGTGACCTCTTCAAGCCTGGTCCCAGGGGCAGGCATGCCCGGGCATGGCCCTCGCAGATGGCTTTGCTGGCCTGGTCTGGCAACCGTTGAATAAATACTGATTTCCCACCCAGGTGAGGCGCATGGTAGATGTTTGTTCTGTGCATTGCGTTGGTCGGCCTCCACAGTCGCACAATCTCTCAGTGGAGTGAGAGTGTCTTCCATATGTGGGGCCGTGGTGCTGAAGGCTTGTGCGTTGAGTGCCTCCTTTCCCGTGAATGTGTTGGTTCTGGTGACCAGGGTGGAGCCTCCCTGCGCCCCTTCCTTCCATCCAGCATCAGGTTCCCAGTTCTCTGCCTGCCAGGCAGGCGTGCACATATGGAGTGTCTGGGAACCTGCAGCTGTTGATCACGGCTGGTGGTAGCTCCGCACTTAAGTAAGGAGGAGTGATTTTCCCGAGGAGATGTGGTATTGGTCGGAGTTGCTGGGAAATCAGCAGCACTGAGTGATCAGGTTGTCGTGAGCTCCTGCCTCCATCCACCCCATTCTGGCGGTTCCTGGCTTCACTGCCTCTTGAAGACAGCCTCTCTGGCACTCATGGGCATGTTGGCCTTCTCGAGGGGAAGGGGTTGAGTAACTCATGGCCTGTTAGTGTGTGCCAGAGACTCAGCACCACGGGCAGACACAGTGCCACGGGCAGCTATATCCAAGGAGGGTGAGGGTGCTCCCCAGAAGCCTCTGGGCCTCCGTGGGTGTCATCAGGGTAGTGAGCAGGAAGCCTGGGGGCTGAGCTGGGCTGCCTGGCTTTGACATGGGCCTGTGCGGGGCTGGCTGTGTGGCCCCGTGAGGGTTACTGAACCTCTCTGTGCCCAGCCTCCTGTTTGTGAGGCAGGAGCGATGGCAGTGCCCACTGCATGGTGGTAAGAGTGAGGCGGGTAGAATGCATGTGCCCAAGACAGAGGCTGCCCCGACCCGTGCTGTGCGGGTCACTCACCCCCACATTGTCTGCCACGGGGGCCCGAGCATTTCCACACGAGACTTTCACATCAGCCACCCGGGCAGGGCCCGCGTTAGTTTAGTTGTTTGTGGAGGAGAAAATTGAGGTTTGGTTTTGTTCATGACGTTGCCAGGTCGAATGGCTGGTGAATCATTGATTTGGGGCTGAGACTTAAGTTTCCCATCTCTGGGCGGGACCTGTGCTCTCTCCCTGTAACAGTGGCCTCTGTTACAGAGGGGCAGGTGGGTGGCTCACGTGTGGGCTCACCTGCGTCACTTCTCTCCAGCTCACCTCCACTGCGAGAGTGCCTGGGGATGCCTGCCAGCCACCCAGAGCCAGCGTCTTCCCAAGCAGCTGTTTTACAGGAAACAAAGCAGGATGACCTTGGGCTTCCTAGTCTCTGCACGTTACCCCGAATTCCAGAATAATCGTGAGAAGGAGCCAGTGGAGTGGTGTGACTTTTGTATTTATAGACTTCTTCCAAAGGTCACCTCTTTTATTTCTGAAAAACAAGTCGCTTGAGGCCCATCTTTACAGAGTGACAGGAGCTCAGGATGCAGAGGCACCAAGGCCAGGGAGGAGCGTTGGGGGTGGCTGGAGCTGGTGGGCCAAGGGCCGCAGACCACTTTTGCCCTGCATGGCCTCGTGGCTGCCTTTTCTACCTGCGTGAGCTGGCTTTGATCTACCCCGGACCCATCTTTCTGTGAAGAGTTTGCAGAGGATGCTGGTTACATCTTAGATGGAAATTGGCCGTGTCTCTGCTGTTTCTGAGTGTGCGACTCTCAGAGCCAAGGTGGCATCTGGCGACTGGCCTTGTTCTTGTGAGTCCCTGTAGGGCAGGATAGATTTTTCCGGCAGGGCTGCAGCCTGGAGTTCAGGCTTCCTCTCCCTTTTAAATTTCAAAGACTCAGGGTTCCATTTAAACAGACAAGATAAGTGGCAGCTTTGTTTTGTTTTGTTTTTTCATTAAGAGATTTTGGAGGGGGAGGAAACCAGCCTTACAGTGATAGCATCAGGAAAAGATTACACAGAATGGCATCTTATTATGAAATATTGAAAACATTTAAAGAGCAAATAAAATATGCAAATAGAGTGGGACAGAATTTGTACTGCACAGCCTCTTGCCCTACATCTTTCCCAATAAAAATTTAACTCTGAGGTCCATGTTGGGACAAAAAAAATGATACTGGGATAGTGGAGCTCGGCTTTCGTTAGTTCAAAGCGAGCAGCATATTAATCCAAGTAAGCAGAATTCCCATGTAGATTCATTCCACAGCCTTTTCTTGGGTGACGACTCTGTGCCCAGAAGCAAGGGGCTGACTGGGACCTGAGAGGCCTCTTCTTAGTGGCCATGGCCTCCCGGGGCAAGGCCGGCTGGTGCGTCAGAGCCTGGATCTCTGCAGTGGGCGCAGAAGGGACACAGGAATTTTCTCTTGGCCTCTTTGCTGGACTTGCAGCAGGGATGCCGCCGAACTCAGCCGTTTGCAGGCGGGAGCACGTGAGTGAGCGAGTGTGGGATCCAGCCAGCCCCCCCAAGCACCAATACAGGAGCAAACTCCATGCGGGGCCCACAGCCAGACCAGGTGTGTCACCTTGAGGGGAACACGGTGGCACCCAGGCAAGGGTGCCCATGACCCTGAAGCCCCAGAGTGGGTGTTAGTGTGCTCATTAGCTCTTTTAGTTCTTCCATCCACAGTCCAACAGATGGTGGCATGTTAGCAGCTCCGTCGCCCCCTGGCCCCATCACGTAGGGTGGCTGCCCTCTGCCAGCAGGAGCAAAGGGCTAGTGTGACAGTCTTTCTGGTACCAGCACTTGGTGGGTCCTGAGCTCTTGTCCAGCATCCAAGCAGAATGCAGATGTGCCTACAGTCAGAGAGTGAGCAAGGTGAGGGGTTTTACTGAGTGATGAAAGAGCTTTCTGCAGAGAGGGGACATGGGGGCGGTCCCCCCACCCGAAGGTGGGAAAATCCCTCCAGTGTGTCTTAGTCTGGGGCTTTTGTGGGCTCAGAATAGGGGAGGGGCAGGCTGTAGGTAGTATTGGAAAAGGCAACATTTGATTGGTTAAAAGGCATTATTCAGAAAGAATCAATTGGGAAAGGGTGGGCAAACGGGAATAGGAGTTTTGCTCTGGGTCTTGGGTTTTATCCAGGACCTGCCGTCTGGTCTTTCAGCCTTCAGGCTGTTATTTGGCTTGGAGGTAGGTTTCACCAGGGACCTGCCCCTGTCTGCCTAGGCATTTGACTACCTCCCATCGGTATCAGAAGCACCTTGTGAGCCCCAGGGAGCTGGTGAGGACCTTGTAAGGGAGGAGGAGGGCGGCGTGATAGGTGCAGGTGGCGGCGTGATAGGTGCAGGTGGCACCGTGCACAGCCACGTCAGGGACTTGGGAACGTCTGGGCCAAGGAGCCACCTTGTGCAGAGGCATGGAGTCATGAGAGATTAGCCACGGTGGGAACGTGGTGAGGACACTGGGCTGAGCAGAGGGCTCGCAGGTGGTGCTGGGCAGGGAGCCTGTTGACCCACCCACAGAGGGTTTGTCTCAGGGGCCGGTGGCCTGACTGCTGTGCGTTAAGGAGGAAGGCTCTGACAGAATGGGGGGACTTGGAGAGGGGTCATTTTGGAGGCCTGAAGGTGGTTGGGGTGTTTGACTCCCATGAAGGCAGAGGTGGTACAGCGAAGTCAGAGGGACACATTCCTGTGACCCACTGGGCACCAGGGAGATGGCAGGAGCAGGAGCTGAGGGTAGTGGTGAGGTTTCTGCTGGCAGAGTTTGGTGGTTGAGTTTCTGCTGGCTGATTTGGTGGGGCCAGCGAGTAGACAAGGATCCCAGACGGGTGGGTGCGGGGCAAGGTGGGGAATTTGACCAGATTTCTCTTGAAGGTGCCCTATGGGGAAACGGTGTTGTGAAAGTAGGAGGGTGAGGAACGGAGGCGACTGAGGGTCCACAGAGGAGGATGGGCCAGAGGCAGAGGTGACAGGCCAGGTAGGCCGAGTGAGCAGGGGAGCCACGTGAGGCCAGTGCGGGCGCACCAGGCACTGGGCCCCATGCAGAGGGGCTGCCGCCCCACCCCCACCCAGGCCTCACTGACTCCTGTGGGAGCCATCTAGGTACAGCAACCACGTGGAGGATAGCGTGAAAAGTGACGGGACGGAGCAAAGAAAGACACCAGCTCCTCGTTTGCAGAGGTTTCTGCACCGTTGTCACCAGCATGTGGTCATGGCCTGCTCCCCGGGGGCCATTCCAGCCATTGATCCACATTGTCCTCCAGCCAAAGGAAACAAAGCGGGAAGTGGAAAGAGCTGGAGTTACGTGGGGGCACCTTCCATCCTAGGCCGGCAGCTGGTCAACCTCCTCAGCCTCGTCACCGTTTAACATCCTCCCTTTTGTTCTTTTCTCCTTAATCTTTATGTTTGGAAAGATTTCTATAGACAAATGTGCCGCTGCTTCTCCATAGCCTTATCTGGAACAAAGGAAATGTCTTTTATTACCATTCATGCAGGTATAATCCGTGAAAGACAAGCCTGTTCTGCCAGTCACCAAGTCAGTCCTTTTCCTTCTGTCTTGCTCATGGAAGGCTGTCCCGGCCCTCACCTGACTAGTGGTGCAGCTCTTCAGGGGGTAGTGCCCATCCAATTCCTGGGGAAACCCAGGCGAGCCTGCTGGCCAGGAAGCGCCAGCTTGTGTCTGATTGCTAGGTTACCCTGGGTGCTTCCTGGATGTTCAGGCGCCCGTGATTCCCCCAGCATCTGCCTCGAGCTTATGTGCATGGAGCAGCAGATCCCTTTGTCTGGGCAGTTAGATTGTCTGCTAAGGAAAGTGGGTGTTGGAGCAAAAGCCTTGCTTCACTGCTGTACTCCAACCCATCAAAATGGAATTGTTTAAAATGCCCTCAAAATAAAAATAGAGACCCCAAGCTCTTGATAAAACAGCTTTCTCTGGAGAAGCTCATCGGGCTGTGTAAACTCCAATAGGAAGTATTTATTCATCATTTGTATGTGCACAAATATTTATTTAATGTCAACTGTGAAGGCTGATGAGTAAATCAGCAGGTAGAGTCCAGTACCCTGGTGCAGTGATGGGGAGCTAGAGGTGCTGTGCACAGTACCCTGGTGCAGTGATGGGGAGCTAGAGGTGCTATGCACAGTACCCTGGTGCAGTGATGGGGAGCTAGAGGTGCTATGCACAGTGCCCTGGTGCAGTGATGGGGAGCAAGAGGTGCTATGCACGGTACCCTGGTGCAGTGATGGGGAGCTAGAGGTGCTGTGCACGGTACCCTGGTGCAGTGATGGGGAGCTAGAGGTGCTGTGCACGGTGCCCTGGTGCAGTGATGGGGAGCTAGAGGTGCTGTGCACAGTACCCTGGTGCAGTGATGGGGAGCTAGAGGTGCTGTGCACGGTACCCTGGTGCAGTGATGGGGAGCTAGAGGTGCTGTGCACGGTGCCCTGGTGCAGTGATGGGGAGCTAGAGGTGCTGTGCACGGTGCCCTGGTGCAGTGATGGGGAGCTAGAGGTGCTGTGCACGGTGCCCTGGTGCAGTGATGGGGAGCAAGAGGTGCTGTGCACGGTACCCTGGTGCAGTGATGGGGAGCTAGAGGTGCTGTGCACGGTACCCTGGTACAGTGATGGGGAGCTAGAGGTGCTACGCACAGTACCCTGGTGCAGTGATGGGGAGCTAGAGGTGCTATGCAGCCTTTGGCATGGCTTCCTATCCAGTGTCTGGAAGAGCATCCAAGAAGGATGCTTTCAACATGATAAAAGACAAGGGACATTTAACATGATACTTGAAGAATGAATAGAAAATGACCAGGCAAGACTTGGAATAGGACATGGAGAAAAGGTAGGAAGAAGGTTCTGGGCAGAAGGCTGGAAAGTAGGTTAGAACATAATGAGGCAAAAGGCTTAAAAGATCCTTTCTTGTGGCTGAAGTGTAGACTCTCAGAGATTATGTCTAGTGATCAGGCTGGAGATCTTGCAGGGACTCGTAGGTCTTTCTAAAGAGTTTTCAAAGTTAGTGGGAAGACATCAAAGGTTTCTAAGCGGGAGAAGGACCTATTGAGTTTTGGAGAATGGATTTGGAGTGAAACAAGGCTGGAGGATAAGTTGGGAAGTTACTCCAATGATCTAAGAAATAGATAAGTGGTGGTGGTGATGGTGGTAGTGGTGGTGATGGTGGTGGTGGTGATGGTGATGGTGGTGGTTATGATGGTGGTGGTGGTGATGGTGGTGGTGGTGGTGGTGGTGATGATGGTGGTGGTGATGGTAGAGATGATGGTGATGGTGATGGTGGTGGTGGTGGTGGTGATGATGATGGTGGTGGTGATGGTAGAGATGATGGTGATGGTGATGATGGAAGTGGTGGTGATGGTGATGATGGTGATGGTGGTGGTGGTGGCGGCGATGATGGTGGTGGTGATGGTAGAGATGATGGTGATGGTGATGATGGAGGTGGTGGTGATGGTGATGGTGGTGGTGATGGTGGTGGTGGTGGTGGTGATGATGGTGGTGGTGGTGGTGGTGATGATGGTGATGGTGATGGTAGAGATGATGATGGTGGTGGTGGTGATGATGATGGTGGTGATGGTGATGGTGGTGGTGGTGGTGATGGTAGAGATGATGGTGGTGGTAGTGGTGGTTTGGTAGTGGCTTGACCTGGGTATTGATAGCACGGATAGAAAGAGGTGGATGGACTCAGTCAGGATTGAAGAGGTAGACTCAACAGGATGCAATGATTGATGACATAAAAATGGAAAGGGTGAAAGACAAGAAGGTGTCAAGGGTGATTCTTGGGTTTCTGTTGTCCAGCTGGGTGATTCTCAGGTTTCTGTTGTCCAAATGGTTAGTGACCCCATCCATATGGATTGAGGAGAGAGGGGAGCAAGCTTAGGAGGGAAGACACAGAAGATGTGCACTGGACAATTCCTCTCTGCTGAAAGGCCTCAGACACACTGATGGATTGCTTCACATCTGGGAACAAATGCTGTGAAGTCTCTGTGTCCTCAGCGGCTCCACCTGGTTGCACTAGGGTGGAATCATGGGAAAGGGCACAGGTTATATATTCTTGCCATTTATTCTCACGGAGACCATAATGCTCATTCCATATCAACCGAAAGGTAGCATTTGCCATCACTCTTTTTGGCTTTTGTTTTGTTTCTCTGTATTTTACTTGTTTTTCATCCTAACACCCTTAAGGGTGAGGGTAAACAAGGGCTATAGGAGGCGAGGCCTTCCAGGGAAATGCCGGGCAGGGAAGAAGGTCAGGTCCGCCTAAAGGTCCCTCCTACCAACATTTCCCTGGAAATCTTTGCATCCTACTTGAGAAGGAGAGGGGTAGGGTGAAACTTTCACTAGACCCCAGATGGGGCCAGAACTGGCCTGAGTCCTGAAATGACATTTGTTCCTCCAGGACAGTTCTGAGAGTGTTGCAGGCATTTCGGTTTGTTGGATCTAAACTTGACCTGCTATTCATTGCTATAGGATGGGAGGATGGCAGCGATATCACTTGTACTCACAGACCCAGCCTAGTACGACGCCAGTGTCTTTGTTAGAAACTCTACAGATGTCTATGTCCAGCCTGCCCCAGCGGCACAGGGCTACCCCTGGTGGGATTTTGTCAAAGGGGAAGACCCACCAAGTAGAGCCCCTGAGCCCCTCCTCTTCCCAGGTGGCCGTCTCTCCTTGATCCACACCAGCGGCAGTTTGTGCAGCTTCACCAGAGCTTCTAGCGGGACCATGCCGCCACGAGGGCCACTGGGAGCAGAGTCCCTCCCATGCTCAGGGCTCTCCAGGGTCTGAAGTCTGCACTTGTATGAGAAGGAGCTCCAATACCAATAAAAGTCTACGTGGAAAATGCAGAATCTGATTGCAGTAGCATTTCTTAGGCCTTATTAGCATATAAATTTACCAGGTGTCATTTTAGGACAAGAGCCCGTCACTGAGAAGGAAATGAAATTTGGAGCTGCATTTTCCTTCATTAAACCAAGGGCCCATTTTTGTTTTGTTTTGTTTTTTGTTTTGTTTTCTTTTCTTCGGTTATTCATTCTTTTATTATCTTCTGCTGTCACATCCTCCAAAACTCCTGTGCATATATTTTCTTGCACCTTGAGATTTGGCATTTCAGGAAAAATGCCTAGCACAATAGGCTGTAGTTTAGAGACTTGCTTTGTCATTTTATATGTCCAGCAGAAATTGTCGTAACTCCCCCGGATGATCAGATGCTCCCGTGCCTCTCCTGTCTCTCAGACCACACAGCTATTATCCCTGGCATTCTAGTTGTGAGACAAAACCTTAACACAATGTGGTGACATTTAATTTAGTGTTTCTCATTTCAAAGCCCTTAAAAATATTAATTAATTCCCATGAAGCCCCAGGAGGCGTATTATTAATATCTGTGGCGCCTTTCATGCTAGTCCATTAATGTGCCTTCTCTACGCAATAGGTAAGAAAATGAAGCTAAATCCGTTTTTCGCAGCCCCATGGGATAAGACCTTCACAGAGCCAGGGTCAGAAATGATGAATCCTTAATTTTATTGGTGTCCCTGAATAATCTACCCCGTGGCCTTCTGTGTGGCGTGGAAGAACAGCACTCCTGTTCAGGAGCAATCTCAGGAGACAGCGAATGATTTTCCTGTGGAGCTGTGACTTCAGCAATCCTAGTTCGATAGCTGTGTTGAGGAGAGTAGAATTGAGAAAAACTGCCGCAGCAGTAATGTAATAAGTGAGATGGAGCAGGAGGCACTTGACAATTTCACTAGAAAATCTCCCAGCGATCTGTGGGCCCTGCAGTGAACCCAGCCCCTGCAGATCGATGGGCCCGTGCTCCAGGGAGACAGATGTGGAGATCAGCACCGTGGCTTGTTCTTATTTTGGGGTGCCTTATCTTTCCGTGCCTTTGTTCTTCACCACTATGCATGGGGGATTTCTGTAGCCTTAGCAACCAGAAAGCAGGGTGGATCTGTGGAATTAGACTCCGAAATCTCGAGTTTAGTTGACAGCGCTTTTTCCTTCCTTCTGATTGCCTCGCCGTCTGGCAAGCTCTGCATGTGTTCTTTTCTCACCTGTATCTGCAGCCCATGACTCCGGAAGTCTTTCTGACTCTGAAAAACATATCCTGTGTTCACTAAGGGGAAGTGGTTTTAATGTGCATGAAAAGAGGCTGGCAGGCGCTCACCCCACCTGGACCCTAGACCCTGGAGAAGGGGTGGGAAGTTAGCTTCAGTGGACGTTCCTGATAAACGTGAGCTCAGGTGGCTCACTTCCCCTGGCCTGACTGCAGACTTGAGCCAGGAACACCCATTCCGCCTTGTGTGTGAGACCCAGGAGGATCAAGGAGATATCCTTTAGCATCCATTAAAAAAAAAGTTTTTTTTGAGTCCTACCTCTCCATTTTTGCTCTTCCCTACTTGAGCTGTCTTAAAGCATCCCTGGAGGTAGGAAAATGCATAGACCCTCCTTCCCAGGGCCCCAGTACTGCCGGAGGAGCCTCGGTGATGGCTGCACCTCTGCCCTGGGGCCTGGAGCTGGGCTAACGCTTTCTTGGAAAACCTCTAATTGTTTCTACCAAGTTAGCCAGGACACTTTTTAAAAAGCACTTTCATTAAAAATGCATAGGTATTTGTTTTAATTTACATAACGGCCCAGACCAAAATGGGATGTGGCCTGCTGCTTAGACTGGCCATTATCACGCCTCTGATTCAGAGAAAAACCTAAATTTCATGTTTATGCAGGTCTTATAGCTGATGCGTTTGGTTTGAAGGAGCAGGTGAACTAGGTCCTCTCCAGGACTTGGTGCTTTTTTGTTGGGTGTGGAGAGACATGGGCGAGATGGGGCTGTTGCTGCTGCGCTGATTTGAAGCCATCTCTCCAGACTGAACCCGTCCTACGTGTCCGCCATTCTTTCTACCTATCCACCTGAAGACGGAATGTCTAGCTACCTCTACTTCAGACTTATTTTCTAATTTAGAATGTACTTACTTGAGTGGATGTGGTTTTGGAGGGCCTGTAGCCAAGGTCGTGACAGCTGAATAAAATGTTTCCTTCTTTGCCCCCAGAACTGCGCTTTCATTTATCAGCTGCCCTTGGTGTGTTGTATGGGATCAGCCAACATTCAGGTATTTAGAACATTAAGACTCAGTGGCCTGGTTCTGTCTCACCAAGAACACAAATAAACAGTTGATGAATCCATCACATCAGTGATGAATCCAGAATGTGTCCATCATTTTCGTAAGTCTTAGTATGCAGAGAATCTCAGATAGCAAAGCAGAAAGGATGATGTCACAGACGCCTTGGGTACCCAGCACCTGGATGCAGCTGTTTGTACACACATACTTTCTGATATTATGTTGACAGTGACTTACACCACTTCAACCTCAGGCAGGATTCTATCAGTTTCTTTACTACAAATTGATTTGTTTCTTTAATAATTATTGTAATTACTGTCAGTAAAAATCTGAGTATGACTCAGCAATTAGTTGCTGGTAACTGAGTGTGTTGTAATGCTGGGGAAAGGATATAAAACTTGTATTTTGAACAGAAAGGCACACATGTGGGTGAGCAGTGTTTACCACCACAGAATTTACCGTCTACACAGAATTGAGATAGCTGCACATGAATGTATAGTGAGCAGTGTAAGTTAATTCAGAGAAAGAAAAAATTATTTCCTGCTGAAAGGGTTCAAGAAGGAATTTTGTAGGAGAGCTGGGCATTGAACAGGCTCCTCCAGAACATGTGGGTCAGATTGGCCACCGCATGGCTGGGGTCCCCCATGGGCCAGTGATGCCCACCTATGGGAGCAGGTGACACGCTGCCTCCCAGGCCACGCATCGACACCCCTCCTGTCACGCTCCGTGCTTCTCTGAGCACTTCCTCCTTCCCTGTGGCCCTGGGCTCCCTGTGGGCCAGCCCTGTCCTGGCAGAGCCCCCTGTGCGTGTCAACGCACATCCTTCATAGATGAAAATGGACTTGAAGATCCCGCGTTATCAGTTGGTTAGCTCTCTCTCAAGTCTCCTTCGTGACTCTGCTTTATTTTTCGAGCAGCATTCTGGTTCTGAGCGAGGAGACACTGAGAGGGGAGACCACTCTGTGGCTCTAACCCCGCCTCAGACCAGGGCTCCGCACTGTCCTGCAGTGGCACAGGGTTGCTAGCCTTGGATTAGCTTTTGGTTCTCTAATGGGCTTTGCTTGCAGGTACAAAAATTTGGGGGAACCTGGAAAAACTCTTAAATCTCCTCATCTGAAAGATATTCATACATCTACTGATGACTTCCAAAGTACAAGGTCTAGAATACCAAGAGGTTTTATGTTGTCATAAATTAGAGTTTTAATGTATATAATTAGGTGAAACCAAATGTGTATCATATACAACAGAGTAACCGTGTTGCAGGAATTGGGCCTCGTTTTCCTGTTGTTTTCCTCACATCTAATTCTTTTTCTCTGGAAATGCCAGGGAACCTTTCTTTATTTTCTTTATTTTTATTTTTCAGTAGAGACGAGGGATCTGACTATGTTGCCCAGGCTGGTCTTGAACTCCTGGCCTCAAGTGGTCCTTCCACCGTGGCCTCCGAAATGCTGGGATTCCAGGTGTGAGCCCCCGTGTCCGGCAGGGGAACCTTTCTTAAGCATGAATGGTGTGCCCTCCTCAGGGTGTGTCCTCTCTGCTTCCTTTCTCAGTCACATCAGCAGGTGCTTCGTGTGCATCTGTGTGCCCAGCCTGGGCACAGCGGGAGCCCAGGCCTTCCTTCAAACGCAGCCTCCCCTGCACGTTCCAAACACTTACTGGCATTTTTCTTCAAGTGATGATCATGGCATTGGCCTTACTTATTTTAGTTGTTTTTAAAAGAAAGTTTTAAAAGTTTATCAAAGTGATGAACATACACATCACTTTTTAAAAACATAATCCCCACCCAGAGGCAAACCCTTTTAGCTATTTGTTCTAGTGGCATATGTTGGTGCTGCTTTGCACTGACTCATCAACTCAGGGCATCTTCCCTGACTGCCTGGTGTGGCCCCAGCACTTTCACACCCGTTGTTCCCCTCCCCAACCCCAGAAGGTCGTAGATTTACTCTGTCGGTTCTTCTTTGTTGGGAGTTCACCATGAAAAGTACTTTGCAGGAAAAGAGCAATGATAGAACTGGAGTAGCTCCTCGCATGACCCACCTGTGCCCGTTTTCCAGCATCCTGCCACCCAGCCAGGTCTGTCTCCTCCTTGGCCCGTTCTCCTCACTCAGGTTCTCTGGAAGTTGGCACAGTTTTACTAAAATAAAATCAGCATTCATAGCATTAGGACTATGTAAACACTGTTCTCAAGCAAGCCAAGTCATGTGTACTTGGGTCTGATTCTGGACTTTGTGTGTGAGTTCCCTGGGCTGCTGGTCTCCGTGCCCCCAGCCTCGCTGTCTTAATGAGAGGCCCTAGGGGAGCCTGCAGTGTCTGGCAAGGCCAGGTTGCCCTCAGGGCTTTCTGCTGCCATGATTTTCTGGCCCTTCGTCCCTGTTTGTTTTTCCCTGTGACCTTCAGTAGCAGCTTAGCTCCTTGGGGTATTTACTGGGAATGCATTGAATATGTGAATTAAACGAGCGAGAGCTGACATCTTAAGAATGTTGACTCAGCCCACCCAAGCAGGGAGCATCTTCCCATTTGTTCACGTCTTCTGTGTTTTCCAGGAGAGCTTTGAAAATCTTCCATGTCTGTGTTTTGCACATTTCATGTTAAACTTATTCCTATGCATTCAGTCTGCTCTGTGGCTTTCGAGATGGGGTTTTCTTTGCCATGATGTTCCTTTGTTTATTATTTGTGTATATCAAGGCTATTGATTGTTCTCTGTCAGTTTTAGATTCTGCTCATTCAGGGTTAAGGGCCCAGGCAGGAGGCGGAGGGAGGAGCTTTCAGCAGGGCGATTCCTTACTCGGTCTCTTCACTCTTCTGCCATTGCTGCCATGTGTACATTGCAGGCTCCTTCATTTGAGCAAATTCTCTCTTCCATGCTCCAGATGTTTTCAGAAGGACCGCGTACTTCTGAGAAACACTTGGTACCCCAGTGGCAGCTGCGTTTGCCTTGGTGTTGCCATGTGACAGGCATTACTTGTTTATCTCATTGTTGTTCCTAGTAGTTCTCAATGTTTGTTGAATGAATATTTATAACCATCATGTGTGGCAGTTCTTATGTAGTGTTTTGATTTGTTTTTTTGAGACCATCTCACTCTGTCACTCAGGCTGGAGTACAGTGTTGTGATCATGGTTCACTGCAACCTCAACCTCCTGGGCTTAAGTGATCCTTCCACCTCAGCTGGGACTACAGGTGTGTGCCACCACACCTGGCTAATTTTTTTTTTTTTTAATTGTAGAGATGGGGTCTCATTCTGCTGCCCAGGCTGATCTTGAGCTCCCGGGCTCAACCAGTTCTCCCACCTTGGCCTCCTAAGCTGCTGGGATTTTCGGCATGAGCCAGGGTGCCTGGCATTACCTGGTTTTATAGATGGAGAAACTCAGAGCCATGTGTCCAGGACCACACAGCTATTAACTGCAAACCCAGAGGAAAGGGTAGGGGATGAGTTCCAAGCATTCCCTGGAGTCCGTGGTAAATTTCTTCATTTCTTCTCCTGCAACAGGCCCGGTACAAGCAGAGCCTTGACCCAACTGTGGATGAAGTCAAGAAGCTCTGCACGTCCTTACGTCGCAACGCCAAGGAGGAGCGAGTCCTCTTTCACTACAATGGCCACGGGGTGCCCCGGCCCACAGTCAACGGGGAGGTCTGGGTCTTCAACAAGGTGGGTGTGCCTTCCAGCTTCCTTCCCGTTTCTGCCAAAAGCCATGCCAATTGCGGTGGTCGGAGCAGGTCCTGCCCATCCGTAGCTTCTGTTAAGCCATTGATGTTTACTGTGTTTCAACAAACCCAAATGCCATAACTGAACGGACCAGGTAGTCAGGCACAAGGAGGGGCTGTTTCTGTGGCAGAACGTGTTCATGGAATGACTGCCTTGAAGTGTGGTGCGTGTGGTTTATGTTCCCTCTGTAAGACCAGCAGTTGTTTGTAATTCTCCGAGGACAGACCTCGAGAGTGTCTGCCTTCTAGTTTGAAAAAATTGCACAATTTCTCAATTTCGTTAGAATCTTTCTTTAAGCATCGGTGATTTTCTTAGAAAATAAAGTGTTTTATATATTCTAAAGGGCTAATTCCAAGCTGCCCTGCAGGTGCAGGCTCTGGGCTTCCCTCCTCAAGGTCAGAATCACCAGCCTTTTGCAATTCCGTTGCCCAGGACCAGATGAAGTGCTTGCTCCCCTTCTGTAGCTGTTGCTGTGGGTGGTGGGTGCTGACTGTCATCCCCATCCTCCAGGGTGTGGTGGGTGCTGACTGTTGTCCCCACCCTCCAGGGTGTGGTGGGTGCTGACTGTCTCCTCATCCTCCAGGGTGTGGTGGGTGCTGACTGTTGTCCCCACCCTCCAGGGTGTGGTGGGTGCTGACTGTCTCCCCATCCTCCAGGGTGGGAACCTTGGTCTGTCTCAGAGCAGCCAGCTATGGGTCTCACTGCGCTCTGCGTGATGCATGAAAAGCAGTTCTTGGAGGGTGCGGTGGCCCCATATGTGCCTGAGCGTGTCTATGAGGGCACTGATTTGGAATCCAGCAAATCCGAGTCCCAGTTTCGGTTGTGCTGTCAGCCTCCTGGGCTTCTGCTTCCTTAGTGTGGACACCGCCTCCTGCCATCATAGTGAGGACTCTGACTCCGTTTCTTCACACACTGAACTCTCGGTTCCCGCCTACCGTCCCGGGTTCGCAGCTAGCATTCGGCACAGGTGGTGAAGCAGTGTGGGCCCAGAGCAGAGACCTCGAGGAAGGCTTCTGACCCTGGACACTGAGGAGTAGCCAGCCTCGGAAGTTAGAAAGGTATCCACCCAGCTCCTCCCGCAGGGCACAGGGCAGTGCCATCTCTCCCCGTGTGTATCTGGATACCAGCTTGATTTTAATTCCTTTCGTTAAATATTGAGTAAATTCAAAACGATCGTTGTGAAGGAAGTAGGATTTACAGAAGCAGGATGTAATGAACCACCAGGCGTGCACCACAGGCCCCTGGCGTGTCTTTCTCAGCTGCAGTCTCTCCTTTCCCTGCCCTCCCCTGTGGCGCCTGGCACAGTGAATTTGAATTTGTCCTTCCCTGGCTCTCCTCTGTGGAGCCCCCGGTGTGCTGGCTCTCAGGCACGGCGAATCCGGGAGATCGCTGCTGATACGCTGGGCGGACGCTGGCGCGCTCTTCCGCAGTGCGCTTTGCTCACTTGGTCGGAGGCTCTGCAGATTCATGCCACCGACCCCAGGGGCCTGCAGCCCTGCCTCTTCCCACATTCGCTGTCCCCTGCCGGGACCCCGCCCTTCTCAGTGCCTTCCCTGCAGATGGGCATTGGGCTGGTTCCCATCTTGTTTCTGCTGTAAACCGCGTGAGTGTTTCAGCTGCCCACCTTTCTCTCCAGCACTGGGTGTTGTCACAGGTTTTTTTTAATGATAGACTGTGGTGTGCTCTGATTTTCTCTGATAACCATTAAGATCGCGCACCCTGTGTCCGCCCGCCGGCTCCCTGCTGCTCAAAGCGCCTATCTGCTATCCACTTCTCTCTGCAGTGGGTTGCCTTTTCCTATCGGTTTGAGGGAATTCTTTGTATTCCAGACAGTAATGATTTTTATGAATTGTGTCTCTCTTCTCAGAATTTATGATGTGATTTTTTTTCTTCATCTTCTTACACTCCTGATAACTTACAAAACTTTTTTTTTTTTTTGAAACAGGGTCTCTCTCTGTCACCCAGGCTGGAGTACAGTGGCATGATCATGGCTCACTGCAAACTCTGCCTTCTGGGCTGAAGCATTCCTCCCACCTCAGCCTCCCAAGTAGGTGGGACTACAGGTGTGCACCACCACACCTGGCTAAGTTTTGTATTTTTGCTAATTTTTGTATTTTTTGTAGAGCCAGGGTCTTGCCATGTTGCCTAGGCTGGTCTTGAACTCCTGAGTCCAAATAATCCTCCTGCCTCAGCCTCCCAAAGTGCTGGGATTACAGCGTGAGCCACTGCGCCCCGCTCCCAGTTGTGCTTTTTATTTGTCCTTCTTGTCTTGGTGTGCTGGCCGATGCCTTCAGTGGAGTGAAGTGGGGACTGGGTGGGGAGCGGGGAGGGAGGCATCTTTGTTTCTCTTGTCCTCGCAGAGGGAGAGTTTCTGTGTTCAGTGTATGATGTTTGCCCCAGGCTTTTTGTAAAACAAAAACAATCACCATTATCGAATTAAGAAAGTACAATTCTTAATTTGGTTTTTTAAAAAAATTGTGACTAGATGTTGATTTGCCTCCCTTGGTTATTTGTATGTGTGTGTGTGTGTGTGTGTGTGTGTGTGTGTGTGTGTGTTAAAGTGGTCACAGTACTTTTCTCCCTTAGGCTGGTGCTACGTTGAATGATACTGTATGACCATCTCCTGTTATACACACCTTTCTTTTTGGATTAACCTGTGTTATGATGAATGATCTGTTTCATGCATGGCTTATTCAGTTTGCAGCCATTTTGTTTCATATATTAAATCTGTGTTCGTGAGTGAGATTGGACAGGGATTCTTCTTTGTCTTGCTGTCCTTGCCTAGGCGGAGTAATCAATAACTGTGGCCTTAGAAAATAAGCTGAGGAATGTTCCTTCTTTGTATATATACTTGAATAGTTTTTGTGATGTTTGAAGTATTTGTTGTCTGAATGTTGTGGAACTTACAAAGAAAGCTCTCTGGGTGGTATTTTGTTTGTGGAGAGTTTTTGACTTACTGATCTAGCTTCTTTCATGGTTAAAGGGTTTTTCTGTTAGCTTTGCCAACTGACTTTTGCAGGACCTTGTCCATTTCTACTAAGCTTCCCGATGTGTTGACATAAACTGGCTCACAATACCCCTTTAGAAACTCACCAGTATCGGGGGTATCTGTGAGTGAGGTGCCTTCCTTTGCTCTTGGTGCTGGGTATATGTGCCTTCTCTCTTTTCTTGTTGATTATTCCTGTGAGGAGTTTATGTACCTTTTATCAGTCTTTTCAAAGACCCAGCTTTTACCATTGTTGACCCTCCAGAGGATGGAAGGAACAGTAGGATGAATACCTTTATACTGTTCCCCTGTTGCCAATTTGACACTTTTTTTCTTGTCCCCTGAACCATTTGAAAGATGCAGACATCCTGACACTAAGAACGAGGATGGCTTTCTGTATCACCACATTACCGTCAAATTGCTCAAGAAATGGAACATCAGTTCTGTGTCATTTACTATAGAGTCCATGTTTGTGTTTTCCCAAGTGTTTGCAAAATGTGCACTAAATTAGTAGGCATTTTTTTACTTGTTGATTTTGTTGTGGACCCAGAATCTAATTAAGGTCCATGCATTGCATCTGTTCCTTATGCGTTTTTAGTTCCTCTTGCCTTTCATGTTATGACATTGACTTTTTAAATGACTTTTTAAAATTTAAAAATTTTGTCTTCTTTTGGGAAGTTAACATATAGTTATACATCAGTCTTTTTTTTTTTTTTTTGAGGTTAAGTCTCCCTCTGTCGCCAAGGCTGGAGTAACAGTGGCGTGATCTTGGCTCACTGCAGCGTCCGCCTCCTGGGTTCAAGCAATTCTTCTGCCTCAGTCTCCTGAGTAGCTGGGATTACAGGCGCCCGCCGCCACGCCCGGCTAATATTTGTATTTTCAGTAGAGACGGGGTTTCACCATGTTGGCCAGGCTGGTCTCCTACTCCTGACCTCAAGTGATCTGCCTGCCTTGGCCTCCCAAAGTGCTGGGATTACAGGCGTGAGCCACCGTGCCCAGCAGTCTTTTTTAAAATAATAGACATCATTTTTTTTAAGAGCAGTTTTAATTTTACAGAAAAATTGAGCAAGTTTATTGAGTTATATACTTCCTTCCCCTCATTTTCCTCTATTGTTAATATCTTGCTTTGGTTTGTTATGTTTTTTACAATTGGTAAACTGATAATGATGTGTTATAATTAATGATGTCCATATTTACACTAGGGCTCACTCCTAGTGATGTACATGCTGCAGATTTTGCTGAATGTGTGATTTCCTGCAACCACCGTTAGGTTGCCACACAGAGTAGTGGTGTCCTTCAAGTCCTCTGTGCGCCCCCTCATCTTCTCTCCCCTAGCATTTGGTCTTTTCCAGAATGTCCTATAGTTGGACTCATATAGTATGTAGCCTTTTCAGACAGGCTTCTCTGACTCAGTAATATACGCTTAAGACTCCTCCGTGTCTTTTTGTGGCTTGATAGCTCATTTTTTACAATTACTGAGCAATACTCTACTGTGTGAATGCAACACTGCTTCTTTATCCATTTTCCTATTCAAGGGCATTTTGGATACTCTGAACTTCTGACAATTAGGAATAAAGCTATTATTAACGTGTGCAAATTTTTGTATGGATATAAGCTTTCCATTCATTTGGGTGAATACCTGGGAATGGGTTTGGTGGATGATTCGGTTAGAGTATGCTTAGCTTTATAAGGAACTGTGAAGCTGTCTTCCAACATGTCTACGCCGTTTTGCATTCCTGCCAGCACTGAACGAGAGTATCTGTTGCTCCACATGCTCATCAGCATTTGATGTTATCAGTGTTTGGATTTTAGCCATTCTGGTGGGTATGTAGTAGGATCTTATTGTTATTTCATTTTCAATTTCGTAATGATGTGAAATTGGGCGTCTTTGCATGTTCTTATTTGCCGTGTTATATCTTCTTTGATGAGGTATCTCTTCAGGTTTTTTGCCCATTTTAAGAATCAGGTTGTTTTTCTTGTTGCTGAGTTTTAAGAGTTCTTTCCATATTTCAGATGCCAGTTTTTTGTTTTTGTTTTTGTTTTGAGATGGGGTTTCGCTCTTGTTGCCCAGGCTAGAGTACAATGGCGTGATCTTGGCTCACTGCAACCTCTGCCTCCTGGGTTCAAGTGATTCTCCTGCCTCAACCCCCGAAGTAGCAGGGATTACAGGCACCCGCCTCCACGCCCGGCTAATTTTGTATTTTTTTTAGTACAGGCTGATCTCAACTTCTGACCTCAAGTGATCCACCTGCCTCGGCCTCCCAAAGTGCTGGGATCATAGGCATGAGCCACCACACCCGGCCTGGATGCCAGTTCTTTATCAGATATGTGTTTCGCAAATATGTCCACCCAGTTTGTGGCTGCTTGTTTTCTTTTCCTAGTAGTGGATGTTCGCTTTTTGACGAGTTTGGACCAGTGATCCTCCAGGATGTCCCACATTCTAGTTTAATTTCTTCGCTTTTTCACAAGTTTTTGTCAAACCAGATTAAAAAAAAGCATGATCAAACCTTGTGCTGTCCATAGTAGATGTATTTTAAATACAAAGACATATGAAGTTTGAGAGTAAAAGAAAGGGAAACGATATACTATGCCAATACTAGTCATAGAAAACCAGTGTGGCTCTATTAATCAGAGAAAATAGACTGCAAGATGAGGAGTATTATTGATGATAAAGAGGGCCATTTCCTCATGATAAACAGGCCAGTTCATGAGCCAGGCACACACCATCCTGAGTGTGCGTGCGCTTAATATCAGAGTTTCAAAGGACATGCAGCAAAATGAACAGAATTAACAGGAAAAGTATGCAAATCCATAATCATAGTTGGAGGTTAGAAGATCTTCTTTTAGTAATTGATAGATTAAACTGATAGTTAAAAATTATAGACAAAATTGATAGTTAAAAAATTTTTTTTTGAGATGGAGTCTCGCTTTGGTTGCCCAGGCTGGAGTGCAGTGGCGTGATCTCGGCTCACTGCAACCTCCACCTCCTGAGTTCAAGCTATTCTCCTGCCTCAGCCTCCCAAGGAGGTGGGACTACAGGCGCCCACCACCACGCCTGGCTAACTGTTTTGTATTTTTAGTAGAGATGGGGTTTCACCATGTTGACTGGGCTGGTCTTGAACTCCTGACCTCAGGTGATCTGCCGGCCTCGGCCTCCTAAAGTGCTGGGATTACGGATGTGAGCCACCGTGCCTGGCCCTGTAATTAAAAACTTTCTTATTGAGAAAACTCTAGGCATAGTATATTTTTTCTAGTCCAAAGCAAAAGCCAGTATTAATGTAAAAGACCTAGCAATATTATCAATCACCCCGACTTAATTAACATTTATACAGCCGTCCACACAACTGTAGAATATACATTCTCAAGTGCATGTGGAATGTTCACCATATGCTGAGCCATAAAGATGTCTCAATAAAGTTTGAAAGATTAAAATCATAGAGTATATTCTCTGTTCTTGAAATTCAAAATTATGGAATATCTGGAGAAGCCCCAGATACTTGGAAATGAAATACCACATGAGTCAAAGACAAAATCATAAAAGAAAATAAAAAATAATTCAAACCTAAAGATAATGAAACTATGACACCCAAATTTATAGGATTTAGGTGTAACAGTGCTTATGGAAATGTACAGCTTTAAATTCTTACATAGAAAGATACATTTTAGAAATATATTTAAAATGAAAATCTGTTTTTTTGAAACGGAGTCTCTCGCTCTGTCGCCCAGGCTGGAGTGCAGTGGTGCCATCACCACCCACTGCAACCTTTGTCTCCTGGATTCAAGCAATTCCCCTGCCTCAGCCTCCCAAGTGGCTGGGATTACAGGCGTCCACCACCGTTCCCAGCTATTTTTGTATTTTTAGTAGAGATGGGGTTTCGCCATGTTGGCCAGGCTGGTCTGAAACCCCTGACGTCAAGTGATCCTCCCACCTTGGCCTCCCAAAGTGCTGGGATTACAGGCGTGAGCTACTGTGCTCAGCCTAAAATCTAATATTCTGCCTTAAGGAAACAGAAAATGCTGAGCAAATTAAACTCAAAGCAGAAGGAAAGAAATAACAAACAGCAGAAATCAATAAAATAGAGTACAGGCAACAGAGACAACATAGCTAAAATGTGTTTTTTTTGAAAGGATCAGTAAAAGTTGACGAATCTCTACGTAGGTAGATCAGTGAAGAAAGAGAGAAAACACTTTATCAACATCAGCAATGAAGGAGAGGATATCCCCACATATCCTATAAGCATTAAAAAGGTAAGGGAATATTATTAATTTTATATACATTTAAATATGTAATTAAATGGACAGATGCCTTAAAATACAACTTACCAAAACTGACCTAAAATGAAATAGAATATCTGAATAGCCCTATATCAATCGGCTTCTTTCCAAGGCCATGCCAGGCATTTAATCCCTGTGAGGCCAGGGGCTTTTTATTTTGTTTACTGCTACATTCCAAGCTCTTAAGATAGTGTCTGTTACCCTAGCAGGTGTTTGGTAATTGTCAACCACATGGGTGGGTAGATGAATGGATGTTTTTATTTTTATGTTTTTTTTTTTTCAATTTTTTATTTTTCCATAGGTTATTGGGGTACAGGTGGTGTTTGGTTACATGAAGAAGTTCTTTAGTGGTAATTTGTGAGATTTTGCTGCACCCTTGTAGTCTTTTATCCCTCGCCCCCTCCCACCCTTCTCCCCAAGTCCCCAAATTCCATTGTATCATTCTTATGCCTTTGTGTCCTCATAGCTCAGCTCCCACGTAACAGTGAAAATATACGATATTTGGTTTTCCATTCTTGAGTTACTTCACTTAAAATAATAGTCTCCAGTCTCATCCAGGTCACTGTGAATGCTGTTAATCCATTACTTTTTATGACTGAGTAGTATTCCATCATGTATATATACCATATTTTCTTTATCCACTCATTGATTGATGGGCATTTGGGTTGGTTCCATGATTTTGCAATTGCGAATTGTGCTGCTATAAACATGCGTGTGCAAGTATCTTTTGTGTATAATGACTTATTTTCCTCTGGGTAAATACCCAGTAGTGGGATTGCTGGATCAAATGGTAGTTCTACTTGTAGTTCTTTCAGGAATCTCCACACTGTTTTCCATAGTGGCTGTACCAGTTTACATTCCCACCAGCGGTGTAGAAGTGTTCCCTGATTACCACATCCACACCAGCATCTACTGTTTTTTGATTTTTTTATTATGGCCATTCTTGCAGAGGTAAGGTGGTATCTATTGCATTGTGGTTTTGATTTGCATTTCCCTGATCATTAGTGATGTTGAGCATTTTTTCATATGTTTGTTGGCCATTTGTATATCTTCTTCTGATAATTGTCTATTCATGTCCTTAGCCCAATTTTTGATGGGATTTTTTTTTCTTGCTGATTTGTTTGAGTTTGTTGTAGATTTCCGGATATTAGTCTTTTGTCAGTTGTGTAGATTGTTAAGATTTTCTCTCACTCTGTGGGTTGTCTGTTTACTCTGCTGACTGTTCCTTTTGCCGTGCAAAAGGCCTTTAGTTAAATTAAGTCCCAGCTATTTATCTTTGTTTTTATTGCATTTGCTTTTGGGTTCTTGCTCATGAGATCCTTGCCTAAACCAGTCTCTAGAAGGGTTTTTCCAATGTTATCTTCTAGAATTTTTATAGTTTCAGGTCTTAGATTTAAGTCCTTGATCCATCTTGGGTTGATTTTTGTATAAAGTGAGAGATGAGGATCCAGTTTCATTCTCCTACGTGTGACTTGCCAGTTATCCCAGCACCATTTGTTGTAAAGGGTGTCTTTTCCCCACTTTATGATTTTGTTTGCTTTGTTGAAGATCAGTTGGCTGTAAGTATTTGGGTTTATTTCTGAGTTCTCTATTGTGTTCCGTTGGCCTATGTGCCTGTTTTTATACCAGTGCCATGCTGTTTTGGTGACTATGGCCTTATAGTATAGTATGAAATCAGGTAATGTAATTCCTCCAGATTTGTTCTTTTTGCTTAGTCTTGCTTCGGCTATGCAGGCTGTTTTTTGGTTCCATATGAGTTTTAGAATTGTTTTTTCTAATTCTGTGAAGAATGATGGTGGTATTTTGATGGGAATTGCATTGAAATGAGTGGATATTTTTACTGAAATGTCATCTGATCACCAGATGTGGCATGCACCCCTCTCCTTGACTCTTTAGTCCTCCTGGTGTGGTCTGTTTTTCTCCACAGCTTTTTCCCAGTCTTATGTATATTGTCTCTATGTCACCATTAAAATGTGAGTTCCAGGATAACAAGGTCTTTGTTCTATGAACCGCTTTATCATGGGTACCTAAAACCAAGCATCTCAGAACATAGGAAATGGTAATTCAATGTTCACTGCATTCTACGCTAATGTCATAAAAGCAACAGAATGATCCCTAGAGCCAAGTCTTTCTTGGTTGTATTTTCCCCCACTGTGTTATTCCATTAGTTTATCCTTTCATAGGTTTATTTTGCACATCACGTGGCATGCCACCGGAGACAGGCGCGTGTTCTTCCAGATCTAGACAGCCATAAGCTGCACTGTAGAGCATGCAGTCCTGTTGCCGAGTCTTTCAGCCTTCAGATAGGCTCCCTCCATCAAAACGAAGCCTGCAGCATTACAGATGATACACTGTCGGTACACAATGTAAGATTTAAAAACATTTAAACATGCTAGTTTTAACTATACTTTTCTTTTTGTTTAATCACCATTTATTCTGTTGCTGGTTGTTTTCTCAGCCTCAGCAGAAAACTGAGGTTCAGGCCTTAAGCAAAATCCGGGCTCAGATTTTCCCCATGCACCGCCCTCCCTTGCATTCCCCTGTCTGTGTTTCAGGCAATTAGGACTGGCAGCTGTAGCCATTAAGAATTCACGTAGCGGAACGTTTATCGGGAGAAGGATTAATCCACTACTCGAATACTCCCAATTAGCTTTTAGACCCTGTCTGCCTTTTCTTCTTTGCAAAAGGAGAAAGGTTTTTCCCACTTGATACATTTTTTTTCTCTGCTTTTTAGAGTTCCATTGTGACCAGAAGCTATTTCCACCCTTTGCTGTGTACCTAGGCACAAAGCTACAAGGCTTTTCCCTGTGTGTACAGCTCATGGTGCCCTCTCTAGGTAGGATGAGCTTTGCTCCAGGTTACCTGCCTTTCCTTAATTTACTGAACATAAAGTTGGAGTTTTATGTGGTTTTGCATTTTTGGTTTAGGATAATTTTTAATTCTTCGGTGGTCTTCCTGTGGTGTTTACAACCTAACCCCTACCCTCTGCCAAAATCATCCTCAAAGGCCATTTTTGTCTTGCACTATGTTCTACCCTTACCCCTCCGGACATTAAATAGGGACATAAAATGGATCTTATCATGGAGAGCACAGACGGAAAGCAAAGACTGTTTTGTTCTGATTGTTGGTTATAAGTCTAGCTTAAAGCCGAATTGCATGATGATGTATTGTGATAATGTAGGGAAAATATTGGCCCCTTCAGAGAGAGAGAGAGTTGTGCCAGCCCAGCCATGGTGGGCAGGCAAGGTTGGAGGGGGCCTCCTGGAGAAGGCGGTGCTTGCTCGGGCTGAGTCTTACAGAAGAGAACAAAGGCAACAGTTGTCCCTGAGAGGGGACTGGAGGGGATGATCTCAGAGGAAGTAGATGATATAATAAACCAGCATGGTATTCATTGGAAACTACAAGCAGTTCTGTGCTATGGGAGCCTGGAGCCTGAATTGGGTTTCAAAAGAAAGAAGGCCAGAAAGTGTTCCAGGCTAAGGCATAGAGCACCTCGCAGACTCTTAGGGATGTGGGCTTAGATAAATCCTTTTGATGCCGTGTGAAGCCTGGCTCTGGGGAGAAAAGACTGGCTAGAGAAACTCCAGGTAGAAGGCCGTCGTATACAAGAGGCCAGTGGCGGCACCCTGAGTCAGGCTGGTGGGGCGACCCTCAGGACCTTCCTAGGACAGGTGGAGGTTGAGTTAGAGGGAGCAGGTGAGACCTGGACTGTGACCAGGCACCAGAAGCGAGAAGAAGGAGCTTGTGGGCATTTGTTCTCAGGTTGTGAGTAGGCCGGAGGTCCATGAGTATGGGGTCGTGAGAAGTAGGGGCAGACATGCTGCGGGCGGTTCCCAAAATACAGTTTCTAGAGCCGAAGAAGGCCAAGAGAGTGAAATCTGGGGAGCAGAAGAGGATCCTGGCAGGTGATGGGGAGGAGAATTGGGAGAAAATGGCATGGGGGAAGCCGGGAAGGGTACCTGTCAGCCCGGGGGAACAGAGATGGAATTGATATCCATTATTCCAAGGAGTCTGGCCCTTTAGCAAGAAGAGCACTTTATATTCCAAGTGAAGCAGTCCTGTTCAAAATAAGCAGCTCCCCATTTCTGAGAAGATGCTGAGTACATCTTCTGCCAGAGAACTCAGAATGTGAATCAGAATTCTCAGCCCTATTAAAGTGGCATCTTCTCAGGGCTCGTTCCTGTAAAGCCCCTTAAGGGCACAGCCTTCCTTTAAACTCTCAGCCAGGAACTGTGGTCTCATCTGGATTTGCCGCCGCAGCTTTCCCTGGACTAAAGATGGACTTGTGCCACCATTCTCAGAGGAGGGCAAAGGACAGGGGTCAGCAGATTCCTCCTCCTCCTGAAGGGGGTTCTTGAATACATATCATCCAGAAGCAGGGGGTCGTGGCCCCGAAAGGTCAGGAGTGGGGGGAAGCGGTACTTGTGAACAGACAACTCGGGAGTATACATCACCAGTAAACCCCAGTCCCGTAAAATCCGTAAGGCTGCAAGCTTATTGTCATTGGTGGTGGTGTTTTTGGTACTTCCTCTGCCCTTCTTTTATTACAGTTAAATAATTATTCCATGAGCAATTCTAAATAAATATTATTTAATAGGATTTATTGGTTTTTTGTTTTTTTAATTGGGATTGTCATTATCAAATAGATGCCTCTTGTGTTGGTATACAGTTAATTGTTGCTTCTGTTGAAAGATGGATCATGGGCCGGGCACGGTGGCTCACGCCTGTAATCCCAACACTTTGGGAGGCCGAGGCGGGCGGATCACCTGAGGTCAGGAGTTTGAGACCAGCATGGTGAAACCCTGTCTCTATTAAAAATACCAAAAAAAAATTAGCCATGCATAGTGGCGGGCACCTGTAATCCCAGCTACTCAGGAGGCTGAGACAGGAGAATCGCTTGAACTGGGACTTGGAGGTTGCAGTGAGCCGAGACCGTGCCATTGCACTCCAGCCTGGACAACAAGAGAGAAACTGTCTCAAAAAAAAAAAGATGGATCATAAAGCTTTTGAAATACACTATTATCAGAAAAATACGTGATTTTTAAAAAGTGATATTTATGTCAGACCACAATTATCATTTGTTAAAATTGTTACTTTATTCGTCTTGAGAATCTAGCGGTGTCCAAGAAAAAGTTTTATGGTAAACTTGACCTTTCTTTTCTGAGAAATTCTAGCATTTTGTGTTTGCTTACAGTAGTAGAAGGCCATTAACAAAAACTCCATTTCTTTGGGAGAAGTGCTGGAAATGTTTGGAGTATTTCTTTATGAGAGCTTAAACTTTAACAAACAAATGATTTCCTTGATGCCAAGAGATACAAAACCTGAGAGTGCAGCTGCACTGACTTCGCGGGTGCCCTGCATTTAAAACCACGGTCATAGCGCTGCGGTGCCCATGCTTGAGTGCGCCCAGCATCACCTGCAGGCTCACGGAGCCACAGACTGCCAGGCCCTCCCTGAGCCTCTGCTTCTGTGGCCGTGGGTGGGGCCTGACGATTTGGCTTTCTTGGGTGTCCCACAAAATTGCTGCTGCGGCCGCTTCTGCTGCTGTCTGGGTTGTCTGCCTTTGAGAACCCCTGGTATGGACAGTGTGGTGTGAGAGGCAAGCAGGATATTCATCTTATGGTTTGGGGTCACTCTGCTTCTTACGTGTCGGGAGAGACACTTCCCCGACCCCTTGTTTTCCATCTCTAATTTTAGCCGTCTAGGGCAGAAACAGTCCCGGGTAAACACCAAGGCCTCGTGGGAGGCACCTAGGAGGTGAGGAGGGGCTACGTCTGCCGGGTCTCCAAGCAGGAGTGAGAACCAGCTAGACAAGGGGAGGCCTGGGAGTGCGAGGGGGCTCTGGTGACAGGAAGTAGTCCCCTCTGACCCGGTGACACCGTGGGGAGCAGGTGATGTGGTTCCAGTGCTCTGTCATCCTGGGGTCAGTAGGATGAAAGATGTCGTAGCAGCACAGGCAGCACTGTGGAAACTGTTCTCACGACTGTGAGTCATTGAGGCTCCTGGACGCGGCGGAAGTGCAAGCGGGAAAAAGGATGGCAAGTTGAGTAACCTCAGGGGTAAGCAAGGAGGTGTGAGAATCACTCACTTCCTCGGCAGGGCCTGCACGCACCTGGTGCAGGAGCAGCAGAAGCCATGCTGGCTCTTCCTGCTGCGTGTGCATCTGGCCCTGGAAAGAGGCACACCCAGCAGCGGGCTCTCCTGGCTCACCCGGGGCCGTCAGGGCGCTGCAGTTTGCAGGAGCATCCTTTGGGCTCTTACCTCAGTCGGTGGGGCTGGGCAGCTGGGTGTCTCCAGCCCATCATGCTGGAACATGCTGGAAGCTTCCTCAGGGTACTCGGGCTTATTTTGGTAGTCATACACATGAAATGCACTTTGGGGGAGAAGGATGAAATATTTTGGTTAATCCACTGAAAAAATGAATGTTGAGGAACACAGCCAGCTTTCCTGTTATTTATTAATAGGCTTAAGATAGCCAGAAGGACATTTCTGCTAGAAAGTTATTGCCAGCTGAAAAAGAACAAGTCTTCATTATTATCCAATTTGGTATATATATATATATTTCAGGTTTTTATGAAGCTAAGGGCAAAGGTCAGCTGCTTCCTATTCCTTGTGGATTGTGCTGCTGATGGGAACTTCCTTTGACTTCACAAATACAAGGGATTGGAAGTGCATTCTTTGTTATCTCATATGTAAGATGAGGCTTTTAACACGATTTTCTTTTAGTTAATTTTAAAATATTTTATTATAAAATTCATTTTTTTTCAAATGGTGCAGATAAGCATAAAATAAACAATAAAAGTTCTTCCTTTCCTTCCCTCCAAGCCTTTGTGTGGCACGTTCTTGGCATGTTGCAAAGTGCCGTCATCATCATCATCATCATTGAGTTTGGAAGAGGAAATGATAAGTTTTATTTTTCCCTTCTCAAATTTTTGAATTTGAGGTGTCACAGGCAATCAAATGAAAATAACCAACTCTCTGTAGAGGTGGTAGTTGCAGCTGAACATTTTTGGGACTTCAATGTTTAGGCAGTATTTAAAACCAGGGAGTTATATTTGATTGCCTGGGAGAAGATGTGGAATAAGAAGAATGGAATAGGCCCCTGACGATAAGTTTTTAAGGGGAGGGTGGAAGGGAGGGGTCCCAAGCTGGGAAACTTTGGAAGAATGAGCTGAGGCAGCCGGAGACCTGGGGAGAGAGTGTGTGTTTGAGGGGAGACGGCGCATAGATGTCAGGTGGGGCAGGAATGGAAGAGACCATGGGATGCAGCATGTGAAGAGGTGACTATGTGTTCAGTAATTTCTGGAGAGCAGTTAGGATCAAAACTAGGTTTGCATTTTTAAAAAACAATTTGAAATAATTTTAAATGTACACGAGAGTTGCAGAGGCAGCACAGAGAGTTCCTGTGTGTCCTTCATCCAGCTACCCAGTGTCAACCTCTTACATGACCTCAGCACAGCGATCAAATCTAGGAAACATATGTTGTTACAGCACTGCCAACCACACACAGCCTCCTTGGTGCCAGCAGCCTTGCCGCTGTAATCCTCTGTATGTCTTGTGGTCCAGCCCAGGCCCCCACCCACATTGGCTGCCTTGTCCTCTGGTCCTCCCAGCCTGGGATGGTTCCTCAGCTGTTCTTGTCTTTCATGACCATGACATTGTAAGATGCTGCTCAGGTGTTTTGGAGGATGTCCCTCACTTTGGGTTTGTCTGATGTGTTCTCATGATGAGATTGAGGATCAAAGTTTTGGGAAGAATAATGCAGATGGGTTATTCTCAGTGCATCAGGTTTGGGGGTGCGTGGTGTGTGTGATTCTTATTACTGCAGATACCAACCTTGATCACTAGGCTGAAGTGGTGCCTTGTGTGTTTCTCCAATGTGAAGTTGTTATTTTCTTTATAATTCATAAGCATTTGAAGGAGATACTTTGAGAGTATGCAGATATCCTGTTTCTCCTTAAACTGCCATGCCCTAATTCTAACATTCATGTGTAATTACTATCCTGGTGTTCTAATGGTGGTGCTGTACCTCCCTATTTCCTTCCACGTTTAGTAACTGGAATTCTTCTGTATGAAAGAATTGTTGCTTCTCTTGTTGTTTATTTACTTGGTTGTTTGTTTATATCCATATGGAGCCACTAATATTTATTTTACTTCTTGGGTTATAATCCATTATTATTATCATTATTTATTTTGTTACTGAAATTGTTTCAACTTTGACCACTGACACACCTTCTAGCATTTTCTCTACCACAGCCCTGGATCAACCATTTTTCCAAGGATCTTTGGCTTTTTTGAGAGTGGGATTTAGAAACCAAGATGTGGCCTCTTTGTGTGCTCGTTACTACTGGAGCATTAGTGTTACTAGGCCTAGGCCCTCTCCGTGGACTTAGCTAAGTGATGCATTTGTGTGTAGTAAGCTGTAAACACATGCATATTGATTTGCGTATCTATGTACAGGTGTGGAAACTAGATTTTAATGACTAAACAGGAGGTAAGGGACTAGGGACTGGAATAGACTAATCTTTCCAGAAGTTTGGTGATACTACTGAATAACACTGTTTTTTCTAGCTTTCTCTGTAATACAATTTTTGCAATAAATACATAGAGAGCATGTGATTAGAGGAGCCTGTCTGTTGGGGAGACCTCGAAGAAAGAACAAGGCTAAGCAGGGATGTTTAGTTTCTGCAAGAGGTAACTTATGTTTGTAGATAGGAGAAAGGGGGTTGCTGAAGAAAGTATAAATCAGTGGAGTAAAGGATGAGAAATGGGAAGGTATGAGAAGATTAATTCAGGACAGAGATACAGCATTTGACTTGGCAAGCCCAAGCACTCTTCTCTGAGACGTGGGAGGGAAGGAGAGGTGAATACAAATGTGGTGGAGCTTTGAAGCTGGACATGAGAGCTGGTTCCCCTTGGAGCCTGTCTCCTGTTAAGTGAGAAGCCAGGCCATGTCCTGAGAGGTGGGGGCCATGAGTGCCAGGATGGAAGGGTCAGGAGAGAGGAGACATGGCAACCCACCCCTTCCTCATGTTTACTGCCTGGCATAGTTGGCATTTTTCTTTATGTTGAGGAAAATGCTGCTATGATCTGATTAGTAGGTGCTAAATACCCCAGTTTGTATAAAGTAGGATGGTATCTTTGCAGGGCTAATGAAATGGCCAAATCAGGTTTGGGTAAGGCCACCTGGAGATCCATGTCCTTCAGCTGATGGCAGTCTTCCTGTGTATCCCAGCTATCCACAGAGATGCTTGCGAGTTCTACCATCGCAACAGCGGCGAGGCCAGGTTCTCCCATCCCAACAGTGGTGAGGCCAGAAATTTCCAGGCTCATCACATCTACCTGCTCAGCCTGTGGTGGGTTGGAGTTGGGGTTGGGACACCCCACCTGCCCTTCCAGAGGGCGACTGTCTGCACCTGCCCAGTGTGCCCCCCGTTCCCTCCTCTGCAGTGTCAGAGCTGCTGTGCCTGGATCTGAGGAGGGGCCGTGGGAGAAGAAGCCGCCCCCACGACACTTGCGCTTGCCTTTTCAGCTGGAGCACGGGGTGGCGGCACCGTGTCGTTCTGCCCACCTCACCCACTGGGATGCAAACTTGCTGAGGCCAGGGCTTCTTCCTGCCATGCCTTGCCACCACGCCCCTTGCCTCCCCTGGGACATGCCGTTCTCTTCTTTGTACTCATCTGTTTGGTATGTGAGGGGTTTTGCGTTTTGTCTTCTGCTCTGTAATTTAAAGGGATAAAACGCTCACATTTAACTTAAGCCAAAACCCAGTTTCAGTCTTTCCACCAGAAATCCCTGAGATGTAGAATTGTGGGAAGCTCCTTGGAGGCTGGCGGGCTGCTGGGCTGCCCCTCTGTGGGAAGACAGCCTGCAGGCTTCAGTGGGCTGGGCTCTCCCGGCCATGGCTGCCTTGGTGGCTAACTCAGGCTGCGGCGACAGACTGGTGAGGCAGGCGGACTCTTCCCCTGATGTTTAATATAACCTGACAGATAAAGTGGATTGTAATGAAGAAATTATCTAAAACCCATTTCTATTTCTTTGTTTGAAAAGAAAACATGGCCTTGAATATGATTCTTGGAGAAAAAGAAGAGACGCTTTGATTAGGAATTATTCTCTGTACTTTTAGTTTTGGATCAAGAAGAAATGAAAACCATTGGCCACAAGCTCTTGAGTGTTCCAAGCAGCCTTCCGTGTATACAGGGGGCTTTTCAATTCTGGGCTGGTGTGGGTTGGTGCAGTCAGGATGACAGAGGAATATTCCACAGGACAACGAGGAGTGACTCTACTGTGGGCGTTGTTTCTGCCCCTGCAGCCGGGGCTGTGAGGCTGCAGGCTGCCCTTTGCTGGTTTGCAGGGGCCATAATTCTGGCCTGGAGCTTGACAAACGACCCAGGACCTCTGAGATGGGAAATGAGGTCTGCATCCCGTGTTCTAATCAGGATTCGCTATCAAAGGTCATTTTCCACACTGTGGCTTAATAGAGTTGGTTTTATATTCCCTGAGGGATACAGACTTCCAAATTGTTGCAGTCTCACTAACTGTAATGTATACAGCTCATGTTTGAAAGGAAATCGCCTCTCCTCCAAGGCAGCGGTTCTCAACCAGGGAAACTTTTCCCCTCAGGGGACACTGGGACATTTGGCAATGTCCAGCAACCTGGAGATTGTCACATCTAGGTGTGGGGGTGGCTGGGTGGTGCTGCGGAAGATTGTGTGGTGCACAGGGCAGCCCCACAAGGAGCGGCCCGGCCCCAAATGGCCCTGGTGCTGAGAGGGACAGACGCCGCTCACAGAGAAGCGACCACAGAGGCCCACATCCAAGCAGGCTTCCCAGAGCAGGCGGGGCTGGGAAAGCTGTTCTGTGGCGCAGCATCCCAGTGGCTGTTACGGGGTGAAAGCCCCTCTTAGAATTTAAAGTCCTAGAGCAGAGACCAACTGGGGCCATCCATGGCCCTGTGCCGTGCTGCCTCCTGGACGCACGCTAGGAGGTGGAGATGGTCCAGCCCCAGCAGGACTGGGCCACGAGGACCCTGCCGGTAACCTGGTGCTCGCCGCCCACAGATCACGGGGCGTGGAGGGAGAGACTGCCAGTGCTGTCCTAGTGCAGCAGTACCTCATGGTTATGACGGATCATCTTCCTGAACTTTGCATCTCAGAATTTAAAATGGAGATTTTGATTTTGATTTTGGCAAATGTGGAAAATAGATTTCAGCTCAAAAAGCAAGACCTGAGAACATGGTGTGTTAAAATATCTTTCATTTCATGCCACTTTGCAGCCCTGGGACCCTCGGGGTTGTACCTAGAAGGTAGTAAAGATGACAGCAGCCCCCGTTTCACTGATGGTGGCGCAGAGGACGTTGTGAGGTGGCTGTAGGGTCAGGTGGCTGTAGGGTCAGGGCTGGGCAAGTTGTATTCAGATGCTGTTCGCTAAGCCCAGAACATTATAGGAGGTAAATAAATAGCACGCAGTGTTCTGGGGGTAAAAAGATACACCCATGTCCCAGGCTGCTGCCAAAATCCTTTCTCCTGTCAGCGTGGGGGGTGATCCTGCCCAATTAAAGGACGTCTTTTGGCCCTTCTTTCCCTTGGCAGCAGCATGGAAGTGGGTGGGGGAGGAGAGGAGCATGCTTCCCCCAACCCCTGGGGACCTGTGAGCGCAGCCTGCAAGCTCCGGCTCCAGGAGGAAGCGTGCTCAAGTGCACCTCTGACCACGTCACGCTGCGAGAACGTGGGCGCTACACCTCCGACCACATCGTGCTCCGAGAACGTGGACGCTGCACCTCTGACCACGTCACGCTCCGAGAACATGGACGCTGCACCTCTGACCACTTCCTGCTCCGAGAACGTGAACTCTGCACCTCTGACCACGTCACGCCCCGAGAACGTGGACACTGCACCTCTGACCACATCATGCTCCGAGAACGTGGACGCTGCACCTCTGACCACATCATGCTCCGAGAACGTGGACGCTGCACCTCTGACCGCATCATGCTCCGAGAACGTGGACGCTGCACCTCTGATCATGTCACACTCCAAGATCATGGACATTGCACTTCTGATCATGTCATGCTCTGAGAACATGGACGCTGCACCTCTGATCATGTCACGCTTCAAGAACGTGAACACTGCACCTCTGACCACGTCACGCCCCGAGAACGTGGACGCTGCACCTCTGACCACATCATGCTCTGAGAACGTGGACGCTGCACCTCTGATCATGTCACACTCCAAGATCATGGACATTGCACTTCTGATCATGTCATGCTCCAAGAACGTGGACGCTGCACCTCTGACCATGTCGCGCTGGCCAGAATTTGGCTGCAGGACAGACTTCACTGGAAAGGAAACTGGGCCATGTGCTCAGCTACAACTGCTTTAGAAGAGAGAGAAAATCAGATATTAGCCTAGCAGTCTCTACCACACTGGCATTTAGATAATTTTCAGCTTTTTTTTTTACCAGTCAAAACATCTCATGTACAAATGCAAGTATTTCTATAGGATGGATATCTAGAAGTAGTCAGAAGGAATGTGCCTTTAAAATTTTTGTTAAGTACTTCCCAATTGCCTTCCATACAAGCTTCATTAATTTACATTCCCACCATTGATGGATGAGTGCCCTGCATCCTCCCACAATGGGGCATTATTCACATTTTATCCTGCTTTCCACTTTGCTGAATAAAAACAGAA
Organism: Homo sapiens; assembly: GCF_000001405.40. Lineage (NCBI taxonomy): Eukaryota > Metazoa > Chordata > Mammalia > Primates > Hominidae > Homo > Homo sapiens. The sequence continues at coordinate 80,728,004 of NC_000017.11, forward strand.
TGGATGAATGAATGGATGGGCGGATGGATGGATGGATGAATGGATGGATGGATCGATAGGTAGATAGATAGATTCTCATTGTAATTTGCATTTCTAATAAAGAGCATGAAACTTAGAATCATTTTTGATTCATTTTTCTTCTGTGAATTGCCTGTTTGTATGTTTTGCCTGTTTGTTTTCGTTTTGTCCCTTGTTGATCTGCAGCAGAAGTTTATATAGACACATCTAAAAAATTCTCTGTCATGTACTGTGTACCTCCTTTCTTCTAAAATTGCTAGTCATTGATATGTCTTTATTAGAATTATAGATTTTTTTATCTTACTGTATCAGTCAGTCTCAAGACTTATTAGGTTTTGTGACTTGCTTAATTAAGGCCTTTCATATGCCAAAATAAATGAAAATTTTCCTGTGCTTTTACATTTAGGTTTTCAGTCCACTCTGGGGTGTGTGTGTGTGTGTGTGTGTGTGTAATCTCAGATAGCAAAATACCAAATGGCTGGTTAGAGTTTCCAGCATCAGTTATTGAATTGTTAATTCCTTCTTTGCAGATTTAAAATGCTGTCCTCATTAGAGTTACGTATGTGGGTCTATTTCTGGACTCTCTCTTTTCTGTTGATTTGTTTGTCTCCCTCACTAATACCATCCTGTAATTACCATAGATTTATAGTATCTTTAATATCTGGCAGTGTGAGTCCCTATTCATTATTCTTTATTAATTTTTTTTTGCTCTTGTGCTTTTTTTTTTCTCTGTACTATATAATCATCTTGTTAAATTCCGTGAATGGAAAAAACCCAGAAGGTATTTTGATTAGGCTTGGACTGACTTTCTGGATTCATTAGGCAAGAATTGACATCTCTAGATCCTTCAGTGGGTTTATTTACAGAGAGCATTTCCAGGTGTTCTATTATAGAGCAGTGATTATAAACAGTCCACCAAACGCGGACAGTTTTAACAACATGTTTGGCAGAGCACAGGTAGAATGGGGTCCTGCCCACGATGATGTACGTGTCTCCACACACCCCCCACACATCTGCGTCGTTGGTATACTGTATCATCATGTCTGAGATATAACTTACGTCTGAGATGTAGCTGATGTCTGAAATGTAACTTTTGTCTGCTTCTTTGCTGTGCACGGACAAAGCTTCTGCAGGCTTCCTGCACGCCATACTTCCCCAGGCTTTGCTGGATCTGGCCTTCTGTCCCTTTCCTCTTGAGTTATAAACAATCCTGTAGGCAGTACCAGCGGCAGGATATGTGGCTTAGCTGCTAAGAAATAAACTCACTTTTACTGTGACTTTGATTTTTGCCAATTTCTGGGAATTTGATTTCTGCCACAGCTTCACTACTTACACTCTTGATGTCCAAGGAAAGGTAAATAATGAACGTGTTCTGTGGAGAAGAATTCCTTAAAAATGTTAGCTTTGCGTTCGGATTGTAAGTGTTTCTCAAGTGAGATGAGAACATTCTCCTCTGCATTTACCAGAATCACTAGTGTCTGTTCAGGCGCTGAACAGTATGGTGTGTTCTGAAAAATGTTTCACTCAGCAGATTAGTGTTACTAGGTTATTGTTCTGTGACTGAAATAAATTTATACAGCCAAACCCACTTATACCCCTTAAGTATGATCTTTCAAAAGTCATCTCAATGACAAAGTGCTTATGGACCTCTCTGAAATTAAAGGGACAGTGGCATGCAAATTTGAGGACCCGGCCAACTCTTAGAGCTCCCCTCCCTTGTAAATGATGTGTGTGTTGTGTTATATAAACCCAGAGATGTGACAGAGTTAAAGGACAAATGGAGACACGGAGTGAAGAGCACGTGTGTGAGACAGCTGTGGGTCCATGGAGGGAGGCCCCGCGGCGGGAACTGAGGCAGCCATGGGGTACATGAGGGAAGCCCCACAGTGGGAACTGAGACAGCTCTGGTTCCATGGAGGGAGGTCCCGCAGTGAAAACTGAGACAAGTTTAAGGAGTTGACCAGCAGCTGAACCCAGCGGCAGCTGCGGAGGAGCCTGGGGCTAGGGATGATGACTTTGGCAGCCACCTGGTGTGGGCGCTACTGGAGTAAAGCAGCATCAGAGGAGATGTGGAGAAATTCAGTTTGATGGTTTTTGTTTTTTGAGACTGAGTCTCGCTCTGTTGCCCAGGCTGGAGTGCAGTGGCGCAATCTTGGCTCACTGTAACCTTCGCCTCCCGGGTTCAGGTGATTCTCCTGCCTCAGCCTCCCAAGTAGCTGGGTTTACAGGTGCCCTTCACCATGTCTGGCTAATTTTGTATTTTTAGTAGAGACTGGGTTTTACCATGTTGGCCAGGCTGGTCTTGAACTCCTGACCTCAGGTGATCCACCCATCTCAGCCTCCCAAAGTGCTGAGATTCAGGTGTGAGCCATTGCGCCTGGCCAGTTTGCTGTTTTTTATAGTTTTGTATAAAGGCTAACTCAGCGTCTCTCCAGCCACCAGGCTCAATGTGTGTGCCTTTTGTAACGGTGCAGTACTCACCAGCAGCCCATATTCCTGAGACGCACATGTAACGAGCGCACTTTGTGTGTTTTCTAGAACTACACGCAGTACATCCCTCTGTCCATATATGACCTGCAGACGTGGATGGGCAGCCCGTCGATCTTCGTCTACGACTGCTCCAATGCTGGCTTGATCGTCAAGTCCTTCAAGCAGTTCGCACTACAGCGGGAGCAGGAGCTGGAGGTGAGCGCTCTGGTGCTTGGAGAGCGGTGCTGGGTTTGGTTTTGTTTTCCCTGGGGGTGGGGTTTGGGTGGGGAGGTTGGGAGGTGTTGGACATCCTCTGAATGGAGCAGGGCTCAGAATGCCAAGGGCAGGATGGCATATTCAATGCTGTTGAGCTAGGGAGGCACTCAGCACACTTTATTTTTGAAACATAATCTTGTTCTGTTGCCCAGGCTGGAGTGCTGTGGTGCCGTCTCCAGTCACTGCAATGTCTGTCACCTGAGCCCAAGCAATCTTCCCTTCTCAGCCTCCTGAGTAGCTGAGACTACAGGTGCACGCCACGCCACCATGCCTAGCTAATTTTTGTAGTTTTTGTAGAGGTGGTGTTTCGCCATGTTTCTCAGCCTGGTCTCAAACTCCTGGGCTCAAGCAACGCGTGTGCCTCAGCCTGCAAAGTTCTGGGATTACAGGCTTGAGCACTGAGCCCGGCCCAGTACAAACCTACAGACTTATTTTTACATCTCATTTTACTCAGTGTCATTTTTAATCCAAACATTAATTGATAACATTCATAGGGTCGATTTGTGCCCCAGCAGTCTCTGCCTCCAAGATAAATGTGAAAATAAAGCAGACACATTTATTTTAGGAGAAATGGACCCACAGCTTCAGTTCCACCAGTGCCTTTGTTCCTGCCCCGGTTTCTTTTTCTGTTGTGTTAAAAAAAAAAAAATCCCCGAAAACCACTAAGCTAAAATGATAGAAAACAAACGAAAACAGCTACTGTTGTAGCGCCCACTTCAAAAAGCGGAAAGCCTGTGCACCGCTCTGCTAATGAAGAGACATTTTGCTTGGTTGTTTTAATTAATATTTGATGTTTGAATTAAACAGTGAATTCTGAGGACAAATTGAAGAGGCAGTTTCGATTAAGAGGCCTCCATCTTGTGGCCTGCACAAGAGTGTCAGAATGAAATATTCTGCAGCCTCAAGGGGGTCATGAGTTCTACTGGTTGCAGTATAGGAAATTCTCAATTTAGGAGCAAAAATGATCTTGAGTATGTTTCCTCAAGCCTTTTTGAATATATTCAATTTTAATGTATTATGTTTTCACATTTCATCATAGAAAAATGCTGAAACAATCAGTAACAAAATTTGAAATTCTGTTTGGTAGATTTTCACATTAACATGTGTACAGTTGAATATTTTATAATTATTAATTCTTTATGTGGAACACCGCAAAAGAGTGACTGATAAGTATAATGTGGTTTATCCATGAAAAAGGATCCACATGCAACAAGTTTGTTTGTTTTGTTTTCTATGATAAGGGAAAGAAAGATCAAGGTTTGTATCATCAGATTTTTCCCTTGCTTTCAGGCATTTCATCTTGGTTTACCCAGGGGATAGGTTATCTAATGAGCATTAAGAAACTCAAAGCATTGAGAGGTAATTTATTTTTCCTTGCATCAAGTAATAAATATCGCAAAAAAAAGGTGATTTTTTTACATTTATAATATGTAAATAAAAATGCCAAAGAATCCTGCCTGAGTTCTACACCAGATTTATGGGCTGGAGAGTGGTTAAGGGAAAGACCAATACATCAGCCTCAGTTAATTAAAACATGTTAAATAGAGACCCGCTCCCCTTTCAGCAGAAGACCAGCACCTCCAGCTCATGCATAATACCAAATGCTTGCATTCCAGCGCTTTGAGCATGTGCTCCGGCAGTGCTGTGTGTGCTCTCTGTGTGTTGCCAGGGATTAATCAGCCTAAGACACTGTTCATTTCATCAAGTGTAACAGAAAAGATTCCCATGCATCTTTTTTAGGAAAAAAAAATGTTTGACTCATTCCACATGAAAGAGATCAGATGAAAAATATGTTAACTGAGTTGGCGAATAGATGGCAAGGCAATGCGATACCGTATGTCTTTAATTAGCTCTGATTTTTATCTTCGTTCTTTAATTACAATGTAGATCAGTCTTGTGTGTTTCTATTACACTTACTATTATTGGCTATTGTTCACTTGGTCTCTTATAAAAACAGTGGAAATTAAAATGATAAAATTAGCTCCTAGCTAATAGCTTAATGTTCATTTTAGTAATTTCACTATCTGCTAGAGAAACAGCAATCCTGTGTAGCCTGTTAGGGTTTTTCTTTTAAAATATTCTTTGCCTCTTTACAGCTGGTCAAATTCTTTGTAAATTTACAATATGTTTTAATACTTTTTATTGTATAACATGTGAGCTGAAAGAAATTGACAGGTGAATGATTTGTTCCAGGGTTTAAAAAATAAACAATTGATTAAATATAATGCAAGAAAATGGTTATTTGGACCAGAAAGCCTCCAAATAATAAACATTAACACAAATATGAGTGACATAAATTTTAAGAGATGGTGATCAGCTTTCATATTCTTAGTGGCACAGTGCTTGTCCTGGGACCAGGAGGTTTATTTATTGTTTACTTCTCTCTCAGAGGAGTGCTGTAGGTAGAGTAGAAGACGACTTCATCAAAGCACAGATACAGTATTGCACACACTTCAAACCATCAGAGCCGGAAAATGACATATCTGTCACTCAGTAATCCTTCTTATATTTTTATTGTGTCATATTTCTTTGTAATTTAAAAATTAAGGATAATATTCAAGTCTCTCCGCTTTCAGTCTTCTTTTATAAATAAGTATATTTTACCAAATTAGTATATGCCATGGTTTGAAAAATCAAATAATACAGAAGGTTTATGATGAATAAAGTAGTCCCTGGCCCCACGCTTTCTCTGCTGAGACTCTATGACCAAAGGCACCTCCTTCCCCTGTTTCCATTTCTAGTTCTTCTGGAGGGTGTCTCCTTCCCTGTAGATGACATGCTGAGACCACTGCTTCTTGATTTGTCGTTTTTAGATTATCAGTGGGCTTTGTCTTAGGGTACAAACCAAGAACAGAGCTGCCATTAAGTTCTGTTTAAAGAAGGGAGAAACGATGTGGAAGCCTGTTAGCAAAGAAGTCAATTATGTGTAGATTACATGCTGGTTTAAATTCCTATGTGTTATTTGTATTCAGTAGTGAATTCTAAAGAGAAAATTCTAGATTGAAGAGGCTGCGTCACTCACGACGCCTTCTTGCGTTCCCTCTTATTCACTCTATTGGGTTTCTTTATACTTTGTAAACTTTGTGGTTTCAAGTAATATCCTTATGCTTTTATTTCTAGTTTTATCAGTAATAGCTCATTTCTTCCATTTTCAAGGCTCTTAGCTTCCTTGTACTTTCTTCTGCCTTTTTTCTTTTACAGCTTCTGTTATCTGCACTTTCTGTGATTGTCTTTCGTTCTCTGACCACGATTAACACCTCTGTGCTTGAGTGGAGATTGATTCTATAGGAAGACAAGCATTAAACCTTGTACCTGATTATGACCACATAAATATTGCTCGCTCAGTGGCTAGAGTACTGTGATTTCCATTTTTATAACTGTTTTCGTTTGTTTGCTTTTCCTGGACATTTCCTCTTTTCTTCTTGAATTACCTATCGTTACCACTTCCTCCACTGATAGATCCACAAGGAGAGCGGAGAGCACAGAAGGCGCCCTCTCCCCTCACATCTTCCAAGCTCTCCTGCCTCGCTCAGCCGATCGTGCCTGTGGCCTGCTCCCCGGCGTCAGCTGGCTCCCCTTTGTAATTCTCCAGGATCCGTCCCTGTGTCTAGATCCCACTTCTTCCCCTCTCTCGATTTTCTCCTTTGTTCTCCTAGGGGAAATCCTCAAGCACTGCCCTAAGAAAGGATGTTTGGCAGTCTGAGACCATCAGTATTTGAAGCAGTGGAAGTAATGAAAAATCTCATTACTGGGTTTTAATCAAATAGCAGTTTGTCTTTTTCACTAATAAGGTCTCTGAGGCAAATGATGACTTTTCAGCAGTGCCACTGGGGACCAGGCATCCTTAGCCGACTGGCTTTATCCTCATGTTTGCAATATGCCCACCACATCTGCAGGTGTTTCATCTGCTTGGGAGGCAGGAGGAAATGGGGAAGGGGCAGTGCTGGCCACAGCTGTCTCTTTATAAGGAAGAACAGCCCGCCCTCTGTATCTGTGGCTTCCACATCCTTGGAGTCAACTAACTGTGGCTCCAAGACATTCGGGGAAAAAAAATTGCATTGTACTGGACATGTACACTTCTTCTCACCATTGTTCCCTAAACAATATAGTATAACAACTACGTTTACAGCATTCACATGGTAGTAGATGTTATAAGTAGAGATGATTTGAAGCACACCAAAGTCTGTGTGTGGGTTATATGCAAGCACCACACCATTTTATATCTGTGCATTGGCAGATTTTGGCATCCATGGGGGTCTAGGAACCAATGCCCTGTGGATATTGAGGGATGACTGCAACAAGCAGACTTCGCTTTAGACCGAGTTGGCCAGAGCCAGGTCACGTAGCACCCCAGGTGTGGTTGAGGGGTGACTAAAGGGAGTGGACTTGGGGGTGGCTGTGAGATGATCCAATGAGGACCATCAGCCACATTACCTGGGTAATGTCATCATTCTAACCACATCCATTATCGATAGTGTAGATATGGAATTTTAGGCAATTTTCACTCTTCCAGTGGTAGCCCTGTTACTCCTTGCAGTGGATGAGTAGATGTTCTTGATAAGTCTGCCACCTCCATCCAGATAAATGCCATAAGAGGAATATTTATAGTCATCGTACACAGTATATGTATTGACTGAGTTGGAGAGAGAGAAAAAAAGAGAATTCAAATGTTTTTTAACAACTTTTATCTGGATACTAAATCCTTAGCCTGTAAACTAGAAAGGAAGGTGAAGTCTTAAAGAAACAGATGCTCTTGGAAACGGAGCCCATGAAGTCTTGTCCGTCAGTTTCTTCTAGAGGATATTTCTCAAGGGCAGTCACAGCTCACCGTCACTGAAGACGGCAGTCAAGCCCGGAGTCAAATCTAGGCGAGTTTCTCCTCTTTTTAATGGGAGGCCAGTAGCGAGTTGGGCAGGCGGTAAAGATAATAATGCCTTTCTTCTGCTGGGACAGCACGGGCTCCACTGCCCCAGTAAGTCTTGTTCTGCACATAGCCATCTGCTTTTGGTTTAGGGCTGGAGCATAGGCAAGTTTTTGGTGGGAGCCATGGAAATAGCCTGAGAATGACTTCCTGGAGAGCAGGTTGCTGTGTGTCAGAAGAGTCTTGTATGAAAGTTCAGCCCTGGCCGGTGCGGTGGCTCACGCCTGTAATCCCAGCACTTTGGAAGGCCAAGGTGGGCAGATGGCTTGAGTTCAGGAGTTCAAGACCAGCCTGGGCAGCATAGCGAAACCCCATCTCTACAAAAAATACAAAAGTTAGCCAGCTGTAGTGGCACGCATGTGTCATCCCAGCTACTCTGGAGACCAAGGTGGAAGGGTCGCTTGAGCTCAGAGCTGGAGGCTGCAGTGAGCCGTGATTGTGCCACTGCACCTCAGCCTAGGCAATAGAGTGAGACCCCATCTCTTAAAAAAAAAAAAAGTTCAGCCCATGGATCATGGGCACAATTCACTTCTCCACTATTCCCCCGCACTCTGCAAGGCTTTTCTCAGGATGCTTCCGAGTAACTCGTGTTTGTGTGGTGTCTCTAAACACAATTGTGTGGTCCAGTCCTGCCACCTGTAGCAGTACACTCCCAAAGCACAGAAACCTGTCCGACGGTCACTCACTGCCACAGCGAGAAGCTTGCTTGGGTCCACAGCCTCCCCAAGGCTGCAGTGACTTAACCGCCCCCCGCCCCTACCAATGTGAAAACCTATACTTAAACTGATAGGTGATACATTGGCCTCCTGCACTGATCCCCGTAGCTAAATTTTATGTCAAATAAATATTGTAATTCTGCCAAAAATGACTAACGTCTAGAATCTTCAAGTTTCCTCAAAAATATTAAATGCATATCTCACAGATCTAAAGTACTCATGTTCTGAAATCTTCTTCATTTCTTTGCTACTCTTGTAGACAGGCACACTGCTTGGCTGGCATGGAATTCTGCAGCAAAAGGCAGTTCTCCTGCTGAAGGTTGTGGTTGTAGTGATTGCTGAATACCATCAGTTAGTTCTTTGGGTACCTCTCAACAGGTGTGTTTCTTAATCACTGTTTCCTAAATTGGAATTTGTGTGTGTGAGTTTGCAAATCTTCTCCACGGACTCACCGTCGTCATGGCATTTGTGATTCAGAGGAGGGATCTGCGGTGCCGATTCCACAGGAGCTCAGGCTCGCCTGTATTTCTCTTTCAAGCAATGATTTTCATAAGTGCTTTCCCCTGTAATCTCATAGTTTTGTCATTTGTAGGCAGTAGGGACGTGAGCTGACATGTGTTAGGTCACAACTTTATTAATTTTCAAGTGATATTAATTTTTAGGTTTGAAGAAGATGCTTTCCCCTTTTCTAAGTTGTCTCTGTTTCCTCCAGCATAATTTTTTTTCCTTTGGTTAATTTAGATTATTCTCTGTCATACTGGAGGTATGTGGTGATTTTATTGTTTGTCATATTTAAGAATGAAGAGAAGCTGCCCATCACTGCGTGTCTGTGACAGGAGGCGTTGGCTAGAGGGCCTTGCTCGATGGGAAGTAGGGGGCGCTGGCTGCTGCGCTGGGGACTCATGGATGCCCCCATGCCGAGGTCTTTATTTCTCTGGGCTCTAAATGACTACACCAGCTGCCTTTAATTTTCCCCAGATATGTCAGTAACTCTCTTTAGAGGAAAAAAACCCACCACCAGCCTGAGTGCTTTCCGGCAGGGGGGCGGTGGTGGAGGATCATTGCAGAACACCTGGCTTCAGGCACACAGGTGAGACGCCGGCTGTCCTGATGGCAGGTCTTCAGGTAATCTGTGCCTTCCAGCCCGCACCACTCCAGGCTTGGGCATGGGGGCTGCCTTCCACTTCCCTTCTCTGCATGTGCTCTGGACACTTTCAGTTCCTCTTTTTTAACAAAAGTTGGCCAAAGTCAGTTTTGCGTACCTTATACTTTATTTATAGTAAGCTGTAAGAACCCATACTTGTGAAGGTTTTCAAAACATTAGAATATCTGCTCCCTGGTGTTAAGAAATGTGTAATATAGTTGAAGCACATATATTCATTCTTTCTCTCTCTTTTTCTCCCCCGCCCCCCCGCCACACTCACTCCACCACCACCACAATGACCAAGGAGAAGTGCATTTTTCATTTAGCAGAAATGCTGCCATTTCCACTGTCTATAGCAGAAGGGGAGTTCGTCCAAAACATACAGTAGAAACCCCTTTAATTGGAATCCACAGAACGGCCATCCCCAAAGCCCCGCTGGGGAGAATGAAGCCACTGTGAGAGGTTAAGAGGGTGGGGGGGCAGGGCTGGCCCTTGGAGTGGGCTGGCGAGCTGACTTGCCAACCAGAAAGGAAATAGGTCACGGGAGAAATGGGGGGAAACACAGGCCCATGGAGGATGAGGTCCACGCCTGCCAGTGGGTGCTGGGAGGGCAGCCCCAGGGGGAGCAGGCAGCAGGAGATGCCCAGCCCGGCCCCGTGTACCTGGCAGGCCTCAGCCTGTGGACACCCTCGCCTTTGGTTTGTGTGACATTTCACAGTTGGTGGGACATTTGTGCCGTTTCATCCATCTTTAGTCTGCGCAGCTGAGCTGAATGTGGCCGCCAAAGCTTTTGCTGCTTCTCTGTGCCCATGCACCATCCCTTTCTGTGGTTTGCACGGGGAGATAAAGGTCTTTTTTGTTGGCACCTTTCGTAACTCCGAGTCCTAGAATTTGGAGGCTTCAGTAAAAAGAAAAGTGATTTCTCTGCATAAAAAATTTAAGAACCCTTACCGCTGATGACCTTAAATGAATTTCACAGACACGTGTCATTAGCACAGGCAGCTTCCAGGGTGCAACTGAAGTTCCCCTTTCTTCACAAATGCTTCCCCCAGCCTGAAATCTTCCTTGGCTGACCACATACGGCAATCTCCTACACAGCGGCCTTGACAATCATGTGTTGTCTTGTAGCCTCTCTTCTACTGTCATAAGCTTACTTTACATTTGTTATGTAAACCTGTCAAGAATGCCTCACGTTAAATTGATGCTCAGGAAGGATCTATAGATTTGGCTTGATAAATACATATTTGAATAAACTACCTTTAGTTGTCTTCTTTAGATGTATCCATGATGCATTAAATATATTTGATCTTCAATTGATTTGTATGAAATGTGAGAAGAAACAAAGAAAACTTGATTAGCCATAATTCATGAAAACGATACACTGTTTGCAGTTGTCATAAAACTGGGAGCTTTCCCAAAAATTCTTAGAGTTTAACCTTTTTTTTGTTTCTAATTTCATCTATTTTAAAGTATTGTCTGAAATTGCTTGATATTCTGGACCACAGATGATGGCCAGCACCATGGGTTGCAGACTGGGGCACTGTGATCCCAGCAGGACCCATCTGCCTGGCCCTGCTTGCTGTCGCGGGAACACCTCTGCCGCCACCACGGAGGCCGAGGGGCTCGCCCCGCCCCGACGCGGAGGCAGATGTCTTTCACAAAGGATCCTGGTGGCACAGGGCAGTGGAGTTTCTGGCTGAAGGTGGAGCCTCATGAGAGGAGAGGGGCAAGTGGGAAGTAAGTGCTTTCACTGAACACTGAGGTCAGAAACACGGAAGAGGTGTTCATTCTCACCCATCCTCTCCAGCATCACACGATAAGTCCGTCTGCGCAGAAGGCAAGGGCAGGAAACAGGCATAGAGATCAGAAAAGAAGTTAGGCCATCTTTTCTTGAAGTGATCACCTGTGTTGAAGTGTCAGCTGTTAAGTATCACAGTGGGATTTACAGGATACTCCCTCCAGCAGCAGCCAATACACACACTTTTCCAGCGTCCATGCGGCATTCATCAAGGTCGGTCACATCCTGGGTCATAAAATAAACCTCAACAAGTTTTAAACAGCACAGCGTGTGTTCTTTAACCACAAGAGAATCAGCTACACGTCAATAAACACGAGAAAAAACTGTGAAAAAAATTAAACAACGTATTTCTAAATAATGGGTCAGAAGCCTCAAGGGAAATTAAAAAAAAATACATAGAGTTAGATGAAAATGAATATACAACATATCTGTATTTATAGGATGCAGATAAATCAGTATTGAAAGAGAAATTTATAGCACTAAAATCTTATGTTAGAAAAGAGGAAAGATGACAAATTATTGATATAAATTCCTACTTCAAGAAATTGGAAGAGTAAAATAAACTGAAAGCAGTCAGAAGAAAGGAAATAATAACAGAAATCATTAAAATTGAAAACAGAAAAACAATGGAGAAATATTAAAAGCTGATTCTCAGAAAAAAAATCAATAAAATGGATACATTCCTAGCAATACTAACAAAATAGAAAAATCAAGAGGGAGATGGAAAAACCTCTACAGATCCTGCAGCCATTTAAATAATAATGAACAACTTTACACTCTTAAATTCAGCAACTGAGAGGAAATGGACCAATTCCTCGAAAACCCCCAGCTACCAAAATCCAACCAATTGAATATTCTGAGTATTATCTGTTCAGCAATAGATAATCTGAATAGTCATAGAATCATGAAAGAAATTGAATTTGTCATTTAAAATTGTCTGAAACATAAATCTGCAGGCATACATGGTTTCACTGGAGACTATTGCCAAATATTTAAAAAGAAGAAGCAGAACACCGGTTTTGTACAAGCTCTTCCAGAAGATAGAAGGGTTGGGAACACATTTCAACTCATTTTATGAGGCCATTATTATCCTAATGCCAAAACCAGACACACCGTTCAAAAAAAATAAAAAACAGCAAACCAATATCTGTCACAAACTTAGATGCCAAAATCCTCAAAACAATAATAGCAAATCAGTTCTAGCAATTTATAAAAGGAATTATACGCTGTGACTTAGTGAGTTTTTTTACGGGTGTAGAAGTCTAGTTCAATGTTTAAAAATTAATTAATGTACTTCATACCAACAGACTAAAGATGAAAAATCATACGATTTTACCAATTGATGCAGAAAACTCTTTCATGCGAGAGAAAACAAACAAAAAAAAAACTTTCAGTGAACTAAGAATAGAGAAGAACTTCAATTTGATTTTTTAAAAAATCTGTAAAAACCTAACAGCCGTCCTTTTACTTACTGGTAAAAGACTGAATGTTTCCCCCTTAAGATTGGAAGCAAGGCAAGGATATCCATTCTTATCACTGTTATTCAACAGAAGTACTGGAAGTTCTAGCCAGTGCAATAAGACAAGAAAAAGACATCATTGGTTATCAGGGAAACGCAAATCAAAACTACAGTGAGGTGCTACCTCGCGCCACTAGGGTGGCAGCAATAAAACAGATGGGTAATAACAAGTGTTGACGAGGATGTGGAGAGATTGGAATCCTTGCACACTGCTGGTGGGAATGTAAAATGGTACGGCTGCTTCAGAAGATAGTCTGGCAAGGTTCTCAAGATGTGAAACTGAGGGTCTCCCCGTGACCCAGCAGGAGAGTGGCATGCACTCTAGAATAGCGCTTGGCCCACACTGGGCACTCAGCTGACCCCTGCTGGCTTGGCTAATGAGCAGAGTAAAAACACTCCTCCCTGGCAGTGTGGGGGCCTTCCGAGTGGAGGGTGGTGCTGGTGTGGGGGCCCTCCAGGTGGAGGGCAGTGCAGGAGGCCATGGCAGGCAGTGGCAGTGCTTGGACTAAGGTGGTAGATGTTGGCAAGGCAATTGTTTGCATCTGGGGTTCGTTGTGAAGGAAGAGTGATTCGCTCTGGATCAGATGGAGGACTTAGGCAAAAGGAGTTAAAGGCAACACCAGTGTTTTGGCCTGGGTGGAATGGAGCAGCTGTCTCCCGAGCCAGGAGGACCATGAGGCTGGAGGGTGGATGGAGGTCTTGGGGTGCAGGACACAAGAGCTCTGCTCAGGCAATGTGGGGTGTGGGGTCCTATCAGAGATGTTTGTTCAGCATCTCCTGTAAATTAGGAAGGGTGACAGGGCATACAGCAGCACGCAAGTGGACAAACCCTGGCTCTACTTTCCTGAGAATGCATCAGAAGGTGGTCGGTGTCATCCTAGAACAGACAATGGCTGAAGCCACGGGATGGTGACGAGCCCCCATGTGGTTCGTGTGGCTGGAGAGGAGAGGCCAGTCGAGGCCTGCGTTCGGTGGTGTGTGTAGAGTCTGGGAAAAGGAGAGGCACTGACAGACCAGACCAGAGAAGTAGCCAGGCAGTTGGAGGGTAACCAGGCACTCGTGGCATCAGGAAGTCAGGAAAAGCCTCAGGAAAGCCTTCTAGAAGTAGGGACAGTTAGCTGATTGCTGTGCTGTTGAGCGGCTCACACGAGGAGGACTGAGGATGGACCGTTGTATTTGTGCACACGGGGCCATTGCTGGATTTAACAAAAGCAGTGTCAACGCAGGGTGGTGGGCTCTCATGTGATTCTAAACTGTTCAAGAGAGGGTGGGCGATGCCATGTGGAAGCTCCTGAGGGAGGTTTGTTTTCGTCACATGGACATTATGAGAGCATGTGTTTGTGCTAATGGGAGTAACCTGGCAGAGAGGGAAAAGCTGATGTGTGGGAGGGAGAGAGAGCTCCTGAGGGCGGCCCTTAAGTAGGTGTGAAGGGAACAGGATCCATTACACAAGGGGAGGAGCTGGCTGGAGGCGGAGCATCGACGGTGGTCATTCCAGAAGGGGATGGCAGCACATGCATGCAGAGGCCAGGTTTGGAGGAAGGATGCAGACGCACAGCACAATCAAGTTTAGGAGGAGCAGGTACACACACACACACACGTATATAAGCACATGCACATACAGACATGTACACATACACATGCACATAGACAACACATGCACACATGTACACGTATACTCACCTACATTTACATACATGTATGCACACACATAGACATATATGCATATAGACATGCATAGATGCCACACACATACACACGCACATATACATACATGTCCACACATATAAACACATGCACATACACATACAGCCATATACACAGAGACACACATAGACACCATAGACACACCCACACACATACACATGCATGTGCGCACACATACATGCACATATAGACACGCACATGTATACATGTGCATACACACATGCACACGCCTATATACACATATATACATGCCCACCTATACATACATAAACATACACATATACATGTGCACACAGAAACATGGACATATACACACATGCACACATACACACAGGTACATGCTCATACATGCACATCTACACACTCACCTATACACACACACACACACAGCTTTTGGTGCCATGCCGCAGCACATTCCTAGTGCTTCACATATGTTCCTTTCTAATTGGTGTTTGTTTTAGAAGGTGGAGTGAGTACACGTGTCTGGATCCAGCCTTATTAGATTGTCTTTGCGCACTGGGAATAACACCCACTTTATGCTCAGCTCTTACTAGTGTCTCCAGCTTTCCCTCTCCTCCTTGTTAACAGAATTGGAACCCTTCCTGTCTTCCCGTCTCTCTCCTGAAATTAGCCAAGGCTCTCTCTCTTATGACTCAGTTCATTAGAGAAGTAAGCAGAAACACAGCAGCTGATGATGAACAAAATGTTTCCGGGGGTGAAGGCACCCATCTGGCAGGGGGCAGGGCGCTCTTGCAGGTTCCGCCGTGCAGAGAAGAAGCCACAAGGACCGAGGGAGGCCTGAAGGAGATGTCTAACCTGAGCCGTAGAACGTAAGAAGTTGCCAGCATAAAGACAGGTAGGAAAGGCATGTCAGTGACAGAGGCAGGAGAACACGTGACCCACTTGTGTGGGGAGCTCCAGCAGCGCGTTCGGAGTGCTGGGCATTGCCAGGTCTGAAAGAGGTCATCAGTTCTTGGGAAAGGTGCCTGCGTGGGCTAGAAATCATGGAACAAATCATAAAGCCAAGTAGTAATTTAAACCCAGATGCTACTTTAATTAACTCACTTTGCTACTTTGCCCTCGGCAGCAAGGGTTGAGGGCACAGCCCTGGCTACTAGCACAGCCCTGGCTACTAGCACTGTCCTGGCTACGAGCACAGCCCTGGCTACTAGCAGAGCCCTGGCTACTAGCACTCTCCTGGTTACTAGCAGAGCCCTGGCTACTAGCACAGCCCTGGCTACTAGCAGAGCCCTGGCTACTAGCACAGCCCTGGTTACTAGCAGAGCCCTGGCTACTAGCACAGCCCTGGCTACTAGCACTGTCCTGGTTACGAGCACAGCCCTGGTTACTAGCAGAGCCCTGGTTACTAGCACAGCCCTGGCTACTAGCACAGCCCTGGCTACTAGCACTGTCCTGGTTATGAGCACAGCCCTGGTTACTAGCACAGCCCTGGTTACTAGCACAGCCCTGGTTACTAGCACAGCCCTGGCTACTAGCACTGTCCTGGTTACGAGCACAGCCCTGGTTACTAGCACAGCCCTGGTTACTAGCACAGCCCTGGCTACTAGCACTATCCTGGTTACTAGCACAGCCCTGGTTACTAGCACTATCCTGGCTACTAGCACAGCCCTGGTTACTAGCACTGTCCTGGCTACTAGCACAGCCCTGGTTACTAGCACTGTCCTGGCTACTAGCACAGCCCTGGTTACTAGCACTGTCCTGGCTACTAGCACAGCCCTGGTTACTAGCACAGCCCTGGCTACTAGCACAGCCCTGGCTACTAGCACTGTCCTGGTTACGAGCACAGCCCTGGTTACGAGCACTGTCCTGGCTACTAGCACAGCCCTGGCTACTAGCACAGCCCTGGCTACTAGCACTGTCCTGGTTACTAGCACAGCCCTGGTTACTAGCACAGCCCTGGCTACTAGCACTGTCCTGGTTACGAGCACAGCCCTGGCTACTAGCACAGCCCTGGCTACTAGCACTGTCCTGGTTACGAGCACAGCCCTGGCTACTAGCACTGTCCTGGTTACTAGCACAGCCCTGGTTACTAGCAGAGCCCTGGCTACTAGCACTCTCCTGGTTACGAGCACAGCCCTGGCTACTAGCACAGCCCTGGCTACTAGCACTGTCCTGGCTACTAGCACTGTCCTGGCTACTAGCACTGTCCTGGCTACTAGCACTGTCCTGGCTACTAGCACTGTCCTGGCTACTAGCACAGCCCTGGCTACTAGCACTGTCCTGGCTACTAGCACAGCCCTGGTTACTAGCACTGTCCTGGCTACTAGCACTGTCCTGGTTACGAGCACAGCCCTGGCTACTAGCACTGTCCTGGCTACTAGCACAGCCCTGGTTACTAGCAGAGCCCTGGTTACTAGCAGAGCCCTGGCTTCTAGCAGAGCCCTGGTTACTAGCACAGCCTTGGTTACTAGCACAGTCCTGGCTACTAGACACCTCTGCTAGAGACTGCCCAAAGAATATGCCATGAGTTAGCTCTTTCTCCCCCTCCTGCCACTGGTCAGCTAAGCCTTCCCCCTAAAAATCACTTTTTGATATAGAGGGTGAAGAATTTCCAGTATCTCCTTTAGTTGACTGTGAGAGAAATTAGTGTAATTTCTAATTGACCATCTTCACAGAGTTGTAGAATGATCACAGAGCATTTAGAAGCTGTGGGTTGCTAATAGCTAAATGGCTTTGAAATAATGAATGCTTCATTTGGGGGAACTCGGGGTAACTGTGACAAACCGTTGTTATGAAGGGGCTTTAGCTAGCCTTGGAAGGGCAGGCTGGAGGCTTCTGCACGTCCTTGGAAGTCTCCATCCACCAGAAGGAGCTCCTTCTGCTCTCTCAGCCTGGATGTGATAGTTGCCAGCAATAGGCGCAACTTGGTTTTTAAATTAAAATCTAATATTTGATATACATAATTCTATCAACAATATATTAAAAATATGATTTCTGCTTTGCATCTGCTCTTTTTGGTACACTGTGTGTCACATGATAGATGCCACATTAATATCTTTGACTATTAATAGAGTTGGATAAGTAATACACTGACTCCTTTAGCAGCCTCAGCCTTTCTTTGAACTTTGCAAACATGGCCATTGTAATTAGGTGTTGTTGAATTGAGAATAAAAGTTACTTTAAGGCAGAGCTAAAAGTGTTACCGAGGAGATGCTATTTTCAGAAATTACTTGGTAAAGACTCCTCTGGAGTTGTTAGTACCGTATCTCATTATAAAGATGCCTCTTATATGTATTTGAGAAGGGAAAGAAGGAGCCCAGTGTTGACGTTTTATTTAGAAAATGTGAGGCCGGGCGCGGTGGCTCACGCCTGTAATCCCAGCACTTTGGGAGGCCAAGGCGGGTGGATCACCTGAGGTTGGGAGTTTGAGACTAGCCTGGCCAACATTGGTGAAACCCAGTCTCTACTAAAAATATAAAATTATCCAGACGTGGTGGCGCATACCTGTAATCCCAGCTACTTGAGAGGCTGAGGCGGGAGAATCGCTTGAACCCAGGAGGTGGAGGTTGCAGTGAGCTGAGATGGTGCCATTGCCCTCCAGCCTGGGTGACAAGAGCAAACCTCCATCTCAAAAAAAAAAAAAAAAGTGCAGTGCAGGTGATCCCCACCGCCCCCACAGCGGTGCTTTCTGCGGGTGATCCCCACCGCCCCCACAGCGGTGCTTTCTGCGGGTGATCCCCACCGCCCCCACAGCGGTGCTTTCTGCGGGTGATCCCCACCGCCCCCACAGCGGTGCTTTCTGCGGGTGATCCCCACCGCCCCCACAGCGGTGCTTTCTGCAGGGAGCGGACGGCAGGCCTGGGGCGTGCTGCCCGCTTACCTCATGAACTGCGCGTGCACTGACTCCACATTACCCACACGTGGGAACAATGCAGCAGATGTCTTTTTTGGATCCGGTTGCTGTGTATCGCATCGCAAGACTTTTCTGGATCCTTCCCAAATCCTCCAGAAGACTCTGGAGAGCATTGGAAGATGAGAGTCTTTCTTGTGTTTGAGTCCCTAGGCTCCCCGGAGAAACCCCTTTGGGTGCACGCTCACCTTAGGCTTGCTGTTTGGGAAAACCATGGCTCTGGGCTGGAATTGGTCACTTTTAGGCCTGGGCACTGTTCACAAGCTTGGCCAATCACAAGCACTCAGCCTTACACGCAGGCCTGTTTCTGAAAGATAGTTTCAATTACGGGGTCAATATCTTAGGTAGATGCAAAACCAAAACAGTGTATAGGAAATAACTCATCTGTTGAAATAGTTTTTTTTTTTCCCTTGGGTTAGCAATCCTGAAGAACGTTCATTGGCAGAACCCTTTGGCTTGAATGTCAGGATGTTTTTTAAAAATGCTAGGTTCTGGGTGGGTGCGGTGGGTCAGGCCTGTAACCCCAGAACTTCGGGAGGCCGAGGCAGGCAGCTCACTTGAGGTCAGGAATTCGAGACCAGCCTGGCCAACACGGTGAAACCCTGTCTCTACTAAAATACAAAAATTCGCTGGGTGTGGTGGCACTCGCCTGTGATCCCAGCTACTCAGGAGGCTGAGGGAGGTGAATCGCTTGAACCTGGAGGTGGAGGTTGCAGTGAGCCAAGATTGCGCCACTGCACGCCAGCCTAGGCGACAAAGCAAGACTCCCTCTCAAAAACAAAAACAAAACAAAACAAAACCTGTTGGTTCTAATACCCCTAAAGCAAAGAGCTCTCCTGTGTACTCGTCCATGCACCCAGTAGTGTGGTGGGAAAGAAGGAATTCAGCATGCTTCCTCCTGGGCCTGGCAGACAGGTACCAGGTGAGTGGAGCACTGTCATTGCCTGTCACTTGCTGTTGGAACCTCTGCAGCCAGAGGGCATGTCTTCTTGTCTATACATCAACGTACTTTGGGGGGCTTCTTAAATAGGTGGGGTTTCTGTCAATGATCACACTGAATGGGGAAATGAAGTTTCTAGTAGGCATATTTGGGATAAAGCTCTTTCTACATCTACCTGTCCGACTGCTCCCTCGGCAACCACAGAATGCTTCCAGTGTCCAGTGTGCTCCAGGAGGCATTGGGCCAAGCGCCCGTGCATCTCAGGGTGCAGGCTGAGATAGGCACGGCAGATGCAAACCCAGCAGCGTCTGGACCACGGGAGCTTTGTCTCTCCACCGGACAAGACACAGACTTCTTGGTCCCTAAGGAAGTCCCCTTCAAACCTGCTGAGTTCTCATGTGGCTCCTGTACACTGGAGACTCGCCCCACCACCCCATGCCATCCTATGTTCTAGTGCTGACTTGGAAGAAAGGTGGGTTGGTATGAAAAGTGTTAGATTTCAGAAGCTTGGCACAAATGGTTGGCAGCGATGGAGGGACTGCAGTGTTTAGAGGCCATGGTGGGAGGACCTGTTGGATGGAGGGACTGCAGTGTTTGGAGGCCGTGGCGGGAGGACCTGTTGGGTGGATGGAGGGACTGCGGTGTGTGTTTAGAGGCCGTGGCGGGAGGACCTGTTGGGTGGATGGAGGGACTGCGGTGTGTGTTTAGAGGCCGTGGCGGGAGGACCTGTTGGGTGGATGGAGGGACTGCGGTGTGTGTTTAGAGGCCGTGGCGTGAGGACCTGTTGGGTGGATGGAGGGGCTGCGGTGTGTGTTTGGAGGCCGTGGCGGGAGGGCCTGTTGGGTGGATGGAGGGGCTGCGGTGTGTGTTTGGAGGCCGTGGCGGGAGGGCCTGTTGGGTGGATGGGGGGGCTGCGGTGTGTGTTTGGAGGCCGTGGCGGGAGGGCCTGTTGGGTGGATGGGGGGGCTGCGGTGTGTGTTTGGAGGCCGTGGCGGGAGGGCCTGTTGGGTGGATGGGGGGGCTGCGGTGTGTGTTTGGAGGCCGTGGCGGGAGGGCCTGTTGGGTGGATGGGGGGGCTGCGGTGTGTGTTTGGAAGCCTTGGCGGGAGGGCCTGTTGGATGGAGGGACTGCGGTGTGTGTTTAGAGGCCATGGCGGGAGGACCTGTTGGGTGGATGGAGGGGCTGCGGTGTGTGTTTGGAGGCCGTGGCGGGAGGACCTGTTGGATGGAGGGACTGTGGTGTGTGTTTAGAGGCCGTGGCGAGAGGACCTGTTGGGTGGATGGAGGGACTGCGGTGTGTGTTTAGAGGCTGTGGCGGGAGGACCTGTTGGGTGGATGGAGGGGCTGCGGTGTGTGTTTGGAGGCCGTGGCGGGAGGACCTGTTGGGTGGATGGAGGGGCTGCGGTGTGTGTTTAGAGGCCGTGGCGGGAGGACCTGTTGGGTGGATGGAGGGGCTGCGGTGTGTGTTTGGAGGCCGTGGCGGGAGGACCTGTTGGGTGGATGGAGGGGCTGCGGTGTGTGTTTGGAGGCCGTGGCGGGAGGGCCTGTTGGGTGGATGGAGGGGCTGCGGTGTGTGTTTGGAGGCCGTGGCGGGAGGGCCTGTTGGGTGGATGGAGGGGCTGCGGTGTGTGTTTGGAGGCCGTGGCGGGAGGACCTGTTGGATGGAGGGACTGCGGTGTGTGTTTAGAGGCCGTGGCAAGAGGACCTGTTGGGTGGATGGAGGGGCTGCGGTGTGTGTTTGGAGGCCGTGGCGGGAGGGCCTGTTGGGTGGATGGAGGGGCTGCGGTGTGTGTTTGGAGGCCGTGGCGGGAGGACCTGTTGGATGGAGGGACTGCGGTGTGAGTTTAGAGGCCGTGGCAGGAGGACCTGTTGGGTGGATGGAGGGGCTGCGGTGTGTGTTTGGAGGCTGTGGCGGGAGGGCCTGTTGGGTGGATGGAGGGGCTGCGGTGTGTGTTTGGAGGCCGTGGCGGGAGGACCTGTTGGATGGAGGGACTGCGGTGTGTGTTTAGACGCCGTGGCGGGAGGACCTGTTGGGTGGATGGAGGGGCTGCGGGGTGTGTTTAGAGGCCGTGGCGGGAGGACCTGTTGGGTGGATGGAGGGGCTGCGGTGTGTGTTTGGAGGCCGTGGCGGGAGGACCTGTTGGGTGGATGGAGGGGCTGCGGTGTGTGTTTGGAGGCTGTGGCGGGAGGACCTGTTGGGTGGATGGAGGGGCTGCGGTGTGTGTTTGGAGGCTGTGGCGGGAGAGCCTGCTGCTCAGTTCTCAGGACTGGTTAGAAAGTAAATTTAACGTAGGAGCAACTTAACAAAAAGAAAAGCTTTTCATTTTGGGGGCTTTTTTTGTTTGTCTTTAGAGATGGCTTTGCTCTGTCACCCAGGCTGGAGTGCAGTGGTGCCACCACAGCTCACTGCCACCTTGAACTCCTGAGCCCAAGGGATCCTCCCACCTCGGCCTCCTGAGTAGCTGGGACTGCAGGCATGCACCACTACACCAGGCTGATTTTAAACAACTTTTTGTAGAGACAGGGGTCTTGCCATATTGCCCAGGCTGGTCTCAAACTCCAGAGCTCAAGCAATCCTCACACCTCAGCCTCTTGAGAAGCCAGGACTACAGGCATGCACCACCACACCTGGCTAATTAAAAAAAAATTTTGGAGTGATGGGGTCTTTCCATCTTGCCCAGGCTGATCTTGAACTCCTGGGTTCAAGTGATCCTCCCACCTCAGCCTCCCAAAGTGCTGGTATTACAGATGTGAGCCACCACACCTGGTTATATAAAAAGAAAACCTAAAACTAGTAAACCACACTGATATTTTTTGCTATATTTCTGCTATATACATGTCCTTTTGAAAAGGAAAATAGGAATATTGAACTTAGTTTTTGCGTAAAGGGCCATTTCCTCCCACTTAAAGTTGTTTCCTTTTTAATCCTCTGCCAGCCATTCTTACGTGGCCAGTGGTAGTGGTGCTGATTAAAATAACACAAGTCTGCCAGCAGTCCCAGACAGACATCGCAAATGGCGCCTTCCACAGTTCAGGACTGTGTGCTTCACTCCACGGAGGTCTGCCTCAGATGCCTCCCTCCCAGCCCCTTTCCGGAGGCCAGGGAGAGTGCGTTTCCACCAAGCGCAGGAGTCAGCACTTCCTCATAGCCTTCCCGTGCCCTCCCAGCACCAGGCACACATGGCCGCTCCCACCTATCCCATCCACCTGTTGTGACGCGGGTCTGAGTAGCTGCAGGTCCACGTCGTTCCTGGACCCATCATCTGGCTTAGTGGGCCTGTCACAGCAGACCTGGAAACTAATTTTCTGTGTACAGCAGGTTGCATTGCCGATGCTATTTTAGCTTATGGAGCCCAGAGCCCAGGAAATGGTTTTAAACATGATTTTGCCTTCCCTCTTCCCTCTTGTTTAAAAAAACCCACTCCTTGGTGGTTCTTGGTGATTGTTGCGTGGCATGTAAATATCCCTAATGTCACCGAACTGTACATTTGAAACAGTTAACATGGCAAATTTTATGCTACAGGTAATTTATCATCATAAAAAAAACCTCATTCCTCTAGAAATTGCAGTTTTTATTGAAAAAGTTAAATTATATTTATTATTAAGTATATGAGAATTTGATTTGTACTCTGGGTTTAATGTTCCTGTGGTAGAATGGGTTATTAATAAAACTAGCAGTCATTAGTACCTTCCAGCTGAGAAATTTGAGATGTTAAAAACAAAGTTTGTCAGAGTCAGATGACAGTGCGTTCTGTACCATCACCGTGGTGCGAGGTGGCTGTGAGTGAATACAGCTCTGTGTGTATTTCATTCCGAAAGCACTGGGCGTGCTGTCTGGAGAGGGCTCGGCAGCTTTCGTGTTGGCGTCGTAGGTGCTTGGTGGAGATTCAGAAGGACCCAGATGGGATAATGGGGCAAAAGCAGCCCTAAAATCAGGGGCAGTGCCCGGCACTCTGGACGCATGTGCTGGCCCAGCTGCAGGGCAGTCCGTGTCATCTTTGGGGACTCTGTGTCCTCGTCGTCACAGCTCTTTTAACATGGAGCTGAAACCTCATGGGGTTGGTAAAAAGCAGATGAAATAGTATATGTGAAGAGCCGTGAGAAATACTAAGAACTACGCAACTAAAAGTAAGGAGCAAGGAAGGAGCAAAAATGCAGACACAGACACATTCTCTCCCCGTCAAGCCGGGGAGCGCATCGCAGCCCTCGGTGATTAAAAGCCACACACTCTGGACACATCTCACCCCCACCCATATTCATCGTCACTTACAATATTCATTTACAATAGCGCCTCCTCTTCATGGAGGCCTGCCACAGTCTGAGTAAACAAAAGTGATCTTGTCCCTGTGGTATTCACAAAACAAGCCCTAGGAATTGTGTAAGTCACAAACAGCGTCCAGGCCCTGGATCTGGGACGACCAGTCTCTGTCATGCGATGCTCCAGCCCTCATGCTGACCGCTTGGTCCACGACCCCGCATTAGCAGGTGGCGCTCTCAGTCTGAAGCCTCATTCTGTACCTTGTTGTTCCACATCCCCAGCCTAGATGGGCAGATGAGGTTGGCCCCTACAGCAGAATGCTTTCCATTACAGCCGAATTATAGGTATTTGTAGACACGTGAATGAAGGAGTTCTGCAAGCTGTGTGGCCCGGTATGATCGGCATTTTTGGGGTTTTCTGTTTTCATTCCTTTAGCTATCTACATGACATGCCCAGGCATCACATTTCAGGGTAACTGAAGAGAAGGCAATGCAGATTCCATCTCACAGCCTGTGGTGTGTTCTTCTTGTTTTGTCTGTTCCCTGTCTCTTTCTGTCCCTTTGTTTCCTGCTACCCTTTCCCCTCTCCCCTCTCCCCACAACAAAGGACCAGCCTTGATGATAGTGCAGGAGGGACTTTGCAAGCCAAGCTCTCCCAGGGCCCATGGGGCCTCCCTTCCAGCAGGTGGGCCCTGCATGCAGCCCACAGTGTCTGAGGACTCTGCATCCCCGGAAGGGAGGCATTGCTTGTGCGCAGCTGCTGTGCCTCCCCCAGCTGAAAGCATTCTGTTTGGTGGAACTGGTTCTGATATTTTCCAGCTCTTCTCAATTATTTCCAGGAGCAGGCAGAGCAGTGTGTGTACATAATCCCTCATGTGTTATACTTATTAAATTTTACTGGCCAAAATGCCAGGAATTCTTGTGAACTTCATTATTTCTGAAAACGACAGCAAAACCTCTTGTGGATTACCGAAATGGCCACATGCAGGCAACGTAGGTAGCCAGGGAAAGGAATCACAATCTCAGTGCTAGTATAATTAGTCCTTGGTGGTATAAGGATCCTGTTTTGTTGAATGCTGTGGTTTTTTGGTAAAACAGGAACCCACCTGGTATCCATGGCAGGGTATAGCAAACTCGTGTATCAGACAGTCCTGTCATTTTTTAAACCTTTGAATGTAATGCATTATTTAAAAAGAAGGAAGAGTTACACTTTCAGTTAGATTTCATTTGGTAAAAAGTGAAATTTTCTGTGCATTTTAGTAGTAAACAACAATTCACTTAGTGCCTTTCTTCCTAAAATGGCACTGTGATATCAGCTTCACATATGATACTTTTACGTGACAAGTCTCATTGAAATAAATACCAACCGGCATTACTATCCCTACTTTAAAGAGAGATTAAATTTTGAATTCAAAAACACCTCACCTTTCTCCCTGATTACAAAATTAATGCACATTTGTTTGTAGAACATTTAGAGAAATCCGATGAAGATGGGAGGAGATAAAATCCCCCTAATCCCCCACTCGGGGATGAGTGCTCGCTCTGTCTGTTTTTCAGTCTCTTTTGATGGGTCGCTTTAGTCAGCCCACTCAAACTCACATTTTGTGGTTTGCCTTTGTGTTGGTGATGGAGTTCACATCATATAACCTGAACGTCTTCCCATGTCATTAAACACAACAAAATAAGGTTAGGATAGATTAAGATTGAACGTTTAGGCCGGGCGCGGTGGCTCACGCCTGTAATCCCAGCACTTTGGGAGGCCGAGACGGGCGGATCACGAGGTCAGGAGATCGAGACCATCCTGGCTAACACGGTGAAACCCCGTCTCTACTAAAAATACAAAAATTAGCCGGGCATGGTGGCGTGCGCCTGTAGTCCCAGCTACTCGGGAGGCTGAGGCAGGAGAATGGCGTGAACCCGGGAGGCGGAGCTTGCAGTGAGTCGAGATCGCGCCACTGCACTCCAGCCTGGGCGACAGAGCGAAACTCCGTCTCAAAAAAAAAAAAAAAAAAAAGATTGAACGTTTAAAACAAACCGTAAGACACCATGAAAGACCTGGTGGACAGTGATACAATCCTGGGGTAAGTAGGGTCCTGCAAAGAGGAAAACCGGGAAGAAAACAGAGTTGACAGAGACACAACCAGGCTGTGCCATCAGAAGGGCCTTGGGAATGAGACGGCCAGGTTTCCAGGCTTACAGTCTGTCTCTGGAGACAGTTCAGCAGCGACGCCTCTCTCCAGAGGACTTTCCAGTGAAAACTCACAGCCTGAGTTGATTTATTCTTTCCTTCTGTGTTACAGCTGCAGCTTACTATTTGGTTGTGACCAGCAGCTAAATCACACTCTCTTTTCCCGAATGTTCTGCCCTTCAGGTAGCTGCAATCAACCCAAATCACCCTCTTGCTCAGATGCCTTTGCCTCCGTCGATGAAAAACTGCATCCAGCTGGCAGCCTGCGAGGCCACCGAGCTGCTGCCCATGATCCCCGACCTCCCGGCTGACCTATTCACCTCCTGCCTCACCACCCCCATCAAGATCGCCCTGCGCTGGTGAGTGGCCCCTGCTGTGCCCCTGGGACCCACTCAACTGGGCTCTCCCGCAGGGACCCCAACCCATGTGGGCCCCAGGCATTCACCTGGTCCCAGGAGCCCACGTGACAGACATGAGTGTCCCCGCCTTCTTTTTGTGTCATTCGGGATTCCAGGTGGAGGTTTGGGTTCTACTCTTTGAGAGCTCAAGATCCTTCTTCCTTCTGATCTGTTCGTGGGCAGCTCACTGCTTTGCGATTTCCAAGAACACCCTCTCCTTACCTTTGTTCACTGCGGAGGCGTCTTAGTACCAGGATAGGTCATACTGGAAACTGGACTTTCTTTCAGGGGAAGAAAAGGCTGTTATGAAAAAGGAAGTCATTTAATTCCTTGCTTGAGTTGAAGCGTAATCTTTCAATGTATTTTTAGCAATGAAAAAAGAGCCATGATTTTTCTGTCTCCATCCTTTTTAAGTTATAGCCGTCGGGAACATAACTGAAGAAATGTGTGTGATATTCCAAGATGGTAGAAGCCGCATTTCAGCCCCAACATCCCCAGCAGAACGCACAGTGGGATATGTGTGTTTCCTGCCTCCAAATCCAATATTCTCCCCTAGACCATCTTGCCAGTCTTTAATATCTCCTTTCCCATTTTATGTTTTGCTGAAAAGCTTATATGTCGTGGCTGTTACCGGCTAGTAGATAAATACCTCTCCCTTGAGGTGCCGTGCGAATGGTGCAGCTGTGCAGCAGACACCGTGCTGTCGGCCGAGGACACTCTTGAGGCTTCTGTCAAGATGGCCTAACACTCTAGACAAGTCTCCTGCCTTCTCACCCACAGCCCTGGGCGGACACGGGGAGCTAACAGCACAGCAAAGTAAGGGCCCCCAGGGACACCCTGGGAGGGGCCAGAGGGGCAGGGCAGCCTGAGGGGGGAGGAAAACTTGGCCTTCCTGCTCTGCCTCTGCAGCCAAGTCCAAATTGATCCCAGACCCCAGGGCTGGGGGTTCATGATGTTGGGGTGACTGCAGCGCAGCCCTCACATTAACTGTCCCTAGGCCTCCCCACCAAACTTGAGGGCTACAGGTTTCCATTCAGGGAGAGA
This sequence comes from Homo sapiens, assembly GCF_000001405.40. Lineage (NCBI taxonomy): Eukaryota > Metazoa > Chordata > Mammalia > Primates > Hominidae > Homo > Homo sapiens. The sequence goes on from NC_000017.11 coordinate 80,755,269, forward strand.
CCTCCTTTTAGTGTTACTCACCCCAAAATAGTTGGAGATGAAGGGAAGAGGGCTGGGTGTGGTAGCTCACACCTGTAATCCTAGCACTTTAGGAGGCTGAGGCAGGAGGATCCCTTGAGCGCGGGAGTTTTGAGACCAGCCTGGGCAACATAGGGAGACCTTGTCTCTAAAAAGAAAATAGAAAAATAGCAAGTGCAGTGGCTCATGCCTGTAACCCTAATGCTTTGGGAAGGTGAGGCAGGCAGATTGCTTGAGGCCAGGAGTTCGAGACTAGCCTGGCCAACATGGCGAAACCCTGTCTATACTAAAAATACAAAAAAATTAGCTGGATGTGGTAGCACATGCCTATATTCCCAGCCACTTAGGAGGCTGAGGTACTAGAATTGCTCGAACCTGGGAGGCAGAGGTTGCAGTGAGCCAAGATTGTGCCAGTGTACTCCAGCCTGGGTGACGGAGCAAGACCCTGTCTCAAAAAAAAAAAAAAAAAAAAGAAACAAAAAAAGAGGGGAGAGGAGCTGTCTGGAGGGGGCAGCAGAGAGGGATCTGCAGTGTTTCTGCTGTCCAGCCAGTACCCCCACCTTACCTGGCTGATGCAGACTTAGCCTGAAAGGGCCACTGTCCTCTGCACCCAGCGGAGCAGAGCTCACTTGGCAAAACTAGACACCTGAGTAGCACAGCCACTACGCAGAGAGAAAGCTGAACCAGGGTTATTGTAAAACAAGTGTAATACATACAATCAAAGAAATAAAGGAAGACACCTGTAACAAGATGTGAGAACAATGCTACAGTTTTAATGCCTTCCCCCAAATGTATGTGCTGGAAACTTAATCCCCCACGCAACAGTGTTGGGAGGTGATTGCATCATGAGGGCTCTGCCCTCACATTTAGGTTAATGTCACTGTCACAGGGGTAGGTTAGTTATGTGAGAGCAGGTTGTGATAAAAGCAAGCCCAGCCCCTTGTGTTATCTTGCCCTTCCACCTTCTGCCATGGGATGGCACAGCAAGAAGGTCCTTGCCAGATGCCACTCTTTGACCTTGGACCTCCCAGTCTCCAGAACTGTAAGAAAGAAGTTTCTTTACTTAGATGAAGAGAAGCTGCTTGAAAAGTCCAAGAATACAGTTAAGTAGGAGGAATAAGTTATAGTATTCCATAGTAGAGTAGGGAGATTACGGTTAACAGAAATAATTTATTGGATATTTCAAAATAGCTTGGAGAGAAGAATTGTAATGGCCCCAACACAAAAGATAGAAGGTGGAGTGAGATGGTGGAATAGAAGCCTCCACCAGTCTTCCTGCAGCAAGGATACCAATGTAACAACTATCAGCACACACAGAAAGCACCTTCATACGAACCAAAAATTAGGTGAGCGCTCATAGTACCCAGTTTAGCTTCATGTTGCTGAAAGAGGCACTGAGAGGTAGAAAAAACAGTCTTGAAAAGATAAATGTTTGAGGTGATGTATGAGTTGGATAGATCCCAGTTACCCTGATTTGATCATTACGCATTGTATGCACGGATCAAAATATCACATGGAGCCCCAAAATACATACAACTATCATATATCAATTTAAAGAATACAAAAAAAATTTGTTATAAATTACTCAGTCTGTCGTAGTCTATTATAGCAACACAAAACAGACAGACAGACAAGAAAAAGTACTATAAAAGAAGAACAAAGCAGAAATAGGGGTAGGTGCACTGTAATGTTTGAAATAAAGAACACAGTAGACAGGACCCATAGCAGGAGAGACACTGCTGGAGCCAAATGAATGGCCTGGAAGACTACAGTGGGGGCTCACAGGAGGCCATGGGAAAGGGTCGAGATGGGAAACAGAAAAGCCAGGAGATGCAGAGAAGGGAAATAGAGGCCCCAGTATGCAGACTGGGGGCATCCCGTGTTGAGAGAACAAGAATATGGCAGAGCTGAAAATACCTGAAGATCTCGGAAATGCACTCCCCAAAATTGGGAAAGCTGGAAGCCCTCCAACTGAGAGGGCTTGTGCCAACCAGAAATTAATGGGAGACCTCCGACCTCAGCACATCCAGTGAGGCGGAAGACCCTCTTGAGGGCACCTTCCCTGACGCCACGTTGTTTCTGAACTGCTCTCCATCCTTGTTTGTTTGCTCTGTAATGTCGAAGTCCTTTCTGAACGCAGATCTCTTTTCACGTACCAGTTTATGAGGCACACGTTACAGTGTGCCTACCTCTATTTCTGCTTGTTTCTCCTTTCGCATTACTTTCTCTTGTTTGTCTTAATCTGTTTTGGGTTACTATAACAGAATACAACAGACTGGGTAATTTAAAATGACAATTTTTTGTATTCTGTAAATTGATATATCATAGTTGTCCATATTTGGGGGGTCCATGCAATATTTTGATACCTGTATACGATGCATTAATGATCAAATTGGGGTAACTGGGATATCCATCACCTGAAACATTTATCTTTTCTTTTTAAGACTGCTGAAGAGACGGTCTTTTGGGGCCTCTGTTTCTCTTCTCTGCATCTCCTGGCTTTTCTGTTTCCCACCTCTGTCCTTTCCCACGGCCTCCTATGCGCCCCTCATTGTAGTCTTCCAGGATATTGTAGGGCTTCAGCAGCCTCTCACCTTTATGAGTGTTCTTTTTAACTCTCTGTACTGTATGTCTGATCCCTGTCCAAAGAGGCTTATGAGTGCCCATTTCACGTTACCCCAGGAAGAGATTGGTCCACCTGACTCAGGAGTTCATCCATTCATTGCCCAAAAACTAATTTATTCAGTCCCGACTGTGTATGTAATAAGACCCATGCTAATCACTATAGGAGATCCTAAGAAGCATATTGCCCTCAACAAATGTCTCCTCTGGTTGAGGAGATAAGATGTGGCTTGAAAATTCATGATTTCAATGGATGCTTCATGCAAGATGAAAATCTGAACCCTTCAAGGCAATGTGTGATCAAAGACCAAGTGACCTTATGGCACCAAGGGCTGTTGTGTTCCCAGAGGACAGAGAACCATGGCTAAGGGCCACAGGGTTTGAGAAAGCTGCTTGGAGGAGGTGGAACCTGAGAGGAAGGTTTCGTCAGGAGTGCGGTTGAGCTCAGAGAGTGGACTGAAGTCCAAGTCCATTGTGGGGTGCTTTGAATGCTGCCCAGAGGACCTTGACTTCTCCTGGGACTCTGGCACAAGAGAGCCCCTGAAGCTGTTTGGGTAGAAAAATGACTTCATCAGAACCGTGTTTTAGAAAGAGGATCCAAGTGATGATAGGGAGACCTTGGTGACCATTAGGCCATTATCATATCAGTGCGGTCTTGAGCTGGTAAAAGATTAGGGCAGAAAGATAGAAAATCACCCAGGGGCCTGTAGGCTGGAGCTTCTGTAGACGCACAGTGGACACTGCCGAGAAACAGGCCTCATTTCTCCCATGTTCCCGTCCCCGCTCCCGGTTTCCTGCATGACTGCTTTGGTGCCCCCTGACTCCAGAATCAACACCACACCAGCTCTGCCTTTAGACTCTGCCCAGAGGCTCTGGGCTGGATACTGTATTTGGTGCGACCCTCTGGGGCATTTTTGCAAGTTTTCAGGCAGATGGGTGGGGGAGCAGTGAAGGAAGGAGGAAAAAAGACAAAGCACAAGGGGAACCGGAAATGACATCGCTACCTTCCTGTGCCTTCCCTGCCGCCCCACTCCAGCTACCTGTCACTAAACCCAGTGCACTTCATCTAGTTGACGGGTTTCTCTCAGGCATTTTGTTTTTCTGCCATGAGTGGGAAGGACTTGGCTTCCCTCCGCGCACAGCTGTGCACTCCCAAAGACGCCTGGGCCAGATGTGGCAGTGCGTCCTGTAGTCCCAGCTGCTTGGAAGGCCGAGGCAGGAGGATCACTTGAGCCCAGAAGTTTGAGACCAGCCCTGGGAACACAGGGAAACCCCATCTGTAAAAAAAAGTAAAATAAAGAAGTATGCTTTCACTCTGAGGGCTGCTGGCCTCGTTATTTCTAAAATGGGTGCCTGCCCTCTGAGTAGGGAATGTGCTTTCTCTCTACCAAGGCATGATGTGTCATCCCAGTAGCCCCTGAAATCCTTGTAGGAGTTAGGACATAGTCAGATTTTTAAAAGTAAGCATTTAGTAGGAAGTGCAGTGAAAAACAAACTGATACAGTTACCATAAGAGGGACTTTGAAATCAATATGCCACAGTGGCAGACAGTGGTCATCAGATAACCACTGCCTGGAACAATTGAGCGGTGTCTCAGGTGGCGGCTCTTTTACAATAAACTGCTTTCTCCCATATTGAAGTGCTGAAATTAGGTTGAACATGACATTTTGCTAGGTGTCTATGGCCTGTGAGTGGTAATGGACTATATTCATTAAAGAATTATCAAGTGAAATGTGTAGTTTTGTGTGAGCTAAGTTAAAAACCACCAGGGTTTTTTTTTTTAATGGAAGAGTGAGATAGTTTGTCAGACAGTAATTACGTATGTTTTTAGGGTTTTAGTTTTATTTTTTCATTTTGAAAAGTCAATTTTTCTAATTAAAAATGAAAGATACATTCTTTTCAGAAAATTACTAAAAAGTTAAAAGTAGAAAAAAATCATCCAAGATTTTACCATCTAAGGACAACTAGTGTTCACTTTTTGATGTATTGCCTGTTGGTCTTTTTTCTGTGCATGTACATTTTGCACTGATGTAAGTGGACAGAATTTACGATTTCATATCCTTAACCCTTCGCATTATACTAGAGTTCCCTGCCCTAGATCATTAGAGACTCTTAGTAAGTATCATTTTATATTTCACTATGTTGAAGTTCCATGTTTTATTTAGCCGGAGCGTAGGGCTTTGGGATTTAGGCGCCAGGAGTATGCGGGTGGGAAGGTTCAGCCTGGCACTCTGATGGGAGTCGGCAGACCTGGTTCTGTGAAGGGGCAGACGCACTTGGGTTAGGCTTTTCGGGCCACACAGTCCCAAGTCTGCTGTTGCAGCACGAAAGAGCCACAGGCAATATATAAACAAATGAGCATGGCTGTGTTCCAGTCGAGCTTTCTTTTTTCTTTTTTCTTTTTTTTTTTTTTGAGACCGAGTCTCACTGTTGCCCAGGCTGGAGTGCAGTGGCGTGATCTCGGCTCACTGCAACCTCCACCTCCTCGGTTCAAGCGATTCTCCTGCCTCAGCCTCCCGAGTAGCTGGGATTACAGGTGCCCACCACCACGCCTGGCTAATTTTTGTATTTTTAGTAGAGATGAGATTTTACCATGTTGGCCAGGCTGGCATCAAACTCCTGACCTCAGGTGATCCGCCCGCCTCAGCCTTCCAAAGTGCTGAGATTACAGGCACGAGCCACCGCACCCAGCCTCAGTCAAGCTTTCTTTAAGGAAACAGGCAGTTGGCCAGATTTGGCCCAGGAGCTATAGCTTGGCACTTCCTGCTCCAGAAAAGGGAACTAGGATTGGGCTGCAGATGACGGCTGTGCGTGTCTGCCGGTCTGCAGGTGACCTGGAGAAGGGCGATGCTCGGGAAGGTGGATTCCCTCCCTCCCTCCCTTTACTATGTAAATAAGAGAAACGGTTTCTAAGCACGCTGCCCTCATTATGCTGGCACAGCTGCTACAGAATGCGGTGTGCTGGGTAAACAACATACAGCTTTGCTTCATTTGGACAAAATGTGTACATGTGTACTTGGTGGCAAGCGTATTTATGAATCTTATTTGATGATGAACTTGTTGGAAGACATTGTTCTCTAATTTTTTTTCATTTTTGCCTGTCTTTTTCATTTTTGGAAACTGATTTCAATAATTCCAAAATGAGCAATGACATTACTTTCCACATAAATGATTATCTTACTCACCATATACATCAATACACTGTAAGAATCCAAAATATATTTTTTCCCTTGGCTGTTTTCTACTTCTTTGATTGAGTGGCATAATATCATTTTAGATTTATTACGCGTCTATTTGTATACTACTGAAAATTATAACCCAGTGGGACTTCATTTGCTGTGGGACTTGCTATAAAACAGATTGATGTCTATTGCACTGTGCTGCATGCACTAGTATTGTCTATTAATGAAAATGATAAACATTATTTTGGATTGAATAGAGGTCAAAAAACTTACTTCCTTTCTTTCAATTAAGTTGAAGGATTTCCAGGACTATAAATGTTAATGATAGAGCATTAACGTGTATTTGTCAGCGTGGAAAGTTTCGCTCCTGCATTGCCCGCAGGAGACGGAAGATGCATGGGTTTCCTGGCGCGCAGGTTGGGTGGAGGCTCAGCGTGGCTCTGTCTGGCCAGGCTAAGTGGTTTGCAGTGCCTGTCTCATTTCAGACATTTGCTGTGACATTTGCTTCGTATTTTTTCCTGATGACTCAACCAAGAATCATTCAGAATTACCTTTAGAAACATAAATTCTTGTGGTTTTGATGATAGAGTTAACCATGTGTTCTCCAAGGAGTCTTCTAAAATACATCTGCTTTGCCAGAGAACACACTTTCTTCTGCCCGTTCAGTGCTCTCGGGTCTTTTGCCGCTTCCTTTCAACAACAGTCCGATGACTTTGTCTTCCTGCATATGTGCGAAGGGAGAGGAGCTCACTGGTCCTCCCAGAGGGTGAAGTAACCGGGACACATTATTGAATAAAATGCTCTTTTGTAGTATCCCACTCTGTATCTTAGACCTTAGTCGTAGGCAAGTTTAATTTGGAATTTGCGTCTGGAGAAACGGCTTTATGACGTTTCCAAGTAGAGCCTCAGTATCATGGATCTCACACAGTCCCCGCGGCAGCTTCCAGGCCGTTTCCAGAGGAAAATATTTTTTCTCCCCAAACAAGACAGTGTTCTCTCACTGTTCCAGTCTCTTGACATATACTCAATTAAGATGAATATCATAATGTATTGTAATAGAGCTCCCGTTTTAAAAGATGACGTGTAAAAACCACCTGATGGATGCGGTAAGAAAGGGAATTGAAGCAGATGGAGGGGCACGGGCTGCTGACTCCCCGGCTGAACCCCGTCCTCGGGTGCTGCAGGAAAGAGTGAGATTGATGATCCTGGAGGGAGCCCACTCAGCAGCACAGCCGGAGACTTTGCTGGTCCCTTGAGATGGCTGAGTCCCCACTGGGGGCTGGGGTGAGGGGTGAGGCCGGAGGAGACAGTGGAGCTGGCGAGGGCCCCAGGGTGCAGGCAAGGCTGAGGGCACTCGGCTCTCCTCCCACTGCCCTTGATAGGCATGGCCTGCTGTGCTGTGTCTGGGGCTCAGAAAGATGGAAAATAAGAGGGTGGAAAGAAAGAGTTTGTCCTACCGCCCTTGTGAAAAGAGAAGTAATCCAATAATAAATAAAAGTGATAAAAGACAATTGGAAATATGAAGAAGAAACAGGAAGAAAGACCAGTTGGAAGCATTAAGTATAAAAAATATAATTGGTGAAATAATTGAAGAGATGGATTGAAAAGCAACATTATGGATAGAGCCAAGAATAAACCAGGAAGCTGAGAAGCTTGTTTGAGGAGTTCCCACCAAAGGGATGGAGCTAGAAGGAAGGGGAGAAACATGAGAGGCAGAGACAAAGTTTAAATATCTAGGAAATAACATTTTCTTCTCTCTAAAAAAAAACGTAGAAAAGGAGAAAAGACAGGCTTAGTAAATAGAAAGTGTGAGATACGATGGCTAAAATGTTTTGAAATAAAGTTGTAACTGTAAACGAATTGAATTCACCTCTCAAAGGGCCATGATTCTTGTGTTGGTTAAAATCATGATACAGCAGTCTCTTGTCCATGAGACACAGATTTAAAGCAAAACGTTTAAGCCTGGGCAAAACAGCACGACCCTGTCTCTACTAAAAATTTAAAAATTAGCTGGACATGGTGGCTTATGCCTGTGGTCTCAGTTCCTCGGGAGGCTGAGGCAGGAGGATCAGTTGAGCCCAGGAGTTCAAGGCTGCAGTGAGCTGTGATTGTGCCACTGCACTCCAGCCTGGGTGACAGGGTAAGACCCAGTCTCTAAAAAAAAATAATAATAATAAAAAATAAGAACATGTATTTCAAAGGTTGGAAATCAGAAGATGAAAAAGAGAAATACGAGCTAAAAGAAAGCTGGGGTGGCCAGTCCCAATATGACTTAAAGCAGAAGCTGAGATAAATTATTGAGAGGGGCAAAGAAAAATGTTGTATTGTGGTAAAACGAACAGGAAAGCAGGAAGGTATATACTGATGATGACTGTGTGCACCTGACAACGTGGCCTCGAACGAGATAAGATGGGAGCTGAAGTGTGGATGGAAGCAGATGAATGAGAAGTGTGCTTAGATACAGAGACACCAAGTACAGACAAAGGAAGCAACGTAAATACGACTTTTGTCACCGAATTAATTAGCCAGACCTCACAGAGGCACACAGGACCATACATCCAACAGGGAATGTGGACATATGTGGACCATTCACAAAAATAAATCATGCGCCCGACTACAAAGAAAGCTTTACTAATCCGGAAGAATCAGCATCGTGTGAACTCCGTGGCAGACCACACGCAATGAAGCTAGAACTCAGTAACGAAAGGACAGCTTTAACAAAAGTCTGAAAACTAAAATCTTAAAATCCTTGGATTAAAGAGGAAATATTTTATATTTTTTATTTTTTTTTACATGTACACACTTACACATTTATTTGACTTCATTGTAGAACTTTGACATTAATCCCAATAACTAATCTCTTTATACATATTGTTTCATCCTGACATCAACCTGAACAGGGAAAATTGACTTATATAAGCACATAGCTACTATAGATGTCTTTTTAGAAACTGATTATTGATATATAGCAGAGAAACCTAAAATCTCTTTAACTAACTTGAAGTCCTGACCGTATGACTTCTTTTGTTATTTTATTTTATTTTATTTTATTTTATTTTATTTTATTTTATTTTATTTTATTTTATTATTATACTTTTAAGTTTTAGGGTACATGTGCACAATGTGCAGGTTACATATGTATACATGTGACATGCTGGTGTGCTGCACCCATTAACTCGTCATTTAGCATTAGGTATATCTCCTAATGCTATCCCTCCCCCCTCCCCCCACCCCACAACAGGCCCAGAGTGTGATGTTCCCCTTCCTGTGTCCATGTGTTCTCATTGTTCAGTTCCCACCTATGAGTGAGAACATGCAGTGTTTGGTTTTTTGTCCTTGCAATAGTTTACTGAGAATGATGATTTCCAATTTCATCCATGTCCCTACAAAGGACATGAACTCATCATTTTTTATGGCCGCATAGTATTCCATGGTGTATATGTGCCACATTTTCTTAATCCAGTCTATCATTGTTGGACATTTGGGTTGGTTCCAAGTCTTTGCTATTGTGAATAGTGCCACAGTAAACATACGTGTGCATGTGTCTTTATAGCAGCATGATTTATAGTCCTTTGAGTATATACCCAGTAATGGGATGGCTGGGTCAAATGGTATTTCTAGTTCTAGATCCCTGAGGAATCGCCACACTGACTTCCACAATGGTTGAACTAGTTTACAGTCCCACCAACAGTGTAAAAGTGTTCCTGTTTCTCCACATCCTCTCCAGCACCTGTTGTTTCCTGACTTTTTAACGATTGCCATTCTAACTGGTGTGAGATGGTATCTCATTGTGGTTTTGATTTGCATTTCTAAAGAGGAAATACTTTAAAACTGATAAAATACTCACAGCCAAATGTTAGTAATAGCACATTTGCTGTTTGTGGGGTGTATGTAGCCAAAGCAGGCGAGGATTTAATACATTTAGTCAGAAAACAAAGATTAAAAAAACAAGAAAAATTAAATGTTTGCCTTAAAGAGCCAGGGGAAAAATGCAATAAACAGATGAAAAACAAAATGAAGAGAGCGAATCTGAAAGATACAGGCAGCCCTACGCTGTCCGTCGCATCTCTGCATCCATAGGGTCTCTGCTTCATTTCCTGGGAGTCCTGCCAGTGTGGGAGGGGGCGTCCAGGGCCTCTGAACACTCTTCTCACAGATTTTCATCTGGGCACTTGCTCTCAGTTCTTCTTTTCAGAGAGCCAGTTGTCTCAGTTCTTGATACTTGCTGACAGCAGGCTTTGGGAGGTGAGTGCTTCATTTTGACTTTGCACCGTCCAGGTCAAAGGCTTCACTTCTCTCACCTCTGCTGAGCCACTTACGCTTGTCCAACTGTTTCTTAACGTTTGGTTGACATTTTACAGTTACAGGGATAACAGTAGCTAGCATTTGTCGAGCGTCACTGGAGCCATTCCACTAATGCACTCATCTAACACCACACGCCTGTAAGGTTTGGACTGGCGTTAGTGCTGCTTTCAGGATGAGGAAGTTCAGGTTGCTTGGAGAGTAGCTGGTGGAGTCAGGATTCAAAGCTGGGTGCCCAGGCTCCCGAACTGACAGCCTCAACTCTGTTGTTCCGCCTCTCTCTCTCCTGCCCAGCGTCTCTCATTTGCCATGATTTCCTTCCTGGGGCTCTCCGTCCTTGTCCTGTTCTTTTTCTCTCGTTATGGAGGAAGTTGAGATCACTATCATCTATAGTCTGTCACGTCTAAATAGAGGTTACCACGACTTACTTAACGTGGTAAAGGCTACATCAGAGCTCTTCAGCAAACCAGCCTAGTGGGGAGACTGGAGACGTCTTCCCTTCGAAGCTGGGAACAAGGCAAAGATTCTCTCTCGCACTAAAACAGTATTAGAATTCCTGACCCCCAGTAAGATAACTCCATAACCAGCAGAAGGAATGTGAACATTTGTAATTATCTGTTTACAGTAAGGGCCATCTAACATAGTTCACTGATTCTAGCATGTACTTTTTAAATTTTTTTTAAGACGTGATCTTGCTTTGTCACCCAGGCTGGAGTGCAGTGGTGTGAACACGGCCCACCGTAGTCTCAACTTCTCGGGCTCAAGCAATCCCCCCACCTCAGCCCCCCAGGTAACTGGGACTACAGGTGTATGCCACCATTCTGACTAATTTTTGTATCTTTTGTAGAGACTGTGTCACCATGTTGCCCAGGCTGGTCTCGAACTCCTAAGCTCAAGAGATCCTCCCACCTCAGCCTTACAAAGTGCTGGAATTACAAGCATGAGGCACCATGTCTGGTCCTTTTTTAAAAAATAGAGACAGGGTCTCTCCCTTTTACTTAGATGGGAGTGCAGTGACACAGTCATAGCTCACTGCATCCTTGAACTCCTGGGCTCAAGTGATCCTCCTGCTTTAGCCTCCCAAAGTGCTGGAATTCCAGGCATGAGCCACCACGCCTGATCCCAGCATGTGCGTTTTCACACTTAACATATCTGGGGTCCAGAAGCATCTTACAATAAGTAACATACCTGTTTAGTTGGCAGTTCTTTTCCTTTGTTAATAGTGTATAGAAATGCTTGCAAAGGTCCACCTAGAGGTGTGCACTGTACCCTTTCTTACTGCTGTTTGTAAGCTCACTGTTTGTCACTAGGGAAAGAAACAGGCACCATTACTTAACTAGGTGTTCATGTACCGGCAATAATTGATCTCAAAATTTAATGCTATTTGTAGTTTTTAATTAAAAAACTCTCAAATGTATGGTCTAAGTTTTTCTTTAAGTCCAGAAAAAAAAGAATACATTAAACCCTAAGTAAGTAGAAGAAAAGAAATAATAAAGAGAAGAGCAAAAATAAACAGAAGTTGACCCCAAAATTTGTAAAAATTCATGAAACTAGTTGATAGTTTTTGAAAGGTTCATTAAAATTGTCAAAACTTTTTCTAGAGTGCTCAAGAAAAATAGAAGGAAGATACAAATGACTTTCATCAGAAATGAAAGAGGGCACATCCTTACTGATCCTACAGATGTTAAAAGAATAAGGGGCCAGGTGCGGGGGCTCATGCCTATAATCCCAGCACTTTGGGAGGCCGAGGCAGGTGGATCGCTTGAGCCCAGGAGTTCAAGACCAGCCTGGGCAACATAGCAAAACCCCATCTCTACAAAATATAAAAATTACTCGTGCGTGGTGGCATACGCTTGTAGTCCCAGCTACTTGGGAGGCTGAGGTGGGAGGATCACTGGGAGGCATTGAGGCTGTAGTGAGCAGTGCAGTGATCACGTCACTGTGGTCCAGCATAGACCACAGAGTGAGACCCTGTCTCCAAAAATGAAAATTATAAGTAAATAAAAGGAGAATAAGGGAATCATTTTAATCATGAAGGACCATATGCCAGTAAATTCTTCATCTTAGATGCAATGGATAAATTCTGTGAAAGACACAAGTTATCAAATCTGACAGAAGAATAAAAAGAAAATTTGGATAGGATATATCTGTTAAGTAAATTAAATTTCTGGTTAACAACCATTCAAAGACAACCCCGCACCCAGATATCTTTACTAGTGAATTTTACCAAACCTTTAAGATGAACAGAATAGACAGACAACCTTTGTGAAATGTTTAAATATCTGCTGACCATATTAAGTTGCTGTCCCAAGGCTCGGTGTAATTAGTAATGGTAAAAGCTAAGAAAATCTTTACAAGGTTACTGCCTAACTGTTGACTAATTTGACCAAATTTTATGCACCTGGGGCCTTTTACAAATCAGCTTACTTCCCTAAGAAAAAGTGTTACTTGAATTTTTTTTTTATGATTTTATTTTATTTTATTATTTTTGAGACAGAGTCTTGCTGTGTCGCCAGGCTGGAGTGCAGTGGTGCAATCTCAGCTCACTGCAACCTCTGACTCCCTGTTTCAAGTGATTCTCCTGCCTCAGCCTTCTGAGTAGCTGGGATTACAGGCACGTAACACCATGCCTGGCTAATTTTTGTATTTTTAGTAGAGATGGGGTTTCACCATGTTAGCCAGGATGGTCTCGATTTCCAGACCTCGTGATCCGCCCGCCTCGGCCTCCCAAAGTGCTGGGATTACAGGCGTGAGCCACCGCGCCTGACCACGTGAATTTTTTTTTAAGAGCAGCTTGCCTTTATATTTTTGGTTCACGTTGGGACTTACCTTCTAGTCATTTACTGTTGGCTCACATTTCCTCTTCTCCCATGTCTGTCTAACGGGAGAACCATGGAGTGCGTGATCTCACTTGGGGTCTCAGTAGGCCGCTTAGTGAGTCCCAAAGACTTTTGTGAGAGTTTGAATGCATCCGTGTGTAATGTATCTGGAGGACTCAAGGGTAGCAAGTATACACAGAGTATCCTTTTAACATAAAAGGAGCATTCAGAAAAGAATTAAGACTGTGCAGTTCAGCCCACAGTTGGGCTCTCATAGCTACTGAGTTATTCATGTAATCCTCGGAAATCAGCTTGGGTGAAATACTGCACGGGAAAGAGTGCTCAGCCCCGGCCTCACTCCTGCCTGTCCCAGGCCTCCTCACTGTCCGTGTCTCATGGGAAGAAAGTCATTTGTTGTCTCCTGCTTGATGTCATCATCACTATGTTCCAGATTAGCTTCAGGACTTGTTTGAAATCATACCTACTAATCGACTGACTTATATCCCCATCACACGGTGACATATTAACTGCTTATTTGCCTCTTTGTATCTTCTTCTTAAACTTCTGGGCATTTTAGTGGCAGTTTGGCTTCTTGTTTGATTTATGTGCCTAAGCGTGCTCATGCCTCCATATTTAATCAGTGACGTTAGGTCACATTGCATGCAAAAACTGTCAGTGCATTCAGCTCCGTATTTAATAGCAGGCATTCATGACCCTTTTTTAAATAAAAAAGCGATCATTTGATTTGTGCTAAACTGGACAGTATATTGCGGAAGCCATTTTCATCCTCATTTTACTTGTGCTGAGATCGAATCGATAATGCCTCTTGATGGCATCATTGTTGGAACGCCAGAACCGTGCTGTCACATAGACCTGTATGGAGGGTGGCATGTGTCCCACGCCAGAGCCATGCCATCATGTAGGCCTGTGTGGAGGGTGGCATGGTGTCCCACGCCAGAACCAAGCTGGCAAGTAGACCCATAAGGATGGTGGCATGGTGTTGCCAGCCTTGTTGTAAAATGGTGTGAATTAATCCAGGAGACGTTAGCCTCTTCTTTGGTTTCTCGTTATTTGTACTGCTAAGTAAATGTTGTATATGTATGTTCAGTACATAGAACAATTTAAACTGGATTCAGAAGCCATTTCAGTGCACTCTGAGACTGGGCATTAAACCTTGCTTTAAGTACTGTCACCACAGTCACTGAGAACAGCCCGAGTGCTGCTTACTTGCAGGTTGAAAGGACTCTGTGCAATGAGAACTTCTGAGTTCCCATCCTGTCCCAGGTAGCCAGTAAACACCTAAGTCATGAAGGTTATGAGACACAGTCCCTGTGTGCCCGGAAAAGAGGGTCTCCAGGGAGAGGTGCTCCCTCTCATCAGTGCTCTTCTTGGAGACAGAGGAGGGAGTAGGGATACTCCTTCTGCTTGCCTTGGAGGCAGAGGCGGCATCACTGCTGTTGGGGTGTCCTCGTATCACCCGCTATGATGAGTGAAATTTCACCAGCAAGAGGAGGTGGAGAAAGGCATTGTGAGGCACTCACCCTGACCTGCTCAGAGGCCTGAACGCATCTCGACCAGCAGCCCAGTGTGGCATCTGAGTGAAGGATGGTGGCCAGGACACGAGAGGGAGGGCGGGGTCCGTGACCATGAAGCTCGAGCTGGAATTTCTTCTGTTGGCAGTGCCTTCTTTGTGGTAGGTGCTGTGCAGCTGCAGGGCTGGCCTGGCCTGCAGAGCCAGTCACACGGGGGTCTCCACCCTTGTCTCAGCCCACTAGTGCTGCTGCACAGGCCCCTGAAACAGGGTAATTTATAAAGAACAGAGTTATTTCTCCCGGTTCTGGAGGCTGGAAGTCCCAGGTCAAGGCATCGGTGGGTTTGGCGTCTGGTGAGGGCTGTTCTCTGCATTCGAGGTGGCGTCTTTTCCCGTGTCCTCCTGGGAGGACTGCTGCATCCTCACATAGCAGAAGGCAGAAGGCAGCAGAGGCTATGTTCCTCCAGCACCCCCGCCTTAAATAAGGTTGCTAAAATCCCACTCAGGATGGCGGAGCCTTGGGATGTAACCGTCATCTAAAGCCCACCTCTTAGCACTGTCACTTCGGGTCCTCAGATCCAACAGGAATTTTAGGAGGGACGTGCCTTCTCAGCGTAGCAGCCCTCTGGGAAATGAAAGCCTGTTTGAGAAGACATGTTCGTATCTCAGCAGCAGCGTGGTCCGGGCTCTCCTGAGGAAGGTGCCCAGGGCATTTGGGGACACAGAGGAGCAAATTTCATCCAGCAGGGGCAGCTCACTGTGTGGGTGAGGCTTAGAACTGGGCATGGCGGTGGCTGTCGGATGGACATGCAGGTTCAGGATCCAGGTATGTCTGTCACCTACCATTTCTAATGGAGGACAACGATATCATCAGTTGTGAACACATCTTCTCTGTTACTGTTCAAGAAGCCATGCTGTTTGCATTCTCTAAGAGGAAAATCGCACTGCTGGTAGCACCTTCAACCTGCAATTCCTACTTACCCGCCTCAAACGCTTCCTGTCTTCACTTTTGCTGTCCGCAAGATCCCCACCTTCCAATCCACAAATGTTTGTACTCAAATTTCCCCAGCAGAACCAGCAATAAAGCACAGAAAGCAGCTGACCTAAGCCCACCCACCTCTTTCCTTAAATCGGGCATCTTCCCCTTAGACAGAGTGTCTGGTTTGCGCTGCTGTCACCACTCAGCTTCTCCCAGCATACAGCGTGTGCTGCCTCTCCTGGCCCGGGGCAGTCCCCTGCCTTCCTGCCATTCCAGCAGCTCTCCCGGAACCATCGAGGTGATCGCTGCCTTCTGAGCCGTCAGCCTCACTGGCCTGTCCCTAATCCTTGCCCCTGAAGAGTCCGCTGCAGAGCTGAAGCAAGGGACACCCCCTTCAGCACCTCCTTCCCTGCCCTGGGGTCTGCGGCTGCCTCTCTGAAGCTCCCACTCTCTGGCCAGCCTCTCTTCCTGCACTTGGACGTATGTTCTCCCACGGCTGTGTTCTTGGCCCTCCTCTTGACGTACTTCTGCCTGTGAGAAACTGCAGCTCATCCAGCGATCACTATCCTGACCCCTCTGAGATAATCCCTCCTTCCTCACGCTCTCCCTCTGCCAGCGCTTTCCTCGTCATATACACCTGCATAAACCTCTCATGCCTGAAACAAAAGGTCCACCCCAGCAAGAGGGCACTCCCGCCGCCCGCTGGCCCTCCTGGGCCTCATTGCCTAGTTCTTTCTCTCCAGGTGCAGTTAAGCTTCAGGACGGAAGGGGGTACCTCCCAAGCCTTTCTGCCCTTCCTGTCCAGCCCTCAATATTGTAATCAGGTCTCCTCAACCTAGAACGCCCCCTCTCCTTCCCAGCCCCAGGTGTTTACCCTGGTTGTTTGTGTTTCTTGTTTTTCTGTGTAATGGAAGGAAGGTATCACCTGAGAGGCCTTAGGAATGACACAGGAAACCCTGCTGCCTCCATTCAGACTTGGGTGGGGTGGGGGTGGGTGGAGGCCAGCTGGCATCTCCCAGGATTTCTGAACCCTCGTGTCCCTCAGCCAGCCACCGCCATGCCCAGCTCCAGGCCTCGCCCCCGATATGGGGGAAGCTGTTGCTGCTGGATCTGACGTGCCCGTCTTCTCGCTCGGGCACCCCAGCTGGTGCGTAGCGAGGCAGTCACAGCTCACTGCAGCCTCGACCTCCTAGGCTCAAGTGATCCTCCCACCTCAGCCTCCCTGGTAACTGGGTCTATAGGTGCACACCACCATGCCTGGCTAATTTTTCACATTTTTTGTAGAAATGGGGTCTTGTTATATTGGCCAGGCTGGTCTTTAACTTCTGGCCTCAAGCAGTCCTCCAACTGCAGCCTCCCAAAGTGCTGGGATTACAGGCCTGACACTAATTTCTGCACATAGAGGTGAGGAGGCACCTCGGGTATCAGGGTAGTGAATGAGTGCCTGGACCACACAGGCCAGAGTCGAAATCTGTTCACCTGCCTTAATCTGCCACTGTTTGGCTGCTTTTAAAAAATAAATGTACATCTTTGTCTTGGATTGTCTTCCTTAATATCACATCCAAAAACTCAATACTAGCAATTTTTCAGAAGACCTCGATGTTTTGGGCAGCCCTTAGACCTCCCTGTCACTTGACCCAAATGGTGCTGGGTTGACCCCAGTCCAGCAGGGACCACCAGTGCTGTCCCCAACATGACTGGTTCCCCCTGTCTCTCCCCCCACATGCCTGGACCCCCTTCCTCTCCCTCCACATGCCTGGACCCCCTTCCTCTCCCTCCACATGCCCTGTTCCCCTTCCCCTCCCCCCCACATGCCTGGTCCCCCACCCCTACCCTCCCCGCCCTTGTCTGGTCTTCAGTGCCTCCCTGATGAGGGGCAGCTGCCCCCATTCTCCTGCGGCAGCTTCACCAGCCACACGGCTCATCCAATGGCTTGGACCTTGTTTCATTCACTAAAGCACCAGCTCTAGCACTGTGAGGTCATTATTGAGTTTGTAAGCAAAAATCTTCTTAAGGAACAGACTAATGTGTATTTAATTTTCATTATGTACCAGGTACATATTAAGACTTTTTGTTTCTTTTAATCTCAGTAATTCCTGTTTTATAGTTCCATTATCCTCATCGTGTAAGTGAAAGGTAAGTGGTGGCAGCCGGACATCAAGGTGTGAACTCGCCTGGGGCTGTACAGGGGCAGAGCCAGGGCTACGATTTGAACCGGGGTTTTCTGACCTGAGCGCTCTTCTCTTCATTACCTTCTGCCTCCTCCTTCTCACCACTTAAGTGGCTTCATGCATGCAGGGCTTTTAAAATGAGATTTTCTCAAAGAGCCGTGTGTCTGCAGGTGGCATGCGCTGGCACTGGGCTATTGGGAGGCACAGAGTTGTTCCTGGGTCTCTCCCACTGGAGAAAGCAGTGTGTTTGGCTGAGCCAGTGACACAGGGCTGCCCGGGAGCGGCACCACCACTCTTGGGACAGGTGGGCAGGCGCTGTTGATGTCCCTGGATGTTGTCCCTTCACCTGCAGTTTGTCACCAAAGCCCCGAGGGACTGTGGTAGAGACACAGCTAGTGGGGACTTCTCTGTTCGCACAGAGACTCTGCAGTTGCAGCTACATCACACTCTGGTAAATAGCGCCTCTGGCAGTGGGTTTTAATATCCACGTTGGTTGTTGAAGCAGTATATTCTAGGGGTGCCTGGGAAGACAGTCGTTTAAAATGTCTCTGCTTTTTATAGGTCAGTTTTTCTTCTTCTTTCTCACTCCCTTGCCAATTGTTGGACTTAAAGTTTGTTGGAAAGGCCCTTCCTTTATTTTGATTTGTGCCTGTGCTTTGCTCCAAGGCAGGCCACTGGGGGCATTTTTTACACCGAGGACTTGGTTGGAACCGTTAACCAGTGGCTGGCTGGTCTGTTTGTTTACAAGGCAGCCCCGCAGCCTTGTTCTGAGCTGGCTGGCTCCTAGATGTTATTTGGATTTGCTTCCTCTGGCACCAGGCCCTCCTCCAGGCAGGCGCTTGGGCAGGCTGGTGGGACTGATGGGTAGCCTTGCTGGGGACGTGTAGTCACTGTGGCGCTGCCAGCAAACTGTTCTTTCTGGAAGAGGAACGCTTGGTGCCTGGGTGTGTTCAGTGTGTTCTGTTGTGCATCAGAGCTCCCTCAGACGTCGACCGCTTCTGATTCCCTCCAGACAGCTCCCGGTGGACACGCAGGGCTATGCGGCCTGCCCTGGGGGCTATGGTGCTGAATCCTGACAAAGGCCCTCTTCTCGGGCTGTCAGAAAGGACGAGGCTGAGTCAGGCTTTAATGTAAACCATCACTCCCTGTTTTTCTATTTCTTCGTTGAAAGAAGCACTGATCATTGTGTTCACTAGAAACACCTCAAGTTTTTAAAAGGCTCCTCTCCTGTTGGTGTGACTCGAGGGCGCTGTGACATCCTGAGAAAGCGGGGACTCTGGGAGTCTGGATGTCAAGCTGGTCCCGTCTCCACCCGCCTTGAGTTCTCGGTTCTCGACAGCGCCCGTGTGATGATGATGCTCACGCTCCGGTGTGACACAGACGGCGCGGGAGCTGCACGGGAGAGTGCTTTGGAAGTGGAAGCCGCAATGTCATGTAAGCTGTTGAGTATGAATTGTATCATATTTCACAATCCACAGAGTATTCTCCCTTATGGTGTCACATTTGCTCTTACTAATAACCCAGGACTTGTCAAAGCAGACGTAGTGCATAAAACATCACTGTGTTACTGATGAGGTACCAGATGCTCCGCGTGCGGCCGTCTGGGGTGGACAGCTTCATTTATGGCAGAGCCAAACAGGAGCCCGGATCTTCTGATCCCAAATCCCGTATTATTTTCACTATTCCATGCTGCCTGCCTTCACCAACGTGAGCTGAAGTTATTACATGTTATCACTTTACTTGATGCCGTGCCGTACTTTACACGAGAACCAGCTTCCCGTTGGGGACTTTACAGAGCTTTCGGCAGGGACAGTAATGGGGGCGGCCCCTGGGAAGCTGTGCAAAGTAGCATTTGCGGCGCCACATCCCGCAGTGTTTCCTGAGGACTCGCTGTGTGCAGGGGACCGTAAGATGCCACAGAGAAATCAAGGAGGCTGCGGACACAGTGTCTGTCCTCAAGTCATTCATCATTCCCTTTCTCTGCCCCTCTGCCGTGGAAGGTTTTCAAGTAATTAAGCTGCTTGCTTATATGCAGCTTTCCTCCACGGGCCCCGCCTGTGCGTAGTCGTGCTCTGGCAGAGTCTCTGCACCTTCCTCCCTCGGGCTCCTGGGCCTGTGTCTGTCCGTCCTCCACTGTCTTGCTGTCTGCATCTTCATGGTGTAAGTCTGGCCCCTCAGCCGCCCCACAAGCCTGGCCCGGGGCCAGGCTTCCAGCCGCTGCTTCAACCCAAAGGTGGAACACCTGTTTCCTGCAGTGGAGAAGATGGGAAAGCCTTTTCTGCAGGGCTTTTACTCCCACTTCCTTCTTGTTTTCAGCCATTTTCTCTGTGCTGTTTTTCTCCTTTCTTCCTGAGACTTTCCCCTTTGACTTGTTCTTAGTCTTCTTTCTTTCTCTTTTGAACAGGTAGCGGTCTTGTTATGTTGCCCAGGATAGTCTCAAACTCCTGGCCTCAAGCGATCCTCTCGCCTCAGCTTTCCAAAGTACTGAGACTGCAGGTGTCAGCCCCATACCCAGCCAGTCTTCTCTTTTCTTTACTTTGAGTTTAGGCTTCTTGAGTTGTTTTCTTCTTCTCAGATGCTTCAGGGGGTAGCTGAGAATGTTGAAAATACTAAAGTGCAGCAGAAGCAAGGAGGCAGAGCCAGCCCTGGTTTCCCACTGATGATCAAATTTCTTTTTAGCTCAGAAATACTGGCTTATGCCTAACCCATCAAAGGTGCAGCATTGTTGGGCACAGGATGAAAAACAGACAGCCCCCACGTTTGGCTGTCAAACCACATGACCCAGAAATAGCCATCATTGTAAGAACCCCAGAGGGAGCCTTTGCTATCTTTTAATTTATTGCACAAATAATATTATAACAGTAAACAATGAAAAGGAAGAAATGAAAGAAAAATTACCCAGAATCCACTGTTTTTGCTATTCCATATTCTTCATACATTTGTCCATATATGCACATAATTTTACTTACTTGGAATTAAATATATTTTGTATTGTTTTTAATTTGAAGATCACTGATTTTATATTGCTATTGATATTTTCAAATTTAGTATTCCATCACATTTATAGACAGTATTACTTAATCATTTCCCTCTCATAAAATTATAGTGCTTGCAAGGAGTTTTTTCCTGTTCATCTTTGCGGTACATAGAACCTTCCTTAGCTGTCCATGGTAGCATGCAGCTGTAGTCTCAGCTACGTGGAAAGCTGAGATGGGAGGGTCACTTGAGCCCAACAGTTTAAAGTTATGATGAGCTATGATTGTGCCACTGTACTCTAGCCTGGGCAACATAGCATAGAGTAAGATCCTGTCTCTTAAAAGAAAAAAATAATAATATTTTCTTATTTTGGACTATTTCTTAGAATATGTTTCTGGGAATAAGATCAGTAGGTCAAAGTATATAGCTCTTGATATCTTTTGCCAAACTTCCTTTTTTTTTTTTTTTTTTTGAGATGGAGTCTCACTCTGTCTTCCCAGGCTGGAGTGCAGTGGCGTGATCTCGGCTCACTGCAAGTTCTGCCTCCTGGATTCAAGCGATTCTCCTGCCTCAGACTCCCAAGTAGCTGGGACTATAGGTGTGCACCACAATGCCCAATACTAATTTTTGTATTTTTAGTAGAGATGGGGTTTCACCATGCTGGCCGGGCTGGTCTTGAACTCCTGACCTTGTGATCCGTCCGCCTCGGCCTCCCAAAGTGCTGGGATTACAGGTGTGAGTCACTGTGCCCGGCGCTGCCAAACTTCTTTACTAAAAGGTTGCTCTAATTACACGGCCCCAAATCACACATATATGAAAGTGTCATTTTCAACACAACATTATTTTCAGAGAGAAAATGTTCCTTACTTTGCATATTGCAGGGGAAAGACTGTATTCTGCAGGTCCTGTACGTGACTGCAAGAAAGGACCAGTATTACAAGGCCAGAGACAGAGAAGGCCCCACAGTGACATCTGGACCGACCAGTATTACAAGGCCGGAGACAGAGAAGGCCCCACAGTGTGACATCTGGACCAAATCTTTTTGGTGAACCCAAGTGCTGAGTTATTGATCAGGAAGTGAAGGGGGAGGCCGGGCGTGGTGGCTCACGCCTGTAATCCCAGCATTTTGGGAGGACGAGGTGGGCAGATTACCTGAGGTCGGGAGTTCAAGACCATCCTGACCAACATGGAGAAACCCTGTCTACTAAAAATACAAAAATTAGCTGGACGTGGTGGTGCACACCTGTAATCCCATCTACTGGGGAGGCTGAGGCAGGAGAATCGCTTGAACCAGGGAGTCGGAGGTTGCAGTGAACCAAGATGGCATCATTGCACTCCCAGTCTTGGCAACAGAGCAAGACCCTCTCAAAAAAAAAAAAAGAAAAAAGAAAGTGAAGGGGGAGCGGAGGCCAGTGTGGGAGGAAGAGACAGGAAAGGTCATCTGGATAGTAAAGATCACCTGGTTTCATGTTATTTCGAAATTTACGGATAATTTTAGATATGTGGTTGAAAACTATTAAAAACTTGAATATTCAAGCAGGACTAGAGAAAGTGTCTCTGGTATGTCTTCATTCCAGCCGTCCTGCTGTGTGTGAAGTGGTATCTCACTGTTCCGCTTTGCATCTCCCTAACGACTAATGACATCAGGCATCTTTTTATGGGCTTATTGGCCTTTGTTGTTTTTTTTTTTGAGATGGAGTCCTTTGAGGTGGGAAAGTTTTATTTTATTTTGGTAAAGTCCATCTTATCTATTTTGTTGTTGCTGTCACCTGTACTTTTAGTGTCATGTTTAAGAAGCCGTTGCTTAATCCAAGGTTATGAAGTTTGACGCCTGCGCCGACTCCAGCACTTTTATAGCTTTAGCTGTTACGTCTAGGCCTTTGGTCCGTTTTGAGTTAATTTTTGTAAATGGTGTGATGAAGTCTTAAATAAGCATAGCTTGGACTTTTGGATCTATTTTTAACTTTGAGAATGTTTTCTGCAGGAATGGCAGAAATAGATGTATTGCTGGAGTGACTTTGGAACTGTATAAAGAAAAGGTGAACGCCAGAGGCTGAAGAGGGAAGGAGCTCTTTCCCTAGCAGGTTTCTGTGTAGCGAGCATCCGTGGCTGGGGTTAAAGTGTTATTTCATTATGCAGTTTATCAAATGGGAAAAGACAAAACCTAAGGGCATTTGTATCTACTCCATACCATAAAAGTTTGCCATTTTACTTTGATCATATAACAACTCTGAAAAATACTGTTTTTCATGGATTAATCAAATTACCAACATTACTTTAAAATCACACCGAGTCACTCTTTCTGTGCCGCAAGGTGCTAGGCCAGTGACATCTCTGATCTTGGGAGCCGCTGTTAGGAGCCTGATGTTAATGACAGATAAAAATTGATGTCAGATAGAAAATTAACCTCCTTCAGGGTATGTGAAACTGCTTCCCCTAATCCTATGTTCTTCCTTAGCAAACCGAATGCAACCCAGGAGCTCTGAAGAAGGAAAATGATCAGCTGTTTATCTGCTTGGCACCCTTTGGAACAGTCATTTTCCCATCTCATTTGAAAGCAGCAGTTAGAAAAATCACAAAGAAATAGTCTTTCTAAAGTTTTCCTTCCATTTTAATTCTTTTGTGTTTTTCTTCATCACATTTTCCATACACCCCACACGATTAAAGAATGGTCATTCTGCGTTTCAAGGGGCCCAGGCGGGAGGATCACTTGAGACTAGGAGTTTGAGACCAGCCTGGGCAACATAGCAACACCCAGTCTGTACCAAACTTTCTTCAAAAAATTAGCCTGGTATGGTGGTGCGCCTATGGTCCCAGCTTCTCGGGAGAAGGAGGCAGGAGGATGACTAGAGCCCGGGAGTTCACCACTACCGTGAGCTGAGATCATGCCACTGCACTCCAGCCCACACAGCAGAGTGGGGCAAGACCTGGTCTCTTAAAAGAATAAAATATTGACTGAGGATCAGGACGGTAAAATCACGAGACCTCAGAGAAGGAACAACTGTCGTGGCACCTCATGTGCGGTGTCTGGCCGCGGCGCCTGCGAATGGGTTTTGCTCTTGGTTGTCTTGGAACCAAACATCTGTGTGCTGGCATGGACTGGACATCGCCAGGTGTTTGGACCATATCTTTGTGGTTTAGCACAAAACCAAGACATACAGTTTGTACCTGTCATAGTCACTGGAGAAGCCGTGCTGTTAATTGATACAGAAACACAGCCGTGGGCTGAGATGCACCTTCTGAGCCCATGGCTGTCCTCAGCCTCATCACAGACCCCAAGCTGAATGGTCCTGCCGGACTAGGCATGAGGGCTGGAGCTCATGTGTGCGCCCGTAAGCTGGCTTTCCATTCAGTGGTTTCAACTTCTGCCTGTAGAAACACCAAAATTGTCCATGAGGTAAATGAAAATACATCCCAGGACACTCTCACTGTCCTCCCATTGTCTGGTGTCTTGTTGAGGGCTCTGGCCAGGTCAACAGGCAACTGTTTTGTCCTGTGAAAGTGTGGCGCCTCCGTGGCTTTCTGGGAGAACCGAAGAGAGAGACTTGCAGTCGGCGAGGAACTCCTTGGCGCAAGCAGCGTGCGGATCTCCTCATGCTTCTGCCGTGCCTACGTGCACTGACGTCGTCACAGGTGGGGGATAAGATTCCGTCGCGGTCGGAGTTTTCCTGTGTGAACATTGAGATGTGCAATTCCGTGACCGCAGGCACTGCCCCTCCGACACAGTGGGGTTCATCTGCTTGCGGAAGCCTCTTAAGGGCGGTTGGGAGAGACCCTCAGTGGCGCATGTCTGGAGGCTGCTGACCTAGCGTCGCAACCATAGACCAGGAACACAAGCAGATAAAAGCAGCAAGTGGGACAGATTGAACCAGCTCTTGGCATAGTTTCCCACCCCCCAGCTAGTTCAGGAGTCTGTGGACAAACTGTGTTTCAAGCATGTTGAACAACGCAGTGTGCATTTCCAAGTTCATTGGAAAATCTATGTGAGTTCACTTGTTTGCCACCAGAATGCCAGGAGTGAGCTCCGTTCTCGGGGTGCTCTTCCTTAGCCCCCAGTTTTTGCGGTGGCTTAAGGCTCTGCAGGAGTCGGGGGTACCCAGGCTCCACTCCTTGGCCCGACTCCATGCTGTTGCGGCTCTCATCTGCTGTGGGAAACTCGCTCCTCGTGGACATTTTCCACGCCTCTGGCTGGATTTCTGCTCAGTAGCCTTCAGCCAGCGGTGTTCTCATCGTGTCCATCTGCTTCTATTAAGTTAATGGGCACAGACACACGGCCCATAAAGCAGCTGGATCAAAAGTCTGGTTCTTATCAGACGACTTAATTGATAAATGTCGCAATCACAAGAAGCTGAAATGCTGTTGTGCAATGACTTCCAGAATGGTGTTCTGGGCACGTCAGCTTCCCTAAGTACAACTGGAGCCGTCGGTGGAGAAGAGCGGAAAGGGAGAGTTCAGTTGGTAGGAGGGAGGGGTCCAGCGAGAGACAGGGATGTACACGAAGTCTGTTTAACTTTACATATTGGGTGCAGAAACCACCACGGTTTAAATGCTTAGGAAGACAACTGGATAGACGGTGGTTTGTTTCTAGCCCTGATTCTGAACTCATCTGTCCTGAAAAACAGTTGCTGACACCCTCTGACCCTCAGAGGCGGTCCGGGCTAGAAGGGGATTAGTGGAGGACATCTCGGCAGGGCTGCTGTAGGCGGATGTTGTCCAGTCAGAGCGGAACCGTGACCTGTGATACGTATACTTTTCATTTTTGCCGTTTATGCTATTTTTAGATTGTCTTTATTTTACATATTAGGAATTTGCACACACGTCAGGTGAGTCGTAAGAGTCACAGAGGAAGTTCCTTCTTAGCCTGTGGCAGGGTGGATCCTGCAGCTCCCTTCCCCCCTCACCCTCCCCCCGGGGGGCCTCACTCACACAGCCCCTCCGGCTCCCTTTCTTTTTATGAGCTTTCACCTTACTCTGTTTTCCTCTTTTCTTCCTGATTTCCCTAATTGAGTTTGAGTCAGTGCATTGAGCGTGCGCTCTCAGTTGTCAGGGGTACACACTTGTGTGTGATTTTTTATGTGGCTGAGATGCACCAGGATCCTGTTGCCTCAGCCCACTGTGGTCTTTGGGTGCAGAGGAGGGTTCTTATGCCCAGCCACTTAGCCAGCAGGGTAGCTGGGGGTGAGTTTCAGAACCTTCTGAACCTCAACTGTCTCCCCTCCAGGGCAGGAAGGATAATAACACACATCTAAGCGGGGAGGGTGATAATTGTGCCCATAGTCTAAATCTTTCTCAGATCCTCCGGTGACATTGCCGGGTGGCCTGAGCTAGGAGGAAGGGTGAGGACTTAGGCAGATGGAGGACTGTGCATTTCAGTTTTTTGTTTTAATTAATTTTTTTAACTGACAAGATAACTTAGAGGGATTTTTTAAATTGGCAAATAGAATCTTCAGCTTTGCCTTCGGTTCCCTCATCGTAGGGTCAGCTCGTGGCTGCCACCCCAAGACAACACTTCCTCCCCGTGGCCGCCCTGCGGTTCCCTTCTTCCCGGAGGGTACCAACGAGCTAGGCCTGGTGCTGCCGAAAAGGAACTCAGGAAAAGGTTCCAAAATTTTTAATAGGAAGAATTTCCCAAGTCTAAAATACACAGAACTTACTCAAAAAGGGCCCCTTCTTGTGGATATTTTTAAGAGTACATTTTGCCACGCTGTCTCGCGTGGGGCCTCTGCAGCAGCTGAGACGTTTGGCAGTTTCTTCAAGACTTGGAGTAAAACCTCGCCTGAGATAGAATCTAAATACACTGGGCTTGGATCGCCCATTTGACTAAATTTCGATCCCAACTCTAGCTTTCAGAAACCTCCTTATAGGGAGAGACCTATTGCTATGGGAAGGCAAGAGAAATTAATGTCTGCGTTATTCCAGCAAAGCCCCTGCACTGCGCTGGAGGGACTTTTGTTTGCGTCTTTGGGTTGCAGAAGGGGCTATGATTGTGCGTGGCTTATCTTGGTCTCCAGCCCAGTTTAGACCTCCTTCTAGCTGATCTCTTCTCTCACTTGTACTTTGGAAGAGAGTCAGGGCTTGGCTTTGGGTCACCAGGCGTGCAGCCATGTCAGAGCTCTGGAGCCACCTCGGTTTTGTCCCTGTCACGGGGATTGACTGATTCTTAAATGATCTGCGCGAGGCGGCCCTGGAGCCTACAGCAGCACCGTTCCCCCAGGGTATCGCTGGCCTGTGTTTCACATAGGGTCAGCTCTTCGGGGGTTGTCACTGAGTAGTAAGTGCTGAGCCCTCCTGTCCCTGTTTGCAGAGGCAGCGGCTGGTTTCTGGCTGGCCAGTGATTCCTCCACCCTGTGAACACACGTGGAAATTGACACGGTGGACTCTGGGATGTAGGGGAAGGCTCTGGGTCAAGGGCATGGCTTCTTTATATAGAAAGAACAAGTCAGATGGCAGGAAAGATATAATGGTGGGTCATTTAAGTATTGGTTCTTTGTAATTTAAAAGAATCACTTTATTTATTTATTTTTTTATTTTTATTTTTTTTTAAAGAACTGAGTTTTATGGGTTTGCCACAAAGCCATTCTACATCCCCGACAAGAATAAGAATAGGTGAGGACCCAGCAGTCGCATGTGAAAATAAACGGTGTATTTAGCGGGAAACTAATGCCTCTTGCAGCCATCAGGCACTGTTTTCCCTTGATCCTGGAACACCTTGGTTTCCGGGGATCTCAGCCCCAGCCGTTGCCCCATAGCTGTTCCTCAGCACCGCAGTCGTGGAAGCCCTGTACTGAATTAGAACCGAGCAGCCCTGGCTCTCAAGGGGTCACGGGGTGAGAGGACCAGAGTTCTGCAGGCATTTTCACGTGAGAAACTCCAGTCCTCTGTGGCTGTCCCACTTCCTGACAGCTTGGCTTCCTTCAGGCAGCCTGAGTATTATTCCCATCTTAGCTCTGTCGGTATGTAGTATAAACACAGTCCATGTTATTGATAGTTTCTTAGGTAAAAACACATTAATATTTGAATCGGGCCAAGGAGCACGGAGAATCTGAAGTTGTCGCAAACAAGCTGGCTGTAAATGGGCTCCTCCAGGGCAAGGCACACCCCAGAGCTACTGGGGGAGGTGGAAGCTTGCTGTGTGTTGTGTGTGTGTTTCCTGTGGTTGATGCTCATAAGCGTTACCTCCGTGGAAGAGGTTTACCTTTTTAGGAAAGAGTTGGTTTTCTGCTTTTGCAAATTTGTACCAACTGTTGATCATCTCAAGGACAGTGGAGAAGGGACAGGCAAGGAGCCTCCCTTTCAGTCTTGGCATTCTTCGAAAATAGAAGGTGGCTTCCTTAAATGATTTCCCGACTTGACTCATCAATGTAGGAATGCCTGTGTTGACACTCTCTTCCCCCTCTCTCTCTCCGTCTCTGTCCCCATCCCTTTTACTTTTTATTATAGGACAGTTTTCAACCATTCTGTGGAACAGTTGAGAGGATGATAAAGTGAACCCTGTATATATTAAATCACCTACATTTTACAATTATTTGCTCTGTTGTTTTGTTTTTGTGGGTATGTTTGCTAAATTACAGACAACATGATGTTTTACCACCCAAATACTTAATCATTTCTTTTTTAAAAAACTGACATTTTTCTTATAACCAAATTATCTTAACTTTTTAATGTCTTTTGAACCCAAATGGCAGAGCCCTTGCAATTAGCCTTGTTCCCGTGGAAGGTGTATTCCATTGCCGGCCAGGCTCATGCATCCAGCAGGCGCCTAAGGGGCTCCTCCGATATCCAGCCAGCTCTGACAATGGGGCCGTAGCCCAGAACAAGGCAGATGGGATTGGCTCATTATGTGGGTTGGCAGAAAGCTCCGATGAGGTGTTCATCTGTATTTCTCTTACCAATGGAATAATTGTTTTTCCTTTTTGCTAGCTTGCTTCTGTAGCACGGAGGGCCACTATGAAATAGCAAACTCTTGCACTTAATTTGTATCTTGTCCTGCTTACCGGCCTAGAAGCTCCTAAATAGAGTAAACTTTTCTGTACATTACAAAGTGCAGCTGTTTAACGTTTGCAAGTTAGGAAAGTCGCTTCTACTTGGTTTTCTTCTAATAATACTAAAAGGCATACTTTTTTTTTAAGGCAAAGGATCTCACTGTCACCCAGGCTAGAGTGCAGTGGCACGATCATAGCTCACTGCAGCCTTAACCTCCTGAGCTCAAACGATCCTCCTGCCTCAGCCTCCCGAGTCCTCTGACCATGCCCAGCTAACTTATTTGTGGAGATGGGGACTCAACTGTGCTGTCCACGCTGGCCTCACACTCGTGTCCTCAAGTGATCCTCCTGCCTTGGGCTCCCAGAGTGCTGGAATTACAGGCATGAGCCAAAAAAAAAAACACATACTTTTAAATTTAGTTACAAATATCGCATGATTTGGCACATTAATTTCATGTGGGGATGTTTAGTTCTTTGGGTTTTTTTTAACCTGCTGGATTAAATGAAATGCTGAGAGTTGAAGAAATTGGCTTATTTTCCTTTTTCTTTTCTTTTTTTGAGATGGAGTTTCACTCTTGTTGCCCAGGCTGGAGTGCAATGGCACGAACTCAGCTCACTGCAACCTCCGCCTTCTGGGTTCAAGCAATTCTCCTGCCTCAGCCTCCCGAGTAGCTGGGATTATAGGCACCCACCACCATGCCCAGCTAATTTTTTGTATTTTTAGTAGAAATGGGGTTTCACCTTGTTGGCCAGGCTGGTCTTGAACTCCTGACCTCAGGTGATCTGCCCACCTCAGCCCCCCAAAGTGCTGGGATTACAGGCATGAGCCACTGTGCCCGGCCTATTTTACTTTTTTTTTTTTTTTGAGACAGAGTTTCGCTCTTTTTGCCAAGGCTGGAGTGCAGTGGCGCAATCTCGGCTCACTGCAACCTCCGCCTCCCGAGTTCAAGTGATTCTCCTGCCTCAGCCTCCTGAGTAGCTGGGATTACAGGTGTCCGCCACCACGCCTGGCTAATGCTGGTTTTTTTTGTTGTTGTTGTTTTGTTTGTTTATTTAGTAGAGACAGAGTTTCTCCATGTTGGTCAGGCTGGTCTCGAACTCCCAACCTCAGGTGATCCACCCGCCTTGGCCTCCCAAAGTGCTATTTTAATTGTGTATTTATTGCCACTCTGAGCTATATTTGAAAATTCCTTTTGTGAAAAAGAATATTTAAAACCAGACACCTCCAGCAGTTTGCTGTATCTCTGTATGACTAGGTTAAAATGCACAAGTCTGTGAAAGCTTCAGTGACACCTTCATCAGTGTAAATTCTAGAGACTTCACGTGCCAGCTAAGGTGAAGTAAGCCACCTACAGCCTCTCTGTCCCGCTCATTACAAAGAAAAGCTCTGGTCAGGATACAGAAAAGCAACTACCAAAGGCTAAAAATGAGCAGGGATATTAGGGACTGGAGTCAAAGTCAGATAAAATATAGTGATGAATCTCTAAATGTAAAACATTTTATTTGGGAAGCAAGATTTACAGTCGAAGGCATACAGGCAGACCAGGTGGTCTTCAGTATATCTTGATGAACAAATAAAAGGTTGGCAGTTTTAAAAAGAGGAGAACTGTTTCGTGTTGCTCTTTGAGAAGGTTCTTCGGCACTAGTGAGGTTTCTGGGGAGCTGGCAGGTTCCCGACTGGTGAGTGGGTGAAATGAGTCCTCGAATCACAGCAGGTTGTGTCGGTTGCCATTAGTGAAAACTGGTTTCAAGTGGCAGCAGGCAGTTTCCGCGGCCAGGCTGGCAGAGAACTACATTGCTGGAGGAATGTTTTGTGGCCCGAGTGCTTTCCCCCGGCCCCTTGACTCTGACTGAGTTGGGTATGACAAGAATGACCCAGTTTGTATGATCAGCTCTCACAGTGACAATGACAGTCATGATGGGGATGTGTTTTGAGGGCCTTTTCCTCTCCTTTGCCGAGGAACTGCACAGGGAATGCTGATGGCGAGACCTCCAGGGAAGCCACTTATGTCTTCACCACTAGAGAAGGGGGGACTCTGCATGTTGGCGAGAGCAGGGGGGTGCCACACTCCAGCACATCGTGTGTTCACCTTCTAACCGGGAAGCTCTCCTTGTTCAGGAGTTTTCATAGAGCGTCTGTCCATGGGGAGAGGAGTGGCTAGGTGGGGTGGGTGGTGGTGTCCCGGAACCAGTCCCCCAGGGATACCCAGGGATGACTGTATATGCCCGGACCAAGTCCTGAAGGTCATAGCAGAGGCCGCTTCTGCACAGTGGGGTGGGAGAGTGAAAGTTAGACTGACGCACTTTTGCGTGACACATGTCTGTATGATTTGGGTTTTTATAGTGACCGCCATTTGCTTTTATTCTAAAATAAATCAGCATGATTCAGTGTTGTGTAAAAGATAAATATGAAAATGCTAAGCTATCTCAACATGGTGGGTTTATACAAATTTTTCACTTTTTTATGGTAAATACATGTGGGTTTTTTTTTAATTAGGAGGAAACAAAGGAATTTTCATTCTCAAAAATGAAAACAGCATTCAATAGTTATTTGTATGATATTTGACAAGGTTACCGAGCTGAACATTAATTTGTTCTTCATTGTTAAAAGAAAACTCTAGGCAAATTGAATACAACAGAGTTTAATTGAGCAAAGAACCATTCTTGAATCAGGCAGCCCCAGAACCAGAGTAGGTTCAGAGTGACACCGGCACTGCCATGTGGCTGGATACCATTCATGGGCAGAAACGAAAGTGACTCCGGAGAATGGAAGAGCCGCAGCAGCTGGATTGGCTACCGCAGGGGGTCTGCCTTGCTTGAGCCCAGTTCGAACAGTTGGCTGCCTGTGGTAGTCTGAGACTCAGCTGCCTGTCACAAGACCAGGCTGTTTATACATCAGGTTGGGTTACAGTTCACCATGTATATGGAACCATTAGGCCAAACATAAAACATGTACGGAGGCAGCCTTTAGGCGAAACTTAATTTAACATCATAAAAATCTTGAAGCCACTTGTTTGCGTACCCAGCCTGGATCCGTCACAATTCTTGCTTCATGCCACACTCATCACTAGTCCATATTTGGCCTCCTTTTAAGCAGTTAATTAACAGGTATTTTTATAGCATAATGGGTTTCCTCAAACCACCACCCAACCAAAACCCAGCCCTTGATGATGACCTGCGCCCACCACGCAGGGCGCCCTTGATGCACACGCACCTGCCGCCCCCGCCCTGTGACCACCGCCCTGAGTGCCGGGCTCATCATCCCTTCCATGCCCTTTCTACATTGCTACTATGCATCTGTGTGTATTCATTAAGACCATTACTTTTCTTTCAGATTTTAAATTTATTAAAGGCTTTAGTGCTGAATGTGATTTTGAGGACTCTTTTAAAAAAATACTTTTGGTTGGAATGTGGACATTTCCCACTTAGCATTGTGTTGCTCATGTTCCTCCATATTGATGTGTGTTTAGCTAGAGTACCCCCGTCTAACTCTGCGAATATGCCACACTGTGTGCACCTGCTACTCCTTAATGGACACTTGAGCTTTTTCAGCTTCTTCCTTTATTTGTTTGTTTTGCTTTGCTTTGGTGTATTGTATTTTATTTTTGCTATTACCAACAGAGATACTTTGAACATTCTTTTCTGTGTGTTCTTTTGAACACATGCAAGAATTTCTTATATATTGAAAAGCAGAGTTGCCGGATCATAGTGTATAGGAACATTCAGTTTTAAGGGATCATGGTAAGGTGCTTTCCCAGTGGTTGTGCCATTTTACACTCCTACAGTGGTGATGGAGACAGCCTATGATCCACATCCTTTCTAGTTCTTGGCATTGCCATTCTTGTACATTTTTGCTGAGTAGGTTTAGAATGATATCTCGTGTAGCCTGGATTTGCGTTTCTCTCATATCGCATGATGTTGAACATTTCCTCACGTTCAGTGGCCATAGTTATGTCCTCATCTTTGAGATGTCTGTTCATCCATTTTTCTATTGGATTTTTAATGCTCTTGTGGATTTATATCTAGGTTTTCAATCCTGGTTATGATGGATATTGCCCCCACCTTTTTGCTTTTCATTTTAGGACGACTACAAATGTTAACAAGTTTGTGTGTCATCATTACTTCATAGATCCCCTTCAGCGTCTCTTGGAGTTTTCTCCCCTCTAACTTTAGCTTGTCATCTGAAAGTGTCTTCCTCATGAGTCTTTTTGTGACAAGTCTTCTGAGGCCATATGTGCCTCTGAGAGTATTTTTGTCATGCTCACACATTTGAATGACAGTTTGGCTGGATACAAAATTCTAGGTTTTAGCTTCCTTTTCTTCAGTAAATTAAAAACACCAGCTGGGGGTGGTGGCTTACACCTGTAATCCCAGCACTTTGGGAGGCTGAGGTGGGTGGATCACCTGAGTTCAGGAGTTCGAGACCAGCCTGACCAACATGGCAAAACCCCACATTTACTAAAAATATAAAATTAGCCGGGCATGGTGGCGGGAGGCTGAGGCAGGAGAATCACTTGAACCCAGGAGGCAGAGGTTGCCGTGAGCCAAAATCACACCACTGCACTCCAGCCTGGGTGACAGAGTGAGACTCTGTCTCAAAAATAAATAAAATAAATAAATAAAAATAAAAACACCACTTCATTGTCTTCCTGCATCCTGTGTTAATCTGATAAAAATAAAAACACCGCTCCACTGTCTTCCTGCATCCTGTGTTAATCTGGTTCTTGTTTCTTTGAATGTGATCTACTCTTTGTTTCTGGAAGCTTTGTATGTATTTTCATTGTCTTTTTAATATTCTTGATCTTCACTATGATGTACCTAATTTATGATGTTCTTCCTCTGTATATCATAAGACCTCACAGAATGTGACGATTAAAAAAATCAGTATAAAAGACAGAACAATGGTCGCCAAATAATAAGCACTAAATAAGCAACAGCTGTGTTATATTATCATTATATTCAGCTTTGTGGGTTTTTTGAGCCATTTTTATTACCTCTGCCTTTGCCCACTCTTTGACCTTTCATTGCTCAGCAACACTCTGATGTAGGTGAATGAAAGAAATCGTATAAAATGTGAAACCAGTTGTTAGCAATTCTGGTATAAAGAGAATTTACATTTTTGGCTAAAATGAAGTTTGCATACTATCAGTGACTGATATATCCATGCTACGCTTATTCATATAGCCATGCTATAATAAAGTTGCATGATATTCCCATTTTAATTTTTTATTTAAGGGAACATTATATTTTCACTGAATTTATAATATGCTTATCTCCCAGCCAATAATTATTTTTATAATGTGTAAGTCTCTGTGTACTAATTCCAATATCTGGCCAACTATGAATCTGTTTTTATTGACTTTTTTCTCTTGATTTTAGATAGTATACTATCTGTTGTGGATGAGGCATTGTAGACATTCTAGATTCTGTTATTTTCTTTTGGGCAATTACACTGATCTTGTAGAGGCTTCGTTATAGGACTAGGCTCTTTTGGCTTTGATCTTAGTTCTAAGGTGTGGTTCATAATCCCTCTGGGGTGTCCATGTCCTCAGATGTGATCAAGCCCTGTAGTTTGGCAGGACCTGATCTTCTCTGTCTTCACAGTGGCAAGCAGATGTCAAAATCTCTACTCTGCGTTTTCAACCTTCCTGCTGTCCTCCACGGGGATCCTGGGAATATTATCCTGTGTGCGTGCCCTTCAGGAGCCAGCCTCCGACTCGGGGAAGGTTTACATGAGGGTTTTGGCTCCCTTCTTCCTAGGGCTTTTGCCTGCAATATCCAGGCAGCCTTGAGCATGGTCTCAACCCAGTAAGGCTGCTGCCTTTCAGTCGCATGCTAACCCCCACATGACTTGTGAGTGAGGAGCACCCTTGGGAAAAGCCAGATGAAAGTGATTCATGCAGAGTTACTCTCATTTTCTAAGGGTCACGGCCCTTCCATTTCCTGCCTTCCTGCCTGCATTTGTTTGTTGTTCAGAATTTTCAAATGGCTTTTTAATATTTTGTCCAGAGCTTATCATTATTGGCAAAAGGATGAGTCTGATATAAGTGATTCTGTCATTACTGGACTCTAGAAATCCCAATCAGTAAGTACATTATGGATAAAAAGACAAAGTAGCATGGTTCGCATAGGACTCAGATTTGAAAATGCATTTCCTGTAGATCATTTTTATCCACAGAGAAATTCTGGTTTGCCTGGGACCACCGTAGGAGCTGCATGTGTCTGTGCTGGTGCAGAGGTGTCTGGGCATGGCTGAGGAGAGCATCTGCAAGTGAAGCCAGCAGAGGAGACCACTCAGAGTGGCACTGACTGGCTCGGGGAAGCACTGGGGCCACACGGGGCACTTGATGCCGTGGGAAAGGGCTGCTCTGTAGCTTCAGGCAAACGTGGGCCTCACTTTTATTTTCTCAGCTCTTTGAACGATAAAACACTGACTACTGCAGCCACAACCAAGAATATAACTTCCTCTCTGCTGGCTGAGCCAGGTATCACTTCTTGAGAGAGTGAGTGTGGCTGGCAGCCATGCATGGGGTCCAGGATGACCAGCTCAGCCTCCCCTCGCCCTGCAGGGCTGCAAAAGTGAGACTGTCTTCACACCTCTGGCTCGTTGTCTTCCTGGTTCTGGATCTCTCAGTTCCTCTGTGTCTTTTTCTCCCATTTCCTATCCCACTGCTATGGGTACCCTCCTGGGTCCACCATCCCCCATAGAGGAGTCACTGCCACGTCTCCCCCGAACGTGCCTGACCCTTGCACTGCACCCTCCCCTGGGCCACTGTCCTTCTCCATCACTCACTTCCAGCCAACACTTCTGCCATCACTCACTTCCAGCCAACAGTCCGCGAGTGTGTTTTGGAGATGTGCATACTTGCTCTGCACCTGCCATTATGTTTTTAAGGGGTGTTATTTGTTCTTAATTTTAAAAGTAGGTGAATTAAACATTTTGCATTTCTCCTACTAAAAATACTGCATTGCCTTTTTACTCTGCTGCCTCGATTCTGCCCACTGTATGCCAGTAGCCCGGATGGGAGGAGAGATGCTTTCCTACCTCCTGTTGGCGCCACGTTAGAGAAAGCCTGTCCGGCTCCACACGCGCTCCTAAGGATGGACCTGCGTCAGACATGAACCCAGCTCTGACCTGTAGGATTTTATGATTATGAACATGATATAATTGAATTTGCATTTCTTTTGTGTGTCTTGAGGCTACTCATTTATTCTACTCCAGCAGTCTCCCCAGCTCACTTCCTTAAGAAGGAAAGAAGTGGCAGGTCCAGTCCACTCCAGCATCTCGTTTGGAGACTGAGCTTTATTAAGCATCTCGGCGCTCCTCTCCAGGGACCGGGCTTCATGTGGCTGCAAACGGCTTCTCTCCTTTCTCCTGACAACTCACTGTGGCAGCTCTGTAGTCTCACGCCTTGACAGAATGGCAATGAGATTTTCTTTACAAATCTAAAAGCTGCCGAATTAAGGAAATCTGAGTGTACTTGTTCACCGTGGTAGTCCCTGTCCCCACCTTTAACTCTTCCCTTTTTCTGCAGGCCTGTTGAATTTCCTGGGTGACTGTTCCATTCATGCCGTTCACATTCTTTTCTTTCTCTGCAGGTTTTGCATGCAGAAATGTGTCAGTCTGGTGCCTGGCGTCACACTGGATTTGATAGAAAAGTAAGTAGGATTTTTAAGCTCTTGTGGCTCTCTGGATCTGATGAGTTTCTTTTCCTTTTTGAAGGCTCTTGCTTCTCAGAAGTACTTTCTATCAACATGGCATGTTCCCTTTCATGTGGCTGTGTTCTTTTGTTCTCTGATTAAGGCTGTGTTTGTGATTGTCACACTGGGGCTTAGTGCAGGAGATAACCAAACATGGGCCATATGAAAAGAAAAATAATAAAAAGCTGAATTCCTTTGAACATTTAAAAAGTCTCCAGACTTTAAGCCAAAGCAAGAACATACCACTTCGCATACAAATCATTTCTGCTGCCACTGAAATGATAGCTAGATCATAGCTAGCTCTTACCTTATTTTCTGAAACTGTCCCTTTAATATTCTGTAACTTTCCATCCCCTCCCCCCCTGTCGCCATCCAGTTTCCATTTTACTATCTCAGGGCAAACTGATTTCAGAACCTGAGCGATGAAGTGACGGGATTTAGTCAGGCCTATGAAGAGTCAATGGCACTTGCCTCCCATAATCCTTCCAGTCCCATTGGCCAACCCGTCTGTCCCTCGCGTGATCTTTTTGGATCTGAAGTGGTGTTTCAGGACCCGGAGCGTGGCCTGCACTGCCTTGTTCTGTTTGTTTGTGCACCGGATTCATCGTGACTCATCCTGAGTCATCCAGGCAGTATGGAAGAACTTTGGAGTTATTTTAAACCCTTTGGCTCAGAACCCCATTTCTTCTAGAATTAACATGCAAGATAATTGTTTTCTACATCTTAATATACAAAGTTATATCTTAATATTAGGGCCTGAATTTACTAAATTAGGCAGGAAAAGCAACCCCACTTCCAAGTTTCTCTTGTAAAAACGTGCTTGCCTTGTGTATCAGGGGAAAAATGCAAGAATATTATGTGTAAACGTTCATGAGGGCACGGTGAGCTCCGTCGTGGTTCACTCCCACCGTGGAAGGTGGCTGTGTGGCCAACAGGAAGGCCGGGGAAGCGACACTGGTCCTGATGTGGAGTGGTCTACCAGATGTGCTAAGTGAGCAGTCCTCAGCATGGGTACCTAACAGAGCTCAGTGCCCAGAGGCTTTCCAAACAGTGCAAGCTGTGACTTAGAAGACTGTTTCCAAAGGCTAAACAGATAGTGGAGGCTCTCAGAAGCATCACGTGGAAAATAACTTTAAAAAAAAAATGGGACTAGATGATCTGTGCTCCCCTCCCCTTCTGGTTGGTTTGGTTCCCTGACGAGACTGCAGTTTTGCGAAGCTGTTCTTGAGATCTGTTTACTGGTATTGCTGTGCGCTTTCTTTGGGGCTTTTATTTCCCCCTCTGTTTTCTGAGTTTTAGAGCTCTCTATTACCTGTAACGTATATATTGCCCCCGCCACCCCTGCGCCCTCCCCACACACACACCGGATGCGTATCCCAAATCTAAAAATCCAAAATCAGGAATGCATCAAACTGTAAAAAAATTTTTAATGAATTAAAAAAAAATAGGGCATCTTGCTGTATTGGCCAGGCTGGTCTTGAACGCCTGGCCTCAAGCGATCCTCCCACCTCCGCTTCTCAAAGCGCCGGGATTACAGGCGTGAGTGATTCTGGCCGTGCCAGGCCAAAATCGGAAACTTTTTGAGCACTGATGTGCTACTCAGAAACAATGCTCTTTGGAGCATTTTGGACTTCATGTTTTCGGATTAGTGATAAATCCAAAAAACTTAACTGGTAAGTATAATGCAGATATTCCAAAATCTGAACAAATTCGAAATCCGAAACGCTTCCGGTTCCAAGCATTTCAGATAAAGGGACACTTAACCTGTGTATATATATTATATATCTAATTTCTTAAATAAACCATATCCATTAATATTTCAGCAGTTATATTTTATCCTTGCTGGGTTGGCTTATTCAGGCAGCTCTTGGGTGAAAACTGTCTTGGTGTTTTCTGTTTGTCGTGCCTCCCTGTGGCTATTTCCATGGTTTCCTCTGGAGGTGGGAGGGCCGCAGTATCCTTTCTCCTCCGCCTGGTAGCAGGAGCCCAAGCCTTACCCACGCCTCCATCTCCGTGTGGGACAGTGTCTCGTCTCCATCCTGGATGGCTGCTGTGTGCTGTCCCATCCCCCCTGGTCACCTGTGTCTGTGGCTACTCCGGACAGAGCCCCCCGGTCACCTGTGTCTGTGGCTACTCCGGACAGAGCCCTGCCAGCGCGTGTTGAGCCACATGAGCTCAGACAGCGCCACAAGCTCCACATCTCTAGAGCAAAAAGGTCTGTTAAAAATCACCTAGTGATGACAACAAAAATTTGTTTTAGGTTATTGAGTCAAACTACCTTATTTTACTGAGAGAGAACCTGGTATTTAGTTCACTTCAGCTCCTGGGTGGCCTTTTCTGCCTGGTTCGGGCAGGGCTGGCCTAGAGCTCAGGTCTCAGGACAGCCCCACTGTCGTCTGCCCAACACACGGAGGTTTTCCCTTGAACAAGATTTTGGTGTCAGAACAACCAGCTGCCTCCCTGTTTCTTTCCAAAACTTAAAATGTGCACAGCAACATGACATCCTAAGCATGATTCACAAAAGAAAAAAAATTGGTAAATTGGACTTCATCCAAATGTAAAATGTTTACTCTCTGAAAGACACGCTGATAT
Source organism: Homo sapiens (assembly GCF_000001405.40). Classification (NCBI taxonomy): domain Eukaryota; kingdom Metazoa; phylum Chordata; class Mammalia; order Primates; family Hominidae; genus Homo; species Homo sapiens. Next base: position 80,794,144 of record NC_000017.11, read on the forward strand.
GAAAAGACAAGCTATAGACTCGGAGAAAATATTTGCAAGTCACATATCTGACAAAGAACACATGTATCCAGAATGTATAAAGATATCTCAAAACTCAAAAATAAGGGGGAAAAGAAAATTAGAAAATAGACCAAAGACATGAAGAGACACTTCACCAAAGAGGATTTAGGGATGGCAAATATGCTTATGAAAAGATCCTGGAAATCATTAGCCATTAGGTAATGCAAATTAAAACACAGTGAGACAGCACTGTCCCTATTAGAACGGATGACATTTAAAGACTGACCAAACGCAGTGTTGAGAACTCACATCACAGCTGCTGGGAATGCAGAATGGTGCGGCCACTCTGGAAGAACTGTCGGTTTCTCATAAATGTCCATAAACCTGCCAACATGTCCCCGCATTCCTACTCCTGGATATGTACCCTGGAAGAGGGAAATCTTAGGATCACACAAAAACCTGTGCGTGAATGTTTACGGTAGCTCTGTTCATTACCCCAAGCCGGAAGCAACCAAAATGTCCCTCCCAGGGCAAATGAATTCAGACTGTGGTGCATCCGTATGATGGAATTCTGCTCAACAGGAAAAAGGGACAGGCTTTCTATATACACCGCCATTTGGGCGGTTCCCAGAAGTATCACACTAAGTGTCAGAAGCCCATCTCCAAGGGTGGCGCATGGTCCGATTCCCTTTCTGTGACCTTCTGGGAAAGACAGAACATGGGGCCAGAGAACAGATCAGCTGTTGCCAGGGATTAGAGGGGTGGAGAGTGTGGCTGTGAGGGGCTAGCGGGAGGGGCCTGGGGGTGATGTCTTGATGCTGGTGTGGTTCCACAGATCCACCCACACGTTCCAATCCATAGCATGTGTACCTGCAGAAGTCATTTTGCTATTTGACAACTGAAGTAAAAGTAATACATAATGTAGGGGAGGAAAAAAACACCACGAGAGTGAGCAGGCCGGAGAGTGCAGAGCAGATGCAGCACACGGCTGGCCACCGCTGCGGACAACAGGCCATGGGCCTGGGGAGCGAGGGGTGCAGGGAAACAGAGACCTGGATTTGGGAAAGGAAGTGGATTCTACAGCAGCATGCTCTGTTGTTTCTGGGAAGATACCTTCACTCTTATTATTAAAATGGGATTGAGTGAGGATTGAAAAAGAGAAGCAAACACCCTTCCCCATCCACCGTGGGATGTTAGTCATTTTCATCAGACGCCCTTTCCCTAAATCACGATGTTAGCGTTTGCAGCCACTCGTGTTCTTCCCAGAACCAGTGCATCCCCTCCCTCCCCAGCACCAAAGGCCCTTCTCAGCCAGTGCGATCAGACAGCTGGAGGTTAGGGCAGTGTTCTCGTCTTTCTTCCATCTCCCCTTCTCCTGTGCCAAGTGATGCTATGAAGGTGGCTAAATGCTAAAGGTTTATTTTTTTTTTTTAATTTAAAAGAGACAATTAACTGTTAATAGTAGGCAGTTTTCAAAACACACCCTGATTAGGGATTCGGGGTACGAGGAGGAGAGTGTGGTGGGAAGAATATGGACGTTGGAGTCCGAGCAGCTCCATCTGGCCCTCCTGACCCCTTCTGAGCCACACTCACTGGGCACCTCCTTGCCTCTGGGTCTGTCTCTGTCCTGCAGAATGGACACCACTCGGCTCTCATCGGGCAGCAGCAGTGCCGAGGGCATCACACATCCTGACACGACCTTGGCTCTCAGCCCGTGTCCGCCTCCCGCCAGACACTTCTGCCTTCTCAGCACTTCCCAGAGCTGCAGCTTGGATGGTGGCTGCTGTCACTCCACATTCCTGTAGTTCTGTAAGCGTCTCCCACGCCTCTCCATCTGCCATCAGCTGAGGCACCTACGACTCCCAGGCATCGTTGCCCTGGCCCCACCACAGTTAGAGAGAGATGGCAAGGCGCCAGAGAGGCCGTGCTCTCGAGGCCCATTGCTGAGACAAATGGCTTAGCAGGCTGTTTTAGTCCATTCTCACACTGCTGTCAAGACACTGCCTGAGACTGGGTGTATTAGGGTTCTCTAGAGGGACAGAACTCATAGGATAGCTATAAATATAAAGGGGAGTTTATTGATTAATATTAACTCACACGGTCACAAGATCCCACAATAGGTCATCTGCAAGCTGCGGAGCAAGGAAGCCAGTCTGACTCCCAAAGCTGAAGAACTTGGAGACACTCAGTATTAACCATCACACTGGGTAATTTATAAATAAAGGAGGTTTAACTGAGTCACAGTTCTGCATGGCTAGGGAGGCCTCAGGAAACTTACAGTCATGGCAGAAAGGGAAGGGTAAGCAAGGCATGTCTTACATGGCAGGAGAGCGAGAGCACACCAGGGAAGGGGAAGTGCCACACTTTTAAGCCATCGGATCTTGTGAGAACTCACTATCACGAGAACAGCCACTCCCATAATCCAGTCACCTCCCACCAGGTCCCCGCCTCAACACATGGGTATTAGAGTTCAAGATGAGATTTGGGTAGAGACACAGAGCCAAACCATATCACAGTCGCTGTAGCCACCTCAGTCTTTATTGAGAATAACTTCTTAAAGTGTGTGGATTTGGGTCTGAGTCACTGTTCTCTGAATGCAGTTCAGCAAAAGCACCTGTTTTAGTGTCTTTCACTAAGAATCCACGTCAGCACTCACAGGGTGAACTCCCGTGGTGCCTCCGCCTCACAGTGTGACAGAGGTTAAATTGCGGGTGGCTGAATTATATTTACATTTTTTATGCCAGGACAAATTCCAAACTTTAGAATTATACAGCAATGGAGAAATCCAGATCTTTGCTCCAAAAGGTGCCCAGCCACAGCTGCCATTAGCTCTATTTCCAAGTGGACGTCAGTTTTTAACTTGCATAGACACAGTGACTTCTCCGCTTAAAAACGCTATTTTTATGTTTTTTTAATTTTTGGATTTTGTTCCCCAATTATGTTTAAAGTCTCATAAGAAAAGTTTTTTGTTTGTTTGGTTGTGTGTTTTTTGTTGTTGTTGTTTTTCCAGACAGGGATTCGCTCTGCTGCCCAGGCTGGAATGCAGTGGTGCCGTCTCAGCTCACTGTAGCCTCAACCTCCTGAGCTCAAGTGATCCTCCCACCTCAGCCACCCAAGTAGCTGGGACTGCAGGTGCATGCCATCATGCCTGGCTAATTTTTATTTTGGGTTGTTTGGTTTTTTTTGTAGAGACAGGGTTTCTCTGTGTTACCCAGGCTGGTCTTAAACTCCTGACCTCAGATGATCTGCCTGCCTCGGTCTCCCAAAGTGCTGGGATTATGGGCATGAGCCGCTGTGCCCGGCCATGTCTTTTGCATATTGTATTATCTACAAAGGACATGAGTTACTTTTTAAATAAGTGATCTTGTTAATCAAGTGATCTTCCTGCCTTGGCTTCCCAAAGTGCTTGGATTATAGGCGTGAGCCACCACGCCCAGCCAAAGAAAAGTTTTTAATAAGTAGATTTGATTTTGCAGTTACAAAGTGAGGCAGAAAATTCAGCACATCTATGTTTAATAGTGTCTTCCATGCCGCTGTGGTTTTTACAGTCAGAGGACACTCCTATAAAAAATACCTCGTTATTTTTATACTTTATCATTTTCTGAAGATTTATTCTTGAAATATGTTGATCTTGGTTACTGTGACCTCTGTGGCTCAGACCCTCTTGGCCAGCCTTTCTACTACCTCAGGGCCCCTTTTTCCCACGGGGGTCCCACCAACATATGTTAACTCCCGTAACGCTAGCCCACGTGTCAGGGGAGACAGATCCACTCGGAAAGCAGCCGTGCGGTACAGTTGAGAGACAAACAGATCATCATCAAGCTCTACTGATGAATGCGGCCCCTGTGTTCCAGGCAGCCAAGACTGAGTTCCCCCTTATTTCCCTTCACTGAACATGTCAGCCATGTTTGTGATGTTCTTGTGTGTCCCTTGCCCTGAGTTGACGCTGGGACCAGGGTGCTTGAGGATGAGCTCCCAGCAATTCCAGGCTGTGCCTGTCACCAATGTGCCCCGGGCAAGGGAGTCACCTCTCTGACATGGAAGCCCAGAGGTTACCTTCTGGAAGCAAACCCTGTAACCAACTTCCCTCCTTACAGGGCTGGAAGCGTAGCAGTGTCCACCATCTGTGGAATGTCCTCTGGAGCCGCCTTGCCCATGCCACACAGAAGGACACCACGGTTAGGGCACCCATGCGTCACAGCATGTGGCCAGCAGGGCCACGCCACCTCCCAGGGAGGCATCTGACATGCACAAAACCTTTTGAGTTTTTGTATGTTTTTTTCAACACTTTCCTAAAATGCAGTGATCAAAAGTTAGTTGCCTGCTCCTGCTTGGGACACCAGTCCCTCAGGGGGTTTGGGAATTGTTCCTCCCAGACTCCGGGGCTGACATTTGGAGGGTCACCGCCTGACCCCTGCTCCAGAGTCAGCAGGATGGCGCTCCTCCAACACCACTCCTCCCATCGCATGTGGGAGCAGGAGGGGTGTGGTCTTGGAAGCGACACCCTATGATGCGCATTCACCTGAGTGGCCTTCCTGGCCACAGGGCTGAGCCAAGGGGGGGCCAAGGCACTGCCTCCCTCCAGGCAGCACGTGTGTCTAAAAAATTTATTTATAAGTACCCAGGGAATATTTAAAAATATATAAATTTTTGAATAGTTGAGAGATTTTAATAAAAACGTTTGTGCATTATTGGCAGAGCTGTCAGTGGGTGCTGGGTGAGAGCCACACGGTTGTCTGGGTGACACCCCCGTGTCCCTACACACCATGACTGTCCTCCTGTCCACCTGAGATGGAACTCTGGGTTCCCTGAGTCACACCTACATTAAAACGTACACAGTCATCCATCACGTTCACATCTGTGCCGGCATGACCTCCCTGGGGAAGCGTTTGCATTGCTGCCCTTTTTGCCAAGACCCTCCCGAGCGTGATATGACCTTTGAACCTAGAGCCAGAGAACCTGCTTGGGCGTCCCTGCCTTCGTTAAATGAACTGATCTTGGATCCAGGTTAATGGTGAGATAACTTGTTTTTAATTATAGTTTTAAGACCAGGCAGAAACAGGCTCTCGTGCTTAGTCTGATTTCATTTACGTTTTAGCAGTTCATTATTGTAAACAGAATCCTAAGGACTGTAGACCGGGGGCGTGGAAACCCCACCACAACACAGCACCTAGAACACACGTGTGTGACATCTCGAGTGACGCACATTCGGAACAGATCGTGTGGATGTGCAGATGTCAGGGAGTCTGCAGTACCTGCGCATACACTAGCTGGGGCTGGACTTGATCTGCTTTTAGCTTTTGCCAGCTTTTTAGGGAGTCTGAAGACCTAGTTTAGCTGTTTCATTCTTTTGTCTCAACTCACCACATGGAAATTTCTTGCCCTTGAGAATACCTCTCTTGCCACTAAGTGTGAGGACGACGTTGGTTCCTGGGTCCCACCTGACTAGTGTGACGAGTCACGTGACGCAAGGAGAATAACGGGCCTGTGTTCTCGGGCTTTTTGTTTCCGTCAAGCTTCATGACCTGCAGGAAGTAAAACCAGGTCTGCCTCACGCTCTGCACACCCCTCCCCTCCCTGGCGGCCGCCCTGCACACCCCTTCCCTCCCCAGCGGCCGCCCTGCACACCCCTTCCCTCCCCGGCGACCCTCGTTGGGAGCGTGTGAAGGATGGTCCTGAGTGCAGGCTGCAGGTGCCAGGTGGTGATCGGCACATAACGTGACAGATGGGCAGGTGTGTTTGTCACGCACAGACCTGCATGGTAGGCACCTGCCCCATGCCCATGTGTCCTTGCCCGCTGCCATCTGAGAGGATGTACCCTCATCCTACAACAGCTGGCCCTTGGTGTGCCAGGTCTGCCAGGCCAGAGCTCTCTAGGGGTCCGTGTTGGGTAAGTGCACGGCAGGTGGCCCCCTGGCCGAGAGCCTCAGGACCCCGCTGTCTGGGGTTTGGGGGCTGAGTGTGGCACAGCACCACTTTCATGCCCTCTGGAAGGCTTGGCTTTTGCGACCTGGCCTCCTCACCAGCTCAATGGCAGTTTCATGGCATAGCGTCCCTGCTGCCCCCAGACGGTCAGAAATCCAACCCGAGTCATATCATTATCCTCGTCTTTGTCGGCACTGGAGACGTGGGGAGGTTTCGTTCCTCAGAACTGCTGCACGATATGTCTTCCAAAATAAATGCGGTTTATTTCAAACAGCAGCACTCAAAATCAAGGCTCCTCAGGAAATCCAGTATTAACCCCTTCCGAGCTTTCGCCGTCCTTGTCAGATGGGCAAAACACGTTGTTTAGCATCTCAGCACAAGACTGGAGAGAAGATCGGGCAGTTTGTGCATAATTATTTAGCAGTCTTTAAAACTAGGAGAGGAATCTGTTTTCTAATTAAGCTGCTGTGTCTGGAAGTAAATTATAGTGAACCTTCCTCGAGCGACCCCCCCAGTTTCTAATTATCTATGCTAACCTAGCAGCCTGATGAATAAGCTGTTGCTGCTGCAGTACATATTTATATTCTGAATCCTTTGAGAGAGTGGCAATAAGATCCGTGCCTGGAAATTAAGGGACATTTTTCAGCCCTGAAACAAAGTAATGCAACACTTAAACAGTGCTAGAAATATTAGGGTTTTCAGAAAGCTCCGGGGAACCTGAGAGATGTGAACCTGTTCCACGAGGCTGCTAGTTAGTATTCTGATCACTGGAGGCTCAAAGCGTACCCAGAACTTACTCGTGATTAACATTGATTGTGTACACAGCATATTTTAAACCGCTAACAATCCATTGTCGTGAATAAGTGAGTCTCTGTGTGCTGCTGCTTCCGAGGCTCTGGTAGCACGGCTGCCCCGTGTGGCCCAGGGACAGCAGGTGCGGGGCTGCAGCCCCACAGCCCTGGAGCTTGGGTTTGACTCTGGCTCTGAAACCTTCAGCATTGTGTTAGCTGATCTCTGGTTCCCATCTGTGGGACTTCCGTCTCATCTGAGCCTGGGGATGCAGTGCAGAAAATGTAAGGAGACCTGGGAGCTGCTGCTTGAGAGCACGTGGCTATCCGTGCTTCCTGGGGAATGATAGTGACCGTAGGAAGCATTTACTGAGCCCCCATGGTGCCAGGCATCGTGCTGAGGCCTTTACAAACATTACCTGTAAGTCCTCCCTGGAGCCCTTCAAGGGTGGGTGCTGTTGTTATCTACCTTTTAAAAGATGGGGAAACTGAGGCACCCAGCAAGCACAGGGCCTGCCAAGCACCACACCATTAGGACAAGCTGGGACAGGGATTTGCTGGCAGCCTCCCTGGAGCCTGCATCTCCTTCCCCTCGGCATGGGCTGTGTGAACAGAGCACGGGCTCCTCAACAGGAGCCCAGACCTCTAGAAGGTCTGCACAGGGTTTGGGGGGGCAGCACTCGTGTCAGAGGCACAGCGGCTGTGATTAGAATTCACTTCATCGAGGGAAGTCATACACATGGATTATGTTTGAAAGGAAAACTATCAAAAGATCCCAGTCTTGATTCAAAAAATACCTTTCTTTCCAACATAAATATACAATATTGGCTGGTAAAGGTGAAAATCAGTAATTCATTAACGTCTGCCAGTCACTGCTGAGATGAGTAACGAGGCACTAGACGCTGATTTAGAAATGAAGAGGTGGAAGCAAAACCCGAGAGATCGCCGAGCGAGGGGGAGGTGAGTGATTGGCGGAAACGGGGGACCGCCGCCACCTAGCAGATCACCCCTGCCTGCCCGAGCACAGCCACCTCAGCGTTCCCGTGCGCGCCACGCCAGGGCGCACGGTGCTGCACGGGGGTCCTTATGCCCGGGCGCCTCTCATTAAGGTCCCCCCACGGGCAGAGGGAAGACGGGCACCGGGTCCCCTTCGTGTTCGATGTGCACCCCAGCAAGGCCTCCTTAGCTCATCCGGATTGGTAGGGGTGGAGGAGGCTTGGTTCTGAGATGAAATTGCAGACGTGCAGCCAAGGGGGAATGTGAGAGGTTCAGAGGCCACCCCAGGGAACCTGCACACAGCACGGAGATCTTCCGTTTCCTTCACAGTGGTACCCAAACCCTGGTATTTGTCATCAAAACAAAGGCCTGCGCCACAGAGCACGGAGCTGTAACATCTGTGGCATTCGCTCCACCTCCTCACGGCTCTGCACCTCCCAGCATCCTAAAGAAAACGTGGGCTGGGCGCAGTGGCTCACACCTGTAATCCCAACACTTTGGGAGTCTGAGGCAGGCGGATCATGAGGTCAAGAGATCGAGACTATCCTGGCCAACATGGTGAAACCGTCTCTACTAAAAATACAAAAATTAGCTGGGCATGGTGGCGTGTACCTGTAGTCCCAGCTACTTGGGAGGCTGAGGCAGAAGAATCGCTTGAACCCAGGAAGCGGAGGTTGCAGTGAGTGAGCTGAGGTCATGCTACTGCACTCCAGCCTGGCGACAGAGTGAGACTCCATCTCAAAAAAAAAAAAAGAAAAGGAAAAGAAAATGCATGTGTCTGGATATCTCTAAAGGAAGCCCTCGCTCTGCGGAGATGCAGGAGCACAGCTTGATTGGAGGGCAGCTTCCGTTCCTTGAAGGCAGGCTCCCAGGTGCAGAGCGAGGAAGAGGCCGCAGTGAGGCTGAGCGTGTGCCTGGTCAGTGCCCCTTGGCCGTCCTTTCTGATGTTGGCCTTTGCTCTTGTGTAGGAGTCATCTCAGACGGCTCAGTACCTATGGAGGCACACGTCACTGCGGTCGCATAACCGGGATGAGGCTCAGCCCCCATTGATGCCTCTTCTCTAGACGCATCGTAGTTCAGCAGGTGCACCTCCCTCCGTCCAGTCTGCCATTTCTCCTTAACCTTCCCTGAGAGTCTGTTGCTCCAGCTCCATTGCCCGCACGGCCCTTCGGTTCCTCACAACCCCTGGTTCTGGTGGGGTGCCTGGAGTGCCTCCTCTGGCAGGGGTGCCTCCTTGGATCTGTTTATCCTGCAGGATTCAGTGCCCTGCCGTTGTTCCTATGTGCGTGGCTGCAGACTTGCAATCGGTGATAAAGCAGTGTGGCGTGAGGCGCCAGCATAACCGGGGACCCCGGGTGTGTGGTGGCTTTTCCGGTGCTCATCACAGCCACCCGGCGAGCAGCCTCTGAGGCCATCTCCATTTAAACTTCTGGAAACCGAGGCAAGGGAGGTGGAGAGACTTGCTCAGGGTCACAGAGAGTCACACGAGGGTCCCCTGTCGGTGGCGGAGCCTGTGTCCGCCCCCACCCGTCCTGCTGTGTCTGCCCCCAGCCGCCGCTGCTGGCTTCTCAGTTTGCTGCTCCGTGCTGCACAGTCCCCTCTGTCAGAGCCTGGTCGCTGTGCCCTGTGGCCCTTCAGAGAAAGGCCTCCCCGTTCTGATGTGCGTGTGTTGTCTTCTGACCTCGATGCCAGTATGTTTTGCGTGAGTGGCCAGCTCGTCAGCGGGGCCTCGGGTTCCAGGCTCGAGCGCACTTTTCAGACCCCGCGTGTGTTTCTCAGCACGTTTGTTCATTCACCGTTCATTCAGCAGACATCTGCTGCGGACTGGCTGTGTGCTAGGGCCTGTCCGAGGCTCTGGAGCCAAGTCCTTGCTCGTTAACTTACATCCTGATCAGGGGAAGAAACGCACATAAGAGGAGTGTGAATGTACCAGGAGAGCCATGTGATCGCACACAAGAGTGCCTGGATGCTTCTTTGATTGGGCAGCCTGATGAGGCCCATGAAGAGGCAACACTGGAACTGAGACCACCTGGCCAGACGGGAGCAGCCATGCCGGGACCAGGGGCAGCGTTCCAGACGGGGAGCCCCACAGCCTCTGAGCCAGGCACGAGCTTGGGCTGTGTGGCAAGGGCCTTCTTTGAAAGAGGCATATGTAGCTTCAGTATTTATAATTAACACCGCTAACCTGGCAGCACTTAATGGGTCTACAGGGGCCTGTGTGAGTCTGACTCAGACCACTGCATCAGATGGGGAAACTGAGGCACTTAGGAGCTTGATGGCTACCTACAGAGGACATTTTGCTCCATGAATCAGTGGCGTGACCCGCAGTGGCCGCAGAAGGGGCAGTGGCACAAGCCTGACTAGTGGCTCCGTTTGCAGAGGGGGTGGGGGCGACTGACGGCCAGCAGGAGGGCCGTGGTGTTCTCACCTGAGAAGGCGGGCGAGCACTCCTTTTGCTAGAAGAGGCTAAGAGATCTCTACGATTATTTCCATGGATGATGACCCAAACAGATTTAGTGTGGCTGCGTGTGTAGCTGCTGTGTCTTCTAGCTGTTTCTGGAGACCAGAATGTGCCTCCCCGAAATATGAAGAATTGTTGGGCTGAAGACAATTAAGAAGCAAGTGCAAGAGAGCTCCTTTCCTGCCTTCTGTTTCCCTAAAGCAAAACATAGATCTACAGAGACAAAGGCATCCTGTCCCGCCCCGTCCCAGGGAGGACAGCAGCAAGCCCCGAAGACAGCTCCAGGCCCACGCGAAGGTGTTTCCTTCATTTTCTAGATGAAGTGACTGAGTCTCAGAGAGGTTAACTCACCTGCCCAAAGTCGCACAGCTAGGAGTGGCCGAGCCTGGAGGACAGAGCCGGGTCTGTGTGATGCCACCCCCAACTCTGCATCGGCTGGCGTGTGGAAGGACGTCCATCCCTTCACGTCCCTCTGCGTGTTTGTGAGTGCGATTCTGAGGAAAGTGGCATGAGTTTTCTGCATCAAGATGCCTGGTCTCAAAGGGCGGGTTCCATGTGGACCTGACAAAATGAGGGGATGTGTACAGCATGGGAGGAGAGACCGGTTATTTTGACCCAAGCCCCGGGTGCCCAGTGGTAGGAGGAGTGCTGACCTTCTGTGTGATGCATGCCCACCAGGAAAACCTCAGAGGATTATCCCAGAAATCAGGCATAACCACACAAGGCTGCCTGTATTTGGAAACTGTCTTTCCTAGGGTGTTTTAACAAATTCACAGGAAGACACAATTTACAACCAGGCTAGGAAGTGACTCTGGGATTTCAGCATCTTTTCAGAGACAGAAAGATCCAGATGAGCTCAGGACAGTCGGGGGAAGGTGGTGGCAATCTCTGTCAGAACCGTGGAGTGTTCGTTGAAGATACTTCCACAGCAGGAGAGCTCCACGCCCCATCCTGGAAGCTCACCCTCCTCCCCTCCCACCCTCTTTAGGCCAGATTTTTGCAGAGAAGCTCCCTGATGAGATGCAGCGTGCAGGTGAGAGTGGCGTCTGGAGACAGCCTGGAGGCGGCCAGTGCCTCCGGAGGGAAGTGCTCCCCAACCCCGGCTCTGCTGGAGCCCGTCCTGCTTCCCCTTATTTTAGGAGCTGCTTTTCTCGATGTGGCAGGCCTTTCAGCAGCTTCTCAGGAGACTCTGCTTGGAGGTGGCTTCTCCCATGTGACTCCTGCAGCTGCCTCTCAGGAAAGGTCTGTCTGAAGGTCGGCCCTGACACCGGGAAGCCCACAGAAAATCTGTTTTGCAGAAGTGCTTCAAAAATAAACATGGGCTCAGATGTCTTTCTGATGGGCTTTGGAATCTGCCTGTTTAATAAAAAAGAATCTGCTTTTCATTATGTCATCAACATGTTGAATAAGAAAATGGGGAATTACCCCTCGCCTCGCTGTGGCCCCATCTCTCCCTGTGGTTTTTGTTTGCAGCCTCCAGAGTGGCCATTCCTGTCCATTGTTGTTGTTGACTGACTCCAGGAAGGGGCAATAATTTGTCGTTCTATAGTAAGTCAGGTAAAAGGTGAATTATCTCCTGTAATATTAACTCTGCTTACTGTTAAGTCAGGGAAACTTCCTCCCGAGTTCAACCCTACATTTACTTCACAAGTAAAGATGAGCAGAAGTCTGTACTAGGGGAACCATTAAATACGGAAGGACAGGATCCAAAGAGATGGCAGCACTGTGCATATGAACCATGTGATTTAGAAACCGAGCAGAGATTTTTAAAAATCATTAAAAAACAAGCCGCCTCTGGTGGTTTTTAAAAAGCCAGTCAGCTTATGCAGGGGTGGAATTATGGAACTTTCTAGTTTCTATTGTCTCTCGGGTGCCATGTTCACTCCAAACCATTTCGGTAACCCTGAGCCAGTATATCCTCCTGGAGAAATTAACAACTGCTTCCTTTAAGTCAATGTTTTTCAAAGTTCAAGTCATGGTTGATTAGTGGCTATGAAACCAGTTAGGTGGGTCACAGCCAGCATTTTAAAAAAGAAGAAAATGTCATTGTTTTCATAGTAAGATAAGTGTTCCGTGGTCCTGTTGCTTGAACATGTATCTCTTTTTTGGTTTGCTTTTTTGTTTCTGTTGTTTGGAGGCATGGACAGGGTACGAACCTGTGAATATGTATCTTTATATGTGGTTGTGTATGTGTGTTTGTCTGGTCACCAAAAATATTCCTAGGGCTCATGATCAAACAAGTTGGAAAGCTTCTTATTTAAATGATCTCTACTCTTATGTTAATTGGGGACCTAGACACACTGACCACCTTAATTGCCTATACTTTAGTTACCATCAGTGTTGTGAATACTTAGTCGTTTTCCAAGAACAACCTTGCCCCAAATCCCTGCTCTACCATCATCAGCCTTGTGCCATATTATGGTTTCCTATAATCTGTCCCATTTTTAATTAGGAATATTGCTTATACGTATATCTTTTTTCTTTGATTTTTTCTTTTTTTTAAATTCTCTTTTGCTTATACATATATCTTAACAGCCTCTTCTTTTCTTGTTGAAGAAATAATTTTGACAAGTTTTTACATTTTACTTTAAATTAAAAACTCATTTCCCTTTTGACCACATGCATTAACCCTCAGAACTGAAGAAGGCCAGATTAACCGTACCAACTCACCCTTCTTGGGAGAATGAAGCAAACCTTTTATCATCAAGATATGTCACCCTTTATCTCTGGTAATGCCTTTTGCCTTAGAGTCCACATTTTTAAAGTATCGTAGCTGAACAACTGTCTCTTGGTTAGTGTTTGCAGAATGCATCTTTTTTATCCATATGTATATAAGGTAGATCTCTTTTTGGCAATATAGTTAGCTTTTATTTAGTTTTGTTTTAAAATAGAGACAGAACATTTTTGGTTTTAATTAAAGTATTTAGTTTGTTTACATTTAGTGTAGTAATTGATATATTTGGGTTTAAGTCTGCCTCCTACTTGCTTCATCCTTTTTTTTTCCTGTTGCTTTTTATTCTAGCCACCCCACCACCCTTTTTTTTGGAGCGGGGGGAACGGAGTCTCACTCTTGTGGCCTAGGCTGGAGTGCAATAGCACGATCTCAAGCTCACTGCAACCTCCACCTCCCAGGTTCAAGTGATTCTCCTGCGTCAGACTTCCAAGTAGCTGGGATTACAGGCACACACCACCACACCTGGCTAATTTTTTGTATTTTTAGTACAGACAGGGTTTCACCATGTTGGCCAGGCTGGTCTTGAACTCCTGACCTCAGGTGATCCGCCCACCTTGGCTTCCCAAAGGGCTGGGGTTACAGGCATGAGCCACTGTGCCCGGCCAAGCCCCTTTTTTTTTTAACTTTTCTTTTTTCTCCTCCCTTACCATCTTTTGAGTTGATTTAGCAATTTTATTACACCTTTCTTCTCTTCTGTTGGCTTGTTAATTTTATATTCTTTACTATACTTTGAGCATCCTGTTTTTTCCATTAACTGCCAGATAGTATATGCCTTAGACTTTGCAGGCCATGTAAGGTCTCTGTCTCATAGTCTTCCCATTGTTACAACTCTTTAAAAATGTAAAAACCATTCTTAGCCTGGGGGCCTTAAGAAAACATGCTCCTGGCTGGATGTGGTCCTTGGGCCATAGTTTTGGTGACCTGCTTTAGAAACTATAACGTGCATCCTGCTAAAAACTAATCTAAGCCTGGCACAGTGGCTCATGCCTGTAATCTTAATGCTTTGGAAAGCTGAGGCAGGAGGATCACTTGAGGCCAGGAGTTCAAGACCAGCCTGGGCAACATGATAAGACCCTATCTCTACCAAAAAAAAAAAGTTAGGCATGATGGTGTGCACCTGTAATCTCAACACTTTGGGAGGCTGAGGCATGAGAATTGCTTGAGACCAAGAGTTCAAGACCAGCCTGAGCAACATAGCAAGACCCCAGCTCTACAGAAAAAATTAAAATCAGCTGGGCCTGGTGACATGCCCCTGTAGTCCCAGCTGCTTGGGAGGCTGAGGTGGGAGGATCACTTGAGTCCCAGTGGTTGTGGCTGCAGTGGCTCGTGATGCACCACTGCACTCCAGCTTGGGTGACAGAGCAAGACCCCATCTGCTAAAAGAAACAAAAACAGAGTACCCTTTAGTACAGATCTGCTGGGAAAAAGTTCTCATTTTTATTTGTTTGAAAATGCCATCATTTCTCCTTTGTTTTCACGTTTTCAAATCAGCGTTCTTGAGGTGCATTCAATAAAATATACCCACTTGAGCTGTACAACTGATGAGTTTGACAGACCACTGTGCCCGTGGAGCCACACCACAGTCAGCGTATATCCCGTGTGTCCCCTTGTACCTGTCCCAGTTAATCCCTCTCCTTATCCCTCAAGCCCAGGCAACCATTGATCTGGGTTTTCTCACTATACATTCGATTTGATGTTTCCAGAACTTTCTGTAAACAGAATGATAAAGTATGTGCTCTTTTCTGTCTCTTCCTTGGCTCAGAATCATGCCTTTGAGATGTCTCCTTGTTGGGAGTATCAGTAGTGTGTTCCTGTTCATTATAAGTAACAGCCCGTCACCCTGTGTGTCACAGTTTGTTTCACCTGTTGATGCGCGTTTGAATTGTTCCTGTCCTGACTGTTATGAACAAAGCTGCTGTAAACATTCATGTGCAAGTCTTTGTGTGGGCATATATATTCATTTCTCCTGGATAAATACCGGAGAGTGAATTGCTTGGTCATATGGTAGGTGTGTGTTTAACTTTATAAGAAATTGTCCAACTGTTTTCCAAAGTGGTTTGCTGACCTGAGTTCCTGCCAGTAACAACAGCGTGCCAGTTGTGGCGCATCCATGTCGACACTTGGCATTCTGCCTTTTCGGGGTTTTTTTTATTTTATTTTTTGAGATGGCGTCTCACTTTCTTGTCCAGGCTGCAGTGCAGTGGCACAGTCTCAGCTCACTGCAACCTCCGCCTCCCGGGTTCCTGCAATTCTCGTGCCTTAGCCTGTTGAGTAAGTGGGATTACAGGCGGGCGCCACCACGCCCAGCTGATTTTTTGTATTTTTAGTAGAGATGGGGTTTCACCATGTTGCCCAGGCTGATCTCGAACTCCTGACTTAAGTGATCCACCCACCTCGGCCACCCAAGTGCCGGGATTACAGGCGTGAGCTACCGCGTCCGGCCATCTTACCGAAGTATAACACAATATCATTATTATTTTAATTTACATTTGCCTAATGATGACAGAGCAGCTTTTCCTATGCTGCTATTGGCCATTAATTTATATTCTTTAATAAAATGGATGTTCAAGTCTCTTGCCAATTTTCAAATTGTGGTGTTTGTCTTCAAGAGCCCTTCATGTGTTTTGGACACAAGTCTTTGTCCTATCTATACATTGTGAACATTTTTGCTAAGTCTGTGGCTTGTGTTTTTATTTCTAAAACAGTCTAGGCCAGGTGTGGTGGCTCACGTCTGTAATCCCAACACTTTGGGAGGTCGAGGTGGGCAGATCACAAGGTCAGGAGATCGAGACCATCCTAGCTAACACGGTGAAAGCCCGTCTCTAATAAAAATACAAAAATTAGCTGGGTGTGGTGTCACACACCTGTACTCCCAGCTACTCGGGAGGCTGAGGCAGGAGAATCGCTTGAACCCGGGAGGCGGACGTTGAGTCCGTCCAGCAGTGAGCTGAGATCGTGACACTGCACTTCAACCTAGACAACAGAGCGAGACTCCATCTCAAAATAAATAAATAAATAAATAAATAAATAAATAAATAAATAAATAAAACAGTCTTTTGAAGAACAGAAGTTTTTCATTTTGATGAAGTCCGATTTCATCATTTATTTATTTTATGATTTGTACTTTCTGTGTCCTACCTAAGAAATCTTTGCCAACCCTCGGGTTGTGAAGATTTTCTATTTTTTTCTAAAACTTTTAGTTTTAACTTTCATGTTTATGATGAACTTAGTGAACTATGATTAACTTTTAAGTCTGCGATCCGTTTCAAGTTGTTTTTTAATATAGTCAAGAGTCAAGGATCATTATTTTCCATATAGATACCAAATTGTTCCAGCACTGTTTGTGGAAGAGGCTATCTTTTTGTCATTGAATTTCCTTGGTGCCTTTGACAAAAATCATTTGACTATAACTGTATAGTTCTATTCTATTCTCTTGATCTGTGTGTCTATCTTTATTGGCATAAAGATAGGAATACCACATTACCTTGATCACGGTAGCTTTATTGTAAGTCTCTGTTTTTGTTTTGTTTTGTTTTGTTTTGTTTTGTCAAAATGGTTTTGGCTACTCTAGATCCTTGCATTTCATATGAATTTAAAAATCAGTTTATCAGTTCTAACGAGAAGCCTGCTGAGATTTTGACTGGAATTACATTAAATCTAGATGAATTTGAGGAGAATTACCATCCTAGTAATATGGAGTCTTCTGACCCATGCACATAGTGGCTTCATCTTCCATAATCATCACATACTGATTTAGTTGTCTTGGTGCCTTGGAGCTTTATCTGTACATATCTTGCAAATATTTTGTTAAATTAATGTCAGTTTAAAAATTATTTAAGACAGCATATAGAAATGTAATTGATTTTTGCATAGTGACCTCATTTCCTCTAACTTTGCTACATTCACTTATTGGCTCTGGGAGCTGTTTGAAAGGTTTCTTAAGATCCTCTATGTGTGTAATTATGTCATCTGAAAATACATACAGTTTGACTTCTTTATTTCCGATGTTTATGTCTTTAATTTCTTTTTCTTGCTTTGTTGCACTGCGTAATGTCTCCAGTATAATGTTAAATGGACGCAATACAGCTGGGTGTTGAAGCCCTGATCTGAGTCAAGGATCAATGACAGGGAACATTTTATCTAAATCTACTAAGTATAATATGTGCTGTGAATTTTTCATAGATACCCATTATCAGGTTGAGGAAGTGCGCTTCTAGACCTAGTTTTCTGAGAGTTTTTCTCGTGAGTTCTTGTTGGAATTCGTCAGCGGCTTCCTCTGTGTCTGTGGAGGGGATCGTACAGCTGTTCACCCTGTTCAGATGGTGCATCACATGAATGATGTTCAGATGTTAAACAGTCTTGCATCCCTGTGGTAAACCCCAGCTGGTCATGGTATATTACCCTTGGATAGATTGCGGGATTTTACTTGCATTTCATTGAAGATCATCTCACATGTGTTCTTCTCTACCTGTGGGAGACAGCCACGCCCTCTCCAACAAGGCCTAAACCTCACTCTATCCACAGAACATAGCCACGCCCTCTCCAACAAGGCCTAAACCTCACTGTACCCACGGGACACAGCCACGCCCTCTCCAACAAGGCCTCAACCTCACTGTACCCACGGGACACAGCCACGCCCTCTCCAACAAGGCCTAAACCTCACTCTACCCAAGGGACACCGCCTCTCTCCAACAAGGCCTCAACCTCACTCTACCCAAGGGACACAACCACACCCTCTCTAACAAGGCCTAAACCTCACTCCACCGGTGGGACACAGCCACAGCCTCTCCAACAAGGCCTCAACCTCACTGTACCCACGGGACACAGCCACGCCCTCTCCAACAAGGCCTCAACCTCACTGTACCCACAGGACACAGCCACGCCCTCTCCAACAAGGCTTAAACCTCACTCCACCCGTGGGACACAGCCACAGCCTCTTTAACAAGGCCTCGACCTCACTGTACCCACGGGACACAGCCACACCCTCTCGAACAAGGCCTCAACCTCAGCCCTACCTGGGGCCTCCTCCAGGTGCTGGGATTACAGGCATGAGCCACTGTGCCCAGCCCTTGATTTCTTAATATACTAAATTTTTAATTTCCAGGGTTTAAAAAGAATAGCTTCTAGTTTTCTTCCAAAATTGTTCACTTTGTCCTTTAATTCCTTATACATATTAAGTAAGATGATTGTCAAGTCTGTGCCTGGCGGCTCCATTATCCAAATCCTCTATCTCTGTCTTGTCAGCTGCTTTTCTTGGTTTCAAACATATATACAGTTTTCCAGTAATTACCTGTTTTTTTTTTTAATTGAATGCTACAAATTGAAAACGGAAATTGTACAGGTATTTGGGGTGATTTGAGGCTGTGAAGTCTGAATTGTTTTGAGTTTCTTTTTCCTCCTACGCGCCTTTTAGAGTCTCAGCTCAACAACTGAGGAGTTTCCCCAGATCTGCTTCTCCTTGGCAGTGCATCACCTCCTGCTGTTGTTCCCCAGCCCCATGAGCCTGCCGTGATCTACTCAGCGTCCCTGCTGCTGGGTCCCTTTTTTGGAGTTGCCAGATGCTTCCAAGAGAGGTGGCCCCAAACGAAAGCTCAACCCCTGGCTTCCCCTCCTCGAGTCTTGGCCCCATAATTTCTCATAGCCTGGCTGCCTTTCCTTGCTTCTAAAATATTCCCGAACATACACACAGCCTTTCTAGCTGTTCTCCAGGTGAGAATGGTCTGAATCACCTCATCTGCCGTTACCCGCAAGGGAGCCCGTGCTGTTCTCAAAACCCTAAACCTGTGGGAACCACACGCCCCCAGATTTGTGCACGTGATTTGGAATCTGGTGGGCTCAGCTTTTTAGATAATGCCCAGTGGCTGCACGTGAGGGTCCGCAGGCACAGAGTTGGACCCACGTCCCCAGCCTTCCATGTCCAGCTGGGACTCTATGTGGCTCTCTTGTTCCCGTTCCTGTCCCTCTGCCCTCCAGACTATAGCACTGCAGCCCAGCTGACAGAGAGGCCGCTCCTCTACCTTTAAGTTGCAAACTATTCAGACCAATATCGTGTATTATAATTTGTAAACCATGGGTTTTATGCACGCTAAAATGGACTTTAATTATGATCACTCAAAGTCTGTAAATGGCTATAATATTGGGCACTGTGTAGTGAGAACATCAGGTAATGTTACAGAGCGCTGAATTGTACATCATTTTAAATAAAGAGAGGCTGGACGAGAATATCACAGGAATGCACGTTTCCTTGGTTCAGAGCAATATTAGCTTAAGAAAAAGTATTTTCACTGGTTTCACGAAAAGTTATCACCTGGTGCATTATTTCCTGATCTTCACTTCGAATTGTTTTCTTTCCCCAAAGAGTTGTATTTTTACAATGACCGACATGTGTGTGTGCTTTATGTGTAAGGTTTCAATGCAGCGTTCATTGAGAAGCTGGATGAACTCATCACGCTTTTGCACCTGCTCAGATTGCTTTCAGTAACTCTCCTGTTACTCCAGCCCCCACTGTGGAGAACCACTGGTCTGAGATAGACATATATAGCTTCCCTCTTACTAGCAACCTAGCCATTATGCACTGACCTGGATTTTCAAAAGAATTATTTCAAAAAAGAAATTGCTCAGTTCACCTCCCCTGACCTTGGCATGGAACCTTTGTAAGTAATTAATTATTTGCAGTAAGTAAGTGAACCAGCCCAAGCTTCTCTACACCGTCATTTTCATAGTAGTCATTTAAATTTAAGTGCGTGTCCTTCTTTAACTGAATTTAATCTGAGATGATATAAATTTTTAAAATCATACAGTTTTGACTCGGTACGGTGGCTTATGCCTGTAATCCCAGCAGTTTGGGAGGCCGAGGCAGGTGGATCACCCGAGCTCAGGAGTGTGAGACCAGCCTGGGCAACATGGTAAAACCCCATCTCTACCAAAAATACAAAAAATTAGCTACGTGTGGTGGCATGTGCCTGTGGTCCCAGCTACTTGGGAGGCTGAGGCTGAGGTGGGAGGATCGCTTGAGGCTGGGAGGTGGAAGTTGCAGTGAGCTGAGATCAAGCCTGTGCACTTCAACCTGTGTGACAGGGAGACCTCATCTCAAAAAAATTTTTTTTTCATAAGACAGTTTTGAAATATCTTCCCTTTTCAGGAAACTTGCTGTAGCCTCCTTCTTATTTAAAAAAAGGGGGGAAAAGTTTTGTTTTCCTTTAATACGTAAATTGTATGTTTTCCGTGTAGATTATTAAGCACATAAGCAAAAAGAATTAAAATCATCCATTTTCTCCAGCATGCCGGGATAACCATTATTAACACTTTGTGTATACCCTTCCAGACTTTTGTCTAAGTGTATTCTTGGGTATTTTTTTGATTTTGTGCCCAAAGAGATAATCTAGGGGAATGGCCACCAGAGCGTTTCACGAGCTTCTTAGATGATGGAATTTGGGATGATTTGTATTATCTTGTTTTCTTTTTTATCATCATTTGAGTACTTTTAGTGAGTTTGTCCTATTTCTTGGAAACCGTAGTTTTTCATTTAACATTTTGTTTACATACAGTTTGACAATCATTCAGTGGGGATTCACCCATTGGCTCATCGTATGTATGCGGCACCTGTTCTGTATTCAACGTTTCATGCCATCAAATATGTACACGGCATCTGTTCTGTATTCGACTTTCACGCTAAGCATCGTAACAGCAAGATGAAGAAAGAATGTAGTCCTCACTTTCAGAGCGCTCCAAGCCTCAGCTTAGACACAGCCTAGGCAACAGTGTCTCAGAGACATTCACAGCTCTCTGGGCAGGCATCAAAGGAGCAGCCCCAAGCAGGGAACCCCTGGGTTGGTGTGGGAGAGACCCCAGGGGAGTGTCCTGAGAGGAGGCCGGACTTGAGCCAAATGATAAAGGATCCATAGGTGTCCCCTAAGCCAAGAAGACAGGAGGGTGGTCTGAGCAGAGCACACAGGATGTTTGAGAATGACAAGTCTGACATGGCTGGAAAGCGATGTATTTGGTGAAATAGAAAGATGGGGAGGAACAGAAAATAGCACCAGGAAGGTAAACATGCTTGAGTTACTCAGCCTCCACCATGGCAGCCGCGTGACTGTGCTGGGGAGCAGACACTAGGCAGTTAGGGGTGCACAAGGTTTGTTGGATGTAACACCTGGCAGAGGCCAGGACAGAAGCTGGACCTGATGTACACCTGGCCCAGGCTCTGCTGGCCCCATAGAGAGAGAGCTGTCGCTCCAACTCAGAGGTGGCCCAGCCTCTGCAGGCCCCGTGGAGAGAGAGCTGCCACTCCAACTCGGAGGTGGCCAGACTCTGTAGCTCAGCTGTGCTACAGGGCCACCCAGAACAGAGAAAGGCCTCATCTGAACACTGGCCCAGTCCCTGTGCGTACCAGCTGGGACTGTCCCTGTACCGCGCTTTTTCCTGCCAAGGGCCCAGCCCCGTGTCCACAGGCAGCAGACAGCCATCGGCATCAGTGGGAGCAGCTGTTTTTTAAGTGGGGAAGTGACATGGCCCAGGCCTGTGGACTGTGGAGATCACACCATGTGCTTAACGAGCTGCCGGGAGCTGTGAGATTGATTTATGTCAAGGAAAACAAGTCATTATCCATGGGAATTTATCTAGCTACACAGAAAATTAACAGTGGAACAATGGCGGGTAATAAAAGAAAAAGAAAGTAAGGGATTCGTTGAGCACCAAAGAAATTTAGAGGAAGATCTCAGCTGTCATCCTGTGCTGGACAGTCCGTCACGTGCAGAGCATCCTCCCGACTGGCGAGGTGGCTTCCACGTGCCCCGTCAATCAGGGCTGGACAGTCCGTCACGTGCAGAGCATCCTCCCGACTGGCGAGGTGGCTTCCACGTGCCCCGTCAATCAGGGCTGGACAGTCCATCACGTGCAGAGCATCCTCCCGACTGGCGAGGTGGCTTCCACGGAGCGATTCTCGAGACCCGAGGGGCGTGGACACAGCTTCTACGCAGGCAGTCGGAGAGCCACTGGGCTCTTGGCCCTCACTCCTCCAGCCAGAGGAGTTTTGCTTTCCTTTGTCCTGCATAAGATTTTGTTTGAGTAGCTAAAAAGTAATGGAAAACCACCACAATGATCAGTGGAGAACCTTGTATGTTTGGGGGCCCAGCTGTGTGTTAAGAGCCATCAGCCTGTGTAGCGTGAGCCAGGGCAGAAGGGCCTGGCCCGAGAATGCTGTCTGGACGCCTGGCAGGCCTGGCTGCAGGGTGCCGCAGAGGAGGTGGGAAGAGGCATCTTTGGGAGGCCTGGCTGGCCCCAGTGCAGGACCAGAGAGCAGCTGAGGGCCTGGGGCCTCCGGGGTTTCGAGCCTCAGTGAAACGCGAATCCACAGGGACTCTTGGAGTGGGGACCAGCAGTGGAGAAGATGGAGGCATTGCACTTGATTTTACACACGTTCCGCTTGAGCTGTGATGCCAGGCAAGCCGAGGGTGAAGGGAAGCGCCTTGTCGTGAGACCTGGAAGGAGCAGGGCTGCCGCTGGAGCAGATCCTGGGGTGTGAAAAGAGCTGGCGACGCAGTGCTCCCAGAGGTCACTAAGGGAGGAGCCGGGTGCCAGGGGAGAGACAGTCAGGATTTGCAGATTCAGCAAATGAAGAAAGGCAAGGCTGGCCAGCCACTGGAGTGAGGGGGCTTGGGAGGAGGTGGCTTGGAAGGGCGGTGAGGACAGAAACCAGCTTTCGCATGGCAGGTAAGAGGAGCCTACGGGGGCCAAGGAGAGCTTAGCTAGTGCCAGCTTCAGGGCCACATGGGTTTTCCCCAGGGTAGACAGGCATAAGGCCCCAGCGGCCACTGCATGTTGAGCCCCAGCAGCCAGTGGTCTCCCCGGCCCATCCCTGGTCCTCCCATTCCTGCGAGGCGGCTGCGGGGTCTGGGTCTGGTTTCTGCCACTTGTCTCTAGTGGAAGACACACCCTCATAGAGCCTCAGTTTCTCCATCTGAAAAGCAAGTGAACATAAGACCTGCCTGGCGTGGGCATTGGGAAGGAAGTCTTGGTGGACTTGGCAGGTGGGTGACTTGGGGGCCTGGGTCCACCGAGCCGCACAGCGGGAGGCACGGCATGAGTGCCCAGCTGGCAGCGGTGGTGGAGGTAGTGTAAATGTTCATGCTGAAGAAAATCCAAGCCTCTGAGAGGCTGGGCAGCTAGTCCACAGTCACAGAGCCAGTCTCTGGCCAAATTCAAGCCCCCGTCTGTCTGGCTCCCAAGTTTAGGCCTGGAAGTGAAGGAAAAGGAAGGCTGGGGGTTCTGCAGGGGAGACATCCTGATGACCTCACAGCCCCTTGTCCTTGTCCTCTGCATGGATGGGGCCAGGGACGGCAGTGAGGCGGCCACCCCATGGGGAGGAGATCATGTGTTGCGTCTCCTGAGTGCAGACGGAGCTGAAGGCGCCCCCGAGAATCCAGGTGAGAGCAGGAACCTGGAGAGACTGGGAGGCAAGCACCTGCCACGTGGGCACCTGTGAGTGAACCGGGGAGGGACAGGGCCCCAAGGAGTGGGTGGCACCTCATGCTGGAAGTGGGGAGCAGGCAGAGTGATGGGGCAAATGACAGGGAGCCGGGCAGGTCCGGGAGAAGGGGTGGGGGAGGGAGCACCCTTGGGAGAGTGACTGTGATGGGCTGTGATCCCTCAGGCATCTGGTGGAGAATCAAAGGCGAGGGCTGGAGACACAGCAGCTCTTGTTGAGTGACAAGTTCCCAGCAGAGGGTGGTGGTGGGGACAGCCAGGGGTGTCAGGGAAGAAGAAGGGGCCTTAGGGGAAGGGCACCTGCTTGGCATTTCGGAGCTGGCCTGGCACTCTACAGTGGTTGCACAAATGGGGTGTGGATGCTGAAGTTCTGCCAGAGTCTAGCAGGGCCGGGGTCATCATGATGACCTGGATGTTGCAGTAAGGAAGATAAATCCTGGCAAGAAACCGCATGCCACAGGTGAGCCCGGAAGTGTGGGGGAAGGTGGAGATAAACCCTCCTGCCAATGGCAGTGAAGGAGAGTTTGAGGAGGCGCGGGCCCTGTTGGGGGGCCACCCCGGCATCTGCCACATCTGTTGTTGGAGTGTCATCTGTTTTATTTTAGTCGCCATTTTGCATCAGGGTCAGCTGTGTTGACTCAGCAGAGAAACAGGTACCACGAGTCATCCAGCCATAGCACGGCTGGGACCAGCGCTTGAGTTTTCTTGTCTCCCAATTCAGGAGTCTTTTCCTGAACTGTAGCTTTTTACAGTTTTCACATAGAAGTCCTTGATTAACACTCTGAATTTAAATTTTAAAAGAGCCACCTTGATCATTAACCCTTTGAGGGTTCAGAGAAACTTCTAGAATGAAACATGGTCTGACATGGACAACATACACCAATAGGCTTCTTCTGTGGTCCCCTCGTGATCTCAGTGGCCTCCCGAGTTGGGCAAGACTCAGCATTGGTTAGGATCAGGTACAGAAAGGAAATCAGAAACAAATCGTTTCTGCAAGGATTTAATTTTATGTGACGTGAAAAGTGAGGGATGCTGGACTCGGTTCCACCTTGTCACCCCCAGTAGGACCAGGCCTGCTGGATCAAGAAGCCTCATCAGCTTTTGCTCACTGGATGGTTGGTTCATCGACTTGAATGATTTCTGGGTCTGTCTGAAGTCGGCTGGGCAGATGACTCTGTCTGGTTTCACGATGAGCTTAGGGAAGAGACCAGTGGGATTTTCAGGACCATGTTGGGAGAGTCTAGCTTTGCATTTATTTACTGGTGATCATCACAAGATACCAATTTGTAAAAACACAACTAAGTACACACTGGTCCTATCTGGCCTCCGTTTATCTTGATGGCTTGGCCATCCAGTGACAGTGCTGGGGTGTGGGACCTCGTGGGAAGCTCTTTGCTGCTCAGAATGCAGCTTTCTGTTAACCAGTGGTCACAGACTCGGGAACAGCAGGGGCTCTATGAGCTTCAGTCGATTCAGGATACGTGGGCTCACGTTAGGGATGTGTTTAGTCCTGGTTTGCAAACAGCCTGCGGGCAAATGGTCTGTCTGTGCTTGTGATGGTCCCTGCACTTCTTCCGGAATGCAGCCCTGGCCCCCGCCAGCTGCTCGAGCTGTGCTGCACCCCTAGGCTCCCTCCCCAGCATCACCAGGGCCAAGGATGAGGAGATGCAGGAGCCAGGGTTTTGGCAGTTCCCTGTTACTCAGGTGGGCACACTCATTGCAGTAAATGTTGATGTATAAAGACAAGGAAGGGTATCCCCATGATCGCATTTTGAGGTTTTTCCTCCAATTGTTTCTCCTTGCACATGTTTGATGTAATCGTGACTATAGAGTATTTGTCTTGCTTCTTTACTTAATGTTATAAAGCATTGTCCCATATTATTGAAATATTCAGAACAGTTTAACTGCTTGTAGCTGCTGCGTCGTGGTTGTTGCGTGGTTTGTTTAATCATTTCCCTCTCATTGGTTTCGGAGCGAATTTTGGGCTTTCTGCAATGGCAGATGACACAGCACCACACACCCTACATCCCATTTCCCCATCTTGCTTCCGGTTTAGGTATGGTTGGTTCCTGGAAGTTGATGTACTGAGCTATGTAGATTTTTCCGACTTTTACATGTGGTAAAGAAGGTAGTGCCAGCGCACGCTCGTACAGGATAGAAGTGTTTTTGTTTAGGGCAGGGACAGACACATCCAGCTGCCTTAGAATGGGGGCTCTGCACACCAGAAAGACCAGCTGTGTAACGTAGAGTGTGGACTTTGAGTGATGCAGTATCAGTCACTCAATCGGTCTTGTCTGTGTGACTCTGAATACACAGACTCCGGGCACTTCCCAGGCTGGCAGTGCTCCAGGCACGTTGTTACAGTCGTGCTGGGAGGGTAACATGTCTGAACCCCATGGAGCGAGGACCTGAGCTCTGCAGTTGGTGTTGGGCCCCACCCTGCCCTGGGCGCCTCTCTTCCTGAGGCTTGGGGACGGTCCTCTGCCCTCATAGTTTGACTAACTCCAGATATGTTGAGAGAGGAGAGAACCCGTGACAGGATGCTGAAGATCAGCAACTCCCGTGTCCTCCTTCCTTGCACAGTCGGGCCACTTATGTGTTTACTGATCCTAGGCCACAGAGCTTCGGCGTGTGGTCTGGGCGCTGTCTGTCCTCTGCATGGCTTTGGTAAGGAGGGCAGGCAGCGCTCGGTGACAGTCCTGCAGCTTGAAAGAGGCGGTGTTTTTGCGGAACAGTTATTGACGATCTTGTCAGTCATTTCATTAAAACGGTTTTCAGCATATGTGTTTCTCATCTGCAGGTGTGGGACCCAAGACACAAGTGTGTTGGGGCTCCATGTCCACCCCACGATGCCCCCCGTGCCCCTTCTCCGTGCTGTTTCCTAGGGCTGTGTCCCGGGCAGCCACCCCTGTTCGCGCTGGCGCTTGAGGGCTGAGATGAGCAACCTGGTAAAATGAGTTCCTGGATTGTTTGCTTGCATTTCATAAGGAAATGTCTTCTCTTTGGGAGGTGTGCCCCACCCTCACATTCCTCCGTGGGGCCAAGCTCTGTCGTAGGTTGTTAGAGGGTGGGCACCTTTGCTTTTCCTCACTCCCCTGCTCGGAGGTCGGAGGGCAGGCAGCCTGGCCATTCCTCCTGCGCACAGTGGACATGCTTGTTCTGAAGCGAGAGCAGACTGGGGAGAAGGAGGAGGGGCTGAGACGAGTCTCTGCTGTCCTTGTGCCGTGTGTTCGCCTCCAGGCCTGGGTTTCTTTTAAATGGTGGGAATCCTTCATGATGCCTGCCCTCCACCACCCACACAGCTAATGAAAGGGGCTTCTCCGTCATCCCCGTCCTGGCCAGCAGCCTGACTAGAAAACCCTGATGTTGGGTAAACTGGTCTCCACTGTGGAGGTCGAAATTTTTCTTGAATTTGGAAATCTTTGTTTGAGACTTCCGGCATTGTTTGAGCAGCAGTGCTGCTTTAGAATATTATACTAACTTCTCAATTTCTCCTTTTTCTTGCCCTATCACTGAACCTATTTTGAGGAAATAAGACGTTATTTTCTGTTCGTAAAGGAAAGAAAGAGCATGTGTTGAAGAATTACATTAAGAAGCTTGCTTAGGCTGGGCATGATGGCTCATGCCTGTAATCCCAACACTTTGGGAGGGTGAGGCGGGAGGATCCCTTGAGCCTAGGAGTTCAAGAGCGGCCTGGGCAACACAGTGGGACTCCACTACAACAGTTTAAGAAAAGAAGTTCACTGAACTTAGCTACCCTGTGTTACTGATGCATAGCCTCTTTGAATATTATTCTGATGAAGACGGTGCCATCAGATGGTTCCTGCAGTGGGAATTGCTGATCAGCTAAATCTTTTTGACAGCGGGATCATGCTTATGGCTCTGAACACGTGGCATTTGGTTTTCCATTCCGAGTTACTTCACTTAGAATAATGGCCTCCAGCTCCATCCAAGTTGCTGCAAAAGTCATGGTTCTGTCCTCACGGCTGAGGAGTGGTCCTTGGTGCTGCCTGCCCCATGCGAAATGGCAGCAGCCTCATCCCCCCGCCCACTCTCTGTCGTATTTGTCTCTGCGTCATCTGCCGTCACTTGCCACCTCTAATGTGTGCTTGTTCATTTGCCTGTTACCTGTCCTTCCCCCTAGACCCTTAGGACAGGGCCTGGGCGCGCGCTGGCAATCCCCACATCCCTGTCGCAGGTATCAGCTGCGTGTTGAATACACGGGAGCAAAGTAGACCTTGCGGGCGAGACTCCTCCCAGCATGGACGGTGTACTTCCACAGCGTTCGGTGGCTGAGGTATAACCCTGCAGAGCATGATGTGGACTGCTTTCAGCACGTGCCACAGACTGCCCTTGGGGTCCAGTCATCGGTCCATGGGAACCATGTGTGTGACCAGCTGGGCTTGGTCTGTAAGTCTGGGGACACCAGAGGAAGAAGCTGTTTTGGAGATGTGCGGGAAGGAGGAAAGCTGCAGATGGAGGTTGAGCTCTGAGCTGTGAGCTCATGGAGAGTTTGATTCTCCCTGCCGTGCGCCAAGCTTCTGCTCAGAGCCTTCCTCCCTCGCTCAGAGCCTTTCGCCGCCCGCGCCCTTTTTTCTTGCAACCTCTCTTCCATTCCCTGCTCTCAGAGCTGTGGCATCACTCATGAGAACGCCCCTTGTTTTCTAGGATCCCTGGCCGCCTGAACGACAGGAGGACGCCCCTGGGTGAACTGAACTGGATCTTCACAGCCATCACAGACACCATCGCGTGGAACGTGCTCCCCCGGGGTGAGGCGCGGGCCGGGCCTTGGGGAGGGAGGCTATGGCCTTGAGTGCGCGGGGAGCCGACTCTCGGACATGAGAGGAGTCAGATAGGATCCGTGAGTGCCTCCCTAGTGAGGAAGACAGTGGGAGGGGCTGAAAAGTAGAAGGCGACCACCTAAGGAGGTGTCTGCGAGGGGGTGAGTTACTGCACGCCAGGTTCTCAGAACGGTGGTGTGGAGAGACTGCGTGTCAGCGCTGGCCCTGACCGGTGCACAGCCCTTACTGCGCACCGGCGGCTTATCTTCAGAGTCGTCGGCATTATTCACACTGGCTGGAAACCAGAATTGCTGTTGTAAGACTTGTTTGTATTTTTTATTGATTGGTTGATTTGGGGTGTTTGTTCACATGTACGTATATGTGCACTGTGTGTGTACATGTGTACATGTGTATGCATACACGTGTGTATATGCATATTTGTGTGTGTGTATTTGTGTATGTGTACACCTGTATGTGTGTGCGTGTATTTGTGTATGCGTGCCCATGTGTAATGTATCTGTATAGGTACACACCTGTGCACACACATGTATGTATGCATGTGTGCATGTGTGTACATTTGTGCACGTGTGTGTATGTTTAAGTGTGTGTACGTGTGTGTTTAAGCGTGTGTGTGTGTTGCTGATGGGAGATATGCATATTAGTCCCAACTTTAGTAATTTTTGATAGAAGTGAATTTGTGTATTTGGCTTTAAATGCTAGACACAAGTCACTGTAGACTCCTTTTTATCTTTTATCTGCCCTCAGATCTCTTCCAAAAGCTCTTCAGACAGGACTTGCTGGTGGCTAGTCTGTTTCGAAATTTTTTATTGGCGGAAAGGATTATGAGGTCGTATAACTGCACTCCCGTCAGCAGCCCGCGTCTGCCGCCCACGTACATGCACGCCATGTGGTGAGTGTTTCAGGATCCTCCAGGTGCCGTGCTCCCCCGCCCTCCGTGGCACTGTGATGTCATGGAATTGCACGGAGCTGGGCAGGGAGGCCCCACACCTAACTTGGGGACCCCGTGTAGCATTAACAAGTGAAGCTAAATGCAGGGCTCCCAGAGATCTCCACACAGAGGAGTGGGGGTCTCCTTCAGAGGGCAGAAGCCTTGGAGGGCCTTTTAGGACTGCACGGGAGCAGCGGCCGGCTGAAGCCTCACAGCTCTGCAACTCGGGAGGGTAGCACTTTGCAAGAGAGTTTCTAACCTTTTAGAAACCAGTAGTGAGAAAATAACTTGCTGACTTGAATTTATGAAGCACATGCAAGATCGCTCTGGAGAATTAAACTGTTGGGCTCATGATCAATTAGTTTTTATGCTTATTTCTCACACACACACACACACACACACACACACACACACACAACGCTCATAAGTGTAATCCTTTATGACTATTGATTATAGTTCTCTCCCATTGCTGAGTTGCTACTATTTATACAACTCCTATTAGTAGTAACAGTGACAATAATGTGATTTGTTTTTAGTCTAGACATTATATTTGAAGACGTTTGGTTTCTTTCTGTTCTGTGGCTGTCCTAACAAGCAGGTTTGGGCAAATTCTAAAATGGTATTAAAACAAAGGAAAAATATTTCTGTTCATCAATGGGAGAAACCCTAACAACACAAATATTTTTAAAAGAGCGATTAACGTATGCCTAGCCGCAGAAGCCATCATGTGGCGTATTTTCATGGCCAGGTTTATTTTAGCTAGTGTTTTGTGTTTTCTTTTTAAACGTGTACAGGACCACTTTCCCTCAACCCTGGAAACCCAGAGAAGCAAGAAGGAATCTAAACTCACTACCCATCACCCACTCCAGAAAAGTTAGAAATAATCTAATTTTTAATGTTTATAATAAATATTTATATGCGATAGATCAAAATACATTATACCCAGCATAGCACTTGGACTTTAAACAGCAAAAGTTAAAGCATGCATGATCTGTATCCTTCTTAAGACTCTGTAAGATAAAATAGAGAACCCTGATAAGGAGAAAAGGAAATTGAAGTAAACCATTTAAATAATGTGTAAATAAAACCACCGCACATTTATTTTTCACGAATCCATGAATAACAGAGCTGTAAAAGAGACAGGTGTTTGAAAAGCCTTTGCAATACTTAGAATAAATATTTAAAATGAACATTTTTTAAAAATAAATACTTAGAGCATTTTTGAAAGAGTATATTCTCAAAATGGCCTTATTCCTTTAAGAAAAGTAAGGCCTTAAATCCTGTCTCTATTTCCTCTAAGACAGGTTATTGTAATACATTTATTTTAAAAGAGGAAGGAAAAAGAAAAAAAAAGCTGAAGGGGTCAGTGCCACATCAGATCCTGGATCAAAAACTAGTTCAGCACTGGGAGCCGGTTGAGCACTCGGAGCGGGGTGGGCAGGGCCTCCAGACTTGCAGGTTCCCTTACCAGGAATCAGTCCATGGAAACCTTTTTCCTTCTAGCGTATGTTTTCTCCAGATGTAAAAGCACCTCCTATCTGATGTGCTCAGCTGCGCAGAGTTAAAGACAGTGACATCACATTGGAGTCCGTGGTCAAAGACCAGAGCCAGAGCACAGAGAGGAGCCAGGAGGGATGAGCAGGCGAGGACAGGTGCAGGGAGGGGCATGTGGCAAGGCCGGCGTGGGGCAGCCACATCCCACCTCTCCATCTAGAGGCCGCGTGGCGAGGCCAGCGTGGGGCAGCCACATCCCACCTCTCCATCTAGAGGCCGCGTGGCGAGGCCAGTATGGGGCAGCCACATCCCACCTCTCCATCTAGAGGCCACGTGGCGAGGTCAGCGTGGGGCAGCCACATCCCACCTCTCTCTCTAGAGGCCACGTGGCGAGGCCAGTATGGGGCAGCCACATCCCACCTCTCCATCTAGAGGCCGCGTGGCGAGGCCAGCGTGGGGCAGCCACATCCCACCTCTCCATCTAGAGGCCGCGTGGCGAGGCCAGCGTGGGGCAGCCACATCCCACCTCTCCCTCCAGAGGCCGCGTGGCGAGTTCGGCACAGGGCAGCCACATCCCACCTCTCCATCTAGAGGCCGCGTGGCGAGGTTGGCACAGGGCAGCCACATCCCACATCTCTGTCTAGAGACTGCTTTCTAGGACTGGCCCCTCAGAAGTTTTCTGAGTGCCAGCATTTATATCAGTGCTGCTTTATAGAAGGTCCTTGTCTAGGCCTAGCTGCAGCCTCTCCCAGCGTTGCTGGGGCTGCCCTTCCCTGCCCAGAAAAAAGGCCAGCTATTCTGCAGACTCTGCTCCCTGGAGCCTCACAGAGCCAGCCCTCACCTGTGCTTATCGGTTGCACTAGAGAATCATGAGGTGATGTCGCAATCCACAGAGGCCCAGAGAGCCTGGGGACAGCATCACAAGGGTGCCTCGCAGCCCCTCTTCCTGACGGTCACTGTGGACACTCCGGCTTTTCTCCTCTCCTGGTTCTGACCTCCCTGAGTGTGTCAGAGGCTCCGCTTGGGCTAATGTGCGCCTTTAGTGATCCAGCCCGCATGGTCCATCATCCCACCACAAGCAGCCTGCGGTGTCGTGTCCTCCCGCTTCCCTTTCGGGCGCGTTCTTCTCCTGGTTGTTGCAGGGTGGGCTGTCTGGGAAGTAGACGGAGACGGAGGCTGGTGTCATGACACTGCTCGTGAGTGGAGCAGCCCTGGGTCAGCGGTGGAGGGGTGGGCGGAGAGAAGTCAGGCTCACCTCCGCCGGCCCTGGGGAGCTCTGAGGATGGGATGGGAGGTGAGTGGGCCTGCCTGCATTCTGCGTTGGTTGTCAGACATAGGCCACCCAGAAGAGGGCCTGACAGCCGTGAGCCACCTGCCTGTGGTGCCCCCAGCAGCTGGGGCAAGAAAACCTTGATCCTGAAGGGGATCCCGGCCCCTCCCTCACAGTGTCTTGCTGTAAGAGAAAATCTCACCTGCCTTACCTGGGGCTGCTGTTACCCCAGCCCCATTTTGATGGGGCCCTTGGGAGCGGAGGAAGCGCAGTGCAGAGGAGCTCTTCCACAAGCGCACAGCCCATTTGCAAGAAACATGTTTCCTCTCCTCATCCGGGAAAGTGACACTTCCCGGCCGGCTGTGCAGAGCTCGTCACCAGGCCCTGCTGAGGCCTGTGGCAGTAACCGCAGGTCTGGACTAGAAGAGAGCAGCCAGCGGCACCCGGCCACTGTAGCGGTCACTGGTGCAGCCACTGCCAGCAGCCAGGGCCTCCGGCCCAGCCCAGGTACAGCGGAGTGAACTGTGTTCATGTAGAATCACAGCGGCGATGCCCTTAATTGCTAGGCTGGGGCAGGGAAGCACCGCCCTGGCCTCCTCCTGGTCCCTGGCACCCTTCTGCCGGGTGTCACTGTGTCCCCATGGTTGGGTTTGACGGACATCAGGGATGAAGACTGAAGAAGAACCAGGCCAGGAGTGGTGAAGGGCAGGGCTCCTCCAGTGGGGTGCACAGGGTGGGCCCCCGTGCCGTCACCGCTGGCCACTGGGCACACCTGTGGGCTCCACCAGCCACACAGCTAGAACTCGCCCTGCTGTTGCCGATGGCCTGGGTGGCTTTGGGGTTTCACCTTCAACCGGCAGAAGAAACATTATGCGCTTGAATTTTTTTCCTTTTTCTTTTTTAAACTCACACCTGGGCACGCATCTGCGTACTGCCCTGGCGACTGACGTGAGCATGAAGGGAGCTTTAGTCAGCCGCTCGGCCCGCGGGAAGGAAGAGGCGAGCAGGAGTGACTCACACCAGGCTCGGGCTCCAGGCTTCCTGGCAAAGCAGTGAATGTGAACACCCAGGGGGCAGCTGTGCCAAATTGAAGCTGATTTGTGCTGAAAGAAGAAAACCTCATTCACAGATTACAGACCAGTCATGGCCCTTCTGGTGGACGCGTCTCCCTCTGCTTAGTAATAGGAGTTCCTCCAGCGCCACTTGTGGGAAATAGAATTTGAAGGTGGAAACAGCACTAGGGAGGGCACTAGCCATCTAATCCTGTGTGACAGCAGTGTCGCTGCAGACTTGGCAGCTCAGAACAGCACGTGGCCTCCAGATCCAGTTCCTGTTGTGGGGCTCAGCCAGGTTCTCTGTGCAGGGTCCCATCAGGTTAAGGCTGCCTTCGCAGTTGAGACCACCCGCCGTCCCCACCAGTGGGGTCCTTAGCTTGGCCTCCCACCACTCAGAGCCAGCGCAGGAGCCGGGTGCTGCATCCTCACCTAGTGCCACACACAGTCACAGCAGCCATCACCGTTGCCATATTCTGCTGGTTGAAAGCAGTCTCAGGTCCCACCTGCACCCCCAGGGAGGGGCCACACCTGGGACAGGGGTCCTGGGGCCACGTTCAAGCCTGTCCACCTCAGCTGGTGAACTGTGCTGGGGTTTGGAGAGGGTGAGAGTAAAGTCGCAGAGCCCAGGGAGCAATCTGACCACAGCTCCCCTGAGGCACACCAGTCGCGGCGGGTGACCACAGGTGGTCATGTAAGAATAGGAATTCCAGTGACTGACTGATTAAGCGCCTGCTGCGTGTTGGGCTTTACAATTGTTAGGCCATCTCCCCCTCACAGCAGGTACTGCCGCAAAGCTACGATTTTTACTATCAATATGCCCATTTTACTGATGAGAAACTGGGGTGTGTGAGGACCTGCATGGTAGGGCCAGGCTGTGGCTCTAGCCGTCTAGTGCCAGCCTGCCCCATGCTGACTTAGCGGCGTACGTGCTGAGTCATGGGATGTACGTGCATGAGCTTCTGTTTCAGGCGCATCCCTGGGACAGGAGTGCACCCAGGCAGAAGTGGTGTTTAACCAGGGAGGAAAGCTCTTGTCACCTCTTGTTACACATGGCCACTGTGCTGGCGGATCACAGCATCGTTGTCAGCGTGAGGAAGCTTCCCCGGTGTCTGAACGAGTCTGATCAGGCAGAGACGAGCAGGGAGTGGCACTTAGCGACCTGCTGTAGTCATGCTCCTGGGAGCATGCTCCTGAGACCATGCGAGGTCTCAGGAAGGATGTGCGCCTCATATGAGAAACCCGTGGCAGGTGGCATTCCTTGCATTTTGCAGTCAGCTGCATCCCACCTACAGAACAGAGCCCTGGGGTTTTCCCTCCAGCTGGACATGAGAAGCTGCTGGGGAGTCAGCAGCCCTGTCCTGGGATCCGAGTCGTCTTGGTGACTCCCACGCTTCGATGCCTGGCCGAGACCCGCCTGGCTTGGGCCTGCCCTTGGTTGGGACCTCACTGACCTGAGGCCCCTAACCCCGACCCCTGCCTTGGCTTTACGGCCTTTACAGTGCTGGCCCCGGTGGCCACCCACCTGCCTGCCCACCGTGCTCACCCTGCCTTTGAATGCCCAGCCTCTTTGCCCCACAACCAATGTGACCTGGCTTAGGAGCATAGCTGAAGCAGGTCGCTAAGGAAAAACCAAGCAACGGGACTAATGGGATGTTCTGAAAGACAAGGACAAATCAAGCCATTTGTCAGAACATTGGTTATAAGAGGGAAAATTTGGGAATAACTCTACTACCTAACAGAATAGGAACGTAAATTCAGAACGGATACTTAAAAGAAAATGTAAGCAGTCTTAAAATTTTATTCATGAGTATGCAAAATATATGTTAAATGAGAGAAACAGAACACCAAATTGCATCAGCAATATAGTTAATATCTATGTTAAAATACATAGTACACACAGCAATAAAACACTAAACAGATTTATAAATAAACATTAATGATGCTTGTGCCAGGGTGGTACAATTGGAGTGATGGTTCTCCATTTTAAAAATTGATAGATATTACTTTGGTTAATTAAAAGTCTGCCTGTAGATTTTCTAAGCCTTCGAAGCACTAAAAGCAATTTTTAAAAATAGAGTCTTTATGGCTAAGGCATTATTGTTCATAAATTCAGAACTAGAGACACACAGAAGAAATCATTACATACTTCTTTACATGAGGAGAATCATGACTGGTAGAGTGGCCTAAGAGGCAGGCGTGGGGGCTTTCAGACAGCAGAAAGACGGGGCTGGTGTCCAGGAGGGCGCGGGCATGGGTAGGGCAGCGCCCGGGCTGTGCTCAGTCCAACCGGGGCTCTGCGGGGCGGTTTTGGCCCACAGTTGCCAGTCATAGAGTAGCCAAAAGTTCATATTTTCATTTTTAATTATCTGATTATTAGATGTTGATATCTAACGTGGCATTAAAAAACATTCTGCGAGCCCAACCAGACACATCCAACCCGACACATCCAACCAGACAGCGGCCTGTAGCCTGCCTGTTCCAAGCTGGGCCATGAACCCCTAGGGACAGAGGCTTCAGTGAAGCCCTCGGTGCCTCGGCTCCCAGCATGGGGGGCGGCCCGTAGACATGGCAGTGCCGCGTGCATGGAGAGGGCGGCGTCCACGGCGACTTGTGGCCGAGTCTCAGGATGCTTCCCCCACTCTTCTTCCTCAGCCCCTCCTGTGCGTGTCCAAGGGTCCTCTCTAGTTAGGGATATTTTCTGCAAGGTCTGACATCGTGTCTTCTTGTCTTTCTATGCTGGGAAGTGCCAAATAAGTAATATTAAAGGGTTCTTTGTACAGAAATCAATGATGATGTGAATTCAGGGAGAATCACTTGCATTTTACACATGTTCTCTGGGGTAGGTTTTCAGCAACAAGGATGCCAGCGTGAATCTAGAGCTAAAAAGTAAACACGAGTCAGTTCCATTTAATGCTGAAAATTATATCATGAGCCAACTTTGATAGGGAATTGAATGTAAAAATTGGGCTTTAGATTTGGAGAAGATCCTAGATCCTCGTAGGAGAAGAAAGACTGGAAATGTGGTCTGGCTGGTCAGGAGCCGGGACAGCAGGTCCCACGCTATAGGTGTACACAGATTCTCCCCGCTGGCTTCTCTGTTCTGTGGCATCTTCCTGGTTTCCTGGAGTCAGGGCAGCTCCACTGGCCTCAGTTTCCAGAGAACAAACCTGACTGAGGTGGACTTGCCACCTTGGCCACTGACCAGTTCCGACCCCGCCCCGCCCCAACTCCAGCTCCACCCAGTTCTCTCATTTCCTCTCCTCTCACTGCCACCAAAACATTATGTCAAAAAATGGGGGTTTCTCAGTCTGTATCAGTTCACTATGTGTGCAGAAAATTTATCGGAATGACTTTAACGGTAGTAGACCACCCCCCAATTCTGAGTGCTGACAGTTTGTAAAAGGCCCTTTCCAGGTGCTCTGCCAAAGCCACTCACGCACGGCCTTCTCACGGCGTCGGGCTGCTGCGCCCCACGGTGCCCCCGCGCTGGGCCATCTTGCACGGGCCGCTGCTGTCCAGTGGCTTCGAAAGGAGTTTGGTAGTTGAGGTGAGACCGCAGGTGCGCTGCTCCAGTGGCTTCGAAAGGAGTTTGGTAGTTGAGGTGAGATCGCAGGTGCACTGCTCCTCAGGAATGGCAGAGGCTTCCCATGATGGGGAGCATCATTTTCATCTTTTTTTTTTTTTTCGGAGGCGGGGTCTCGCTCTGTCACCCAGGCTGGAGTGCAGTGGTGTGATCTTGGCTCACTGCAGCCTCAACCTCCCAGGGTCAAGCAATCCTCTCACGTCAGACCCCCAAGTAGCTGGGACTACAGGCACACGCCCAGCTAATTGTTTTGTATTTTTTGTAGAGATGAGGTTTCACCAGGTTGCTCAGGCTGGTCTTGAACTCCTGAGCTCAGACAATCCTCCCACCTTGGCCTCCCAAAGTGCTGGAATTAACAGGTGTGTGCCACCGCGCCCAATAGGGAACATCATTTTAAAGCAGCTCTTTGCTTCCCAGCGGAGATTCCATAGCAGCCGTGTGTTGTTCCGATGTGTGTTTTCCCAAATGCGCTACACAATTAAGGTGCTTAGGAGGGAGGAGAGGCAAGCACAGAGGTTTGGCTTGCACTAGCTCCACGTCCTTCCCGGGTTTCAGAAAGGCATGTACTTGCCCTTGCACTGCCCAGAGACCAGGCCCCAGCACTGCCTCCTCTCCATTCCCCACGGAGGCTGAGACGATTCCTCAGTCCATGTCACCCTGAGAAAATCCCCCTCCAATAAGGCATTTGATTCTGTGGAGTCCGTTATTGCAGAATTTTACCTCCACTCTGTCCTAGGCGTGTTAACATTCGAAGTCTAATTCTAACTCTTAGACACTCTCACCACGTCCTTAACACGAGTGAGTTTACTAGTCTGGACACAGGAGGGAGGCTTCTGGAAGACTGGGAAACCCCAGGCCTTCTTAGATATGAGCAGTCCTTGCTGCTCGTGATGAATTTCATGCATGACTTTATCACTGTCCATCGGAATCCCGCCGAGGCTCTGGAGGCAGAGATGTCAGATCTCTGATGACAGTGAACTTCCACAGAGGGCAGCAGCATCTCCCTGTGTATCCTTGTGTATCACTATGTATCCCTGTGTGTCACTGTGTATCCCTGTGTGTCACTGTGTCACTGTGTATCCCTGTGTATCACTATGTATCCCTGTGTGTCACTGTGTATCCCTGTGTGTCACCGTGTATCCCTGTGTGTCACCATGTATCCCTGTGTGTCACTGTGTATCCCTGTGTGTGCCTGTATGTCACCGTGTATCCCTGTGTATCACTGTGCACACAGTAAAATTTAACAAGAAGCCAGTCCATTCCACCATGTTACCATGTTGCAGATTTAGGGAGGCGTAACCACACAGACTTGGTACTGGTCTTGATTGTGGAGGGCCTTTATGCTGAGCCAGAGATGAGGAAGATGTTGGTGCCTGGCTATAAGGGCTTGAGCCAGGTGGATACGGAGGGCATGCAGCCAACACCGCTCTTGAGACACCGGCTGGGTTAGTGTGGAAAAACTCCATTGAATGGTTTGCCTTTCTCCCTGGAGGTAGTTAGGTGTACTAGTTGAAACACCCATTCATTGGGAACCCGTGATCCAGGGGCTTTACAAATGGGCATGTGTGAGCATAGGCAGCATAGGCTGCCGTGGCCCCAGGTGTCAGGGTGCAGGCGGCTCCTGTCTTGGAGGCTTCCATCCCCCGTGGAAGCTCGTGCTGGCCACTGGAGCAACATTCCCGCAGGTGGGAAGGCCGCGAGGAGTGGACGAGGCAGCTCAGGCCTGGGGGACAGACTTGGAGCTCACATGCCCATCGCCCCCCTGTCCTGTGGCAGTGTCTGGTCCAGCCTCATCCAGGGAGGGAGGGAATGTGGCCTCCACCTTGAGTGGCATGTCCCAGCTCCAATGCTGTTCCTTAACAAGGGCAGGGAGGGAGGCACAAAGGAGTGAGGAGTGGTTTCAGACGCTCAGACGGAGAACATTCGGCTCAGAAACAGAATCGTGCTCTCCTCTGTTACTAGATTTTGCCAACTGCAACTGAGGACTGAGCTGCTGTGGAGGTGGGCTCCTCACCATGGGAGCATCACCGGGGGCTCTGCAGGGCTGTCTGCCACGAAAACAATGCCCAGAGCTCTCTCCTCCCCTCATCAATAGACCAAAGTGTGTACATCCCCAGGGAGCACACAGGAAAGATAGCAGAAAAGAGCATTTGGAATAAATAATGTACAATCTAGCTATTATACTCCTTGGGTGGTGATGGAGAGGTTGAATTTTTAGCAAGAGGAAAGAGGGAACAAAGCCTAACAAACATTGAGGTTAAAACATGAAGTCATCTGCATTTACACTTTGCTTCAGGCCGCGGCAGTAATGAATACTCAGAGCCGGCTTTCTGTTTAATGTTTGATGCAAAGTCACCGGGGAGTCATTCTCCTTCACTTTCAATTTCAGGGGTCCTGAAACCCTGCGTTTCTCTGCGGTAATAACCCGTGCTTTCCGTTCCCGGGGCGGGCGCGCTCTGACTGATCAGCGCAGATGGAGGCTGTGCGGACTTGGACTTGGACGGTTTTCCTCCAGCCCACCTCCTGGGCACCCGCCATCTCAGGGCTGTTTCCTGAAAACCCAGCTCTTGCCTGGATGACATGTTTTCCAGGCGAGTGACTCATCAGAACAGCCAACAGCTTAGAAAGTCCCTCTGCCCCCAGCTGCTGGGGGGGAGGAGCCCACGATGCAGATGAGCTGGTCACAGCTAATCACAGCCTCCTCCCCTCAGATCTGCACTCCAGCACTCCAGCCCTGCTTCTCCAGGCAGCTTGATCGCAGGCTGTGGGAAGTGCTAATCCAGACACCTTCCCGGTCCCCTCCCACCTTCTGCTGTCGTGTGCTGCCAAACCTCACAGGGCTGGCTGCTGCCGCCGAAGCCCACCACCATGGCCTCTCGTGTGTACGTAGGACCCACTTTCCCACTTGTCTTTAGCTGGGAATCCCAAATTAGAGCTGCAAGTGTGTGTTGATTTTACCGTAGAAAATGCAGCCAGTTTTAATCAACAGATAAATGTTCATTAGAGAATACCGTTGTTCTGCTGTTTAAAAGGTTGCCGTGCAGGCCGGGTGCAATGGCTCACGCCTGTAATCCCAGCACTTTGGGAGGCCACGGCAGGCAGATCACCTGAGGTCAGGAGTTCGAGACCCGCCTGACCAACATGGTGAAACCCCGTCTCTACTAAAAATACAAAAATTAGCCAGGCGTGTGGCACATTCCTGTAATCCCAGCTACTCAGGAGACCGAGGCAGGAGAATCACTTGAACCCGGGAGGCGGAGGTTGCAGTGAGCCAAGATCGCACCACTGCGCTCCAGCATAGGTGACAGAGTGAGACTCCGTCTCAAAAAACAAAACAAAACAAAAGGTTGCCATGCGATTTTAGAATTTAATGGGTAATCTGGCCCTGTAATTTGGTTAAATAAATAAATAAATAAACCACCCACGGCCCCGAGAGGGCCTCTGGCTTGCTCAGCAGGCGGTGCCAGGGTGCAAGCTCCTCCCAGTACCTCCGTCTTCCCTGCCTTGCTCTGAGTGGGGCTGTCCTTCGGGCCCAGGCCGAGCTGTGGCTTGAGGTTCAGGGCCGCTTCACTGTGTGCTGATAATCGGGTTCCAGCGCTTGTCTTTCAGCGGTTTGTAGGCGTTCTTTTACATCCTTTCTTCTCATTAGTACTTGAACAAAGTTATTTTCCTCCTCTCATGTAGACAGCTCTGCCTCGAGTCCACAGCCCTGGGTAGCCGGACGGCCCCGAGCAGCCTCCGTGCATCGTCTGGGCGCCGAGCCACAGCCCTTCCTCCTGGGCTTTGTGTCATCCCCGCAGCCTCCTGAGCCTCTGTGCATCAGTGAAACCAGAACCATCTGGGGCTGCTTTTCTGGTCTGAAATGTGGAGCTGGGTCAGTCCCCGCCTCCCACCCCGGGGCTGGATCCAAGTGGGCCCCCAGCCTTTTAGGAGCACATGTCCCACTGCAGCAACATGGGTCACGTGTCCGAGAGAGATTGTCACCCGTGGCTCTGACACAGCTTTGCTGGGCGGCATCCTGTCCGGTGTGCTGAGCGATGTCTCCAGTGCAGTTCAGGCCTTCAACACCAAGCGAGGGCCTTGGAGAACGTGCGAATAGGCTTTCCGGGAGGCATGGTTCCAAAGGCGCCTTGCCCAGCACTGACCGAGGCCACACCAGGTGCCACGCTGGTCTGCTCGGCCCACGGCCCGGACACCCTCTCTGCCCTCCTCTCGCCTCCACCTCCCCTAACTTGCACACACTTTCTTCTAACTCCTGAAGCAGAAACTTTTTATTTGATTAAATTCGAGGAATCTTTATAGAGTTTAATTGCAATAATTGACTTTGCTTCTGTCTTAACAAAGAGTAAAATCTCCCTCAATGCTGCTGAATACCATTTGCCTGCAGCTGGGGATTTACTGGGCATATGGGAGCTATTTATTGCACGTACTTTGAGGCCTTTTGATTATCTCCTGATTGCTTCTTAACTCTGTTGGCAGGGGAAGGGCATGTTTGTGCAAAGAGGGCCAGTCTTGGGAAAATTGAAATATATTTCATATATTTGAAAGTGAAAAATTGCTCTTTAGTCCCTTTGTTCATCTTAAACTTTTACTTTTTTTTCTGGATTTTAACATTTTTCATTCTCATTTTGGTCCTTTACTAAGACATTGAGAAAATATGCCCTTTGACACGGCAGCACGGAGTGTCATTAACCTAAAAAATAACACAGAGTCCTCGAGTCTCTTAGAAAATTACCCAGGAGAAGAGAGCGCAGTGCTAGAAGCAGAATCCAGTATACTGATCATCACTCGGTTTCCACAAGGAACATATTTCTAGCAGAAAGGGAGAGTAGGGCTGAAGGGATTGCTGTCCTTCCTCCATCCCTACGACGAAGGTTGAGTGTCCCTAATTCAAAAATCCAAAATGTTCCAAAATCCGAAACTCTGTGAGGGCCACCACGCTGCCACAGGTGGACAGTTCCCCTCCCGACCTTGCGGGCGCAAACTTTGTTTCATGCACAAAATTGTGTAAAATTCGCTTCAGGCTGTGTGTGTAAGAGGTATATGAAACATACATGGAGTTTACTCTTAGACTTGGGTCCCATCCCCTGATATCTCATTATGTATATGCAAATATTCCAAAACCTGAAAATATCGGAAACCCAAAACACTTCCGGTCCCAGGCATTTTAGAGAAGAGATACTCAACCTGTATCCGCGGAGATCAAGACTGTGTTCTGTGGCTGTGCTGAGAGCGAGGTGATGATTCACTTCCAGTTGAGAGTTCATGTTGGATGTTGTGGCGGGGCCACAGCAGCTGCCTCCGACTGACCCCTGCTTTGTGTCAGCCGCTCTACGAGGACGCTGTGAGGGAGGCATGATCATAAGCCCATTTCACAGATGGTGAAACGGATCCTAGAGAGAGAGCCACGCGCCCAGAGCCCCAGAGCCACACGCTGAATTTCACCAAGCAGCCTCCCACACGGGCTCCCTGGTCAGGCCCTCATCCTCCGGGCGAGGCAGCGAGGCAGGCAGGTCAGCCGCTCCCTGGGCCGGAGCTAGTGGGTAGCAGAGCTGGGAGCAGAGCCCAGGCTCATGGCTCCCGGTCAGATCTTTTCTTCCCTCTCTCCTTCTCGAAAGTCACACGGGGCTGCTCATGCACAGAGGGTGCTTTCCTGCTCGCCCTCACTCTCATTTAGCCAATGCATATTGAAAGCCTGCTATGTGCCTGGCACTGGGAAAGAAGTTGGGTACGGCTGGATGCCAGGGCACCTGCAGGATGTCTGTAATTCAGCGTGTGGCTCTGCGGCCTTGGGCGCGTGGCTGTCTCTCTAGGGTGAAACAGTCTCATGATCATGTCTCCCTCACAGTGTCCTTGTAGAGCAGCTGACACAAAGCAGGGGTCGGTCAGAGGCAGCTGCTGTCCCTCTGCCACAGGGCTAGAGATGTCAGAGGTGCTGGGGTGTGCCAGGCCTGGGGTACCACGAGAAGGCCAGAGCCACAGAAAGGCTTAGGGGGGCTGTGTTAGAGCCTCCGAGAAAGCTCACAGGGCAGCTGGCCTGGAGGGAGGTGCCGGCAGAGGGGCCCATTGGGAGGGGGCTGTTAGGACAACACCGAGGCTCTGACAAGGCCATGTCAGGAAAGTGGCGATGGTGGCTGGGGGTGCCCCATAAGGCTGTTGCCTACACCTGGGAATCCCAGGAACTGGCCTGGAGGTGTGAGGTCCAATTCAGACTGCCGGCTGTTCCTACAGTAGAATTGGGGTGTGGAGCTCTGGGGAGAGGTGTGAGGCTATTTTAAATAGCGTCTGGGGGTGTCGGTGAGCAGGTGGCATTGGGCGCCCTGAGCAAGGATGAGAGCAGGCAGGGAAAGGGCTGTGGAAGCTGCAGCAGTGCGGCCCTGAAGGACGGGGTCGGGAGCCCGGGGAGGAGGCTGTCTCACGTTCACCGTGACGGGAAGGAGGCCGGAGGAGAAAGCCTCATAATGTCCAAGGGGGAGAACTCAAGAGGGACAGTGTGGTCGGTTACTGTGACAAGGGGTCTCGACAGGGGAAGCACATCACCGGGGTCATCTGTGGAGCCACTGTGGCTTGGGGGGAGCAGCTCTATGCATGGTAGGAGACCCCAGACTGCAGGGTGCCTGGTGAGACCCACAGGGAGGCAGCAGGAACTGACTGAGCAGGTGGCTGTCCACACCAGGGAGCAGCAGGGGGGAGGCAAGGGAGGGACAGGGAGGGGCCTGACGGCACCATCACAGCGCAGAGCTCAGCCCTGACCGCCAGGACTCCTTTCCCTGACTGCATGCCGACCCCTCCTGATGAGGCACTTTGGGCCTGGCCCTGGTGTCTCTCCCGCGTCCCTCCAGGACGCTGCCCCATCAGAGCCTGCGCAGGGACCACAGCTGCTTAGAACACGTGGGCTGCCAGTACATGGGTTCAAGTCACAGTCAGAAGCCACAGCAGAAAATGGGAAGCATTCCTTTATTTTTCCAGGCTTTTTTTCTTATTTTATTTTAAAGAGAAAAAATGTGACAAAATGGTGAGGATGCTGGCAGCGCCAGCGTTCCCGGCCTGCACTCTCTCCTGGCCTCCCCTCGGACGTCTTCTGCAGCCCAAATCTGAACAGCAGTGAAACCGTAAACATGCCCCCCACCAGCTGCCGTGGCCTCCGCCCAGACCCTTGCTGCCCAGGCTCAGCCGGCTCCTCCTGTGCCCTGTGAAGTGGCCTCGTGTGGAAGCCCGTCCATAATGCTCAGTGGATTTCCTCTGTTCTCTCCGCAGGCAAGCCTGGGACCTGGCTGTTGACATCTGTCTGTCTCAGCTGCCGACGATCATCGAGGAAGGCACTGCGTTTCGGGTGAGTCCCTCCAAGGGCACCCTGTGCATCCGCGGCGGCAGCCACTTCTCTGGGCACCTGGACTGCAAAGCCCCCAGACTGGGGGTGGTGCCCAGGACTCTCGGGTGTCAGATTTTGTTCACCTGCCTGGAAAAAATGTAGTTGCCAGAGTTTAAAACATCGAGTCAACCAGGGTTTAAAGTTAAACTTTGAAAGAATCAACTTTTAAAACAGTCCTATCTCAAAATTTTGCTATTACAGATCTACTTTTCTTAATGCGGACTCACTCCCTGTGAGTGGTGATCCTGTTACACTTTCTAGCCTTTTCACCACAGACGCGTTGTGGATCTCCCCCAGGCCTCTGACTCTCAGCCCTGTGGGACAGTGACCCACGGGGGGTTTGGTGCTGAACCCTGGA
This sequence comes from Homo sapiens, assembly GCF_000001405.40. NCBI lineage: Eukaryota > Metazoa > Chordata > Mammalia > Primates > Hominidae > Homo > Homo sapiens. Next base: position 80,838,395 of record NC_000017.11, read on the forward strand.
GGGCGTTCTGCCCCCGGCCGCACTGCACGGGCGCTGGAGAGCTGAGCCACCCTACGGCGGAACCTGGGTTTAGTCGCCGCACCTGCAAGTGAGGGTGGCCCCGGGCCTTCGCGGCAGCTCCCTAGGACCCCCTCGTGGTTTCTTAATGAGCTTTTGCCTTACGTGAGGCGCCAAGTCTGAAAATAGATAAATAAGACGGAGGCCCTGCCCTCCAGAAACCCGTGAGGAAAGAGGAGCCTCTCACATCTGTGCAGAATGCAAGGGAGCAATCGGCAAGAGGGCGCGGCAGACACGGGGAGGCCAGGGATGGGGGAGGCGGCAGCCTGGGCAGAGGCAGGAGGGGACCAGCATCCCCGCCTCCCGTTGGGGCCACACCTGAGACACCACCGTGTCAGGCTCCAGAGCCACAGAGCCTAGCTTTGCCACCGAGGGCAAGTTTGGTCGTCTCCTCATTTAAGGGAGGGATTATGGTGGTATCCAACCCCAGGGGTGCTGGAAGGACAAAGGGAGTTAATGTAAGAAAAGTGCTTTGGACAGAGCCCAGCACAGGGCCCTTGGGAATTCATGTGCAGGCACTGCCCCAGAGCCAGCTGTCACTGATGTGAGGATGCCACCCTCCAGCCCAGGGCAGGGGCACCGATGGTCAGGAAGGTTCCGTCCACTGCACAGACTTTTAACTTTCAGTGCACACCACAGCCGTCAGGGAAGCTTTTAACACATGCAGTCGGGAGCCTGGGTGTGCCTGCGTGCGTGCGTGTGTACGCGTGAGTGGGTGTGCATGAGGTGTGTGTGATGTGCCTGTGTGGGGTGTTTTAACTCCTCAGATGATTTTGACATGTCCCACGGGTGGGATGACTGGGAAAACGGCCTTTTAAGAGGGCTTTCTTTTTTATAATCTTCTGTTACCCTCCCATTATTGCTTGATTTTTTTGGTAACATTTGATTGTGAAAATTTTCAAACCTACAGCAAAGTTGGAAGAAATTTACAGTGAGCACCCCATGCCCACCACTTACTTCTACCCCATCTTTGTATTCATGGGGTATTTTCAAGGGCATTGCAGACCGCCCCGCATTTTACACCGTGAGGCGGAAGCCAGCTCCCCGTCATGTGCTTGGCATCAACACTGGGCTTCTAGACAAAGGCCTTCCCTCCCTTCCTGCTGGACCACAAACCTTGGGGGGCAATGACAGGGTCTCCTGCAGAGTGGCAAACCTTCACAGACGCCAGCTGTCCACCCTCAGCCTGCCAGAGCTGCTTTCAGAGTGCCTGCGCTTTTCCGAAGAGCTCTGGGCCTGTTGCCGCAAACAGATATTTGGAAACCTTCGGGAAACTGGCCTTTCTGTACTCTGAGCGTGGCTTCACTCGGTACTTTTAAGAGATCAGAATAATCTGCTCTTATATAAAATAATGCAGTTTCTATTTGCATGTGTGCTCTTTCTAAACGAATACTTAGGTTTCTGTGCCAGGTATCTTTGCCAAGTTTCTTTTCAAGGATTTTACTCTATCTATGCTAAACAACTAGAATCAATATTCTGCATTTGGGAATGATTTCACCATGTTGGGGTGTCAGGACAAGCCGGGGATAACTGACGTGGACCACACACTAGGTTCCTTTTGTTTTTAATCTTATTGGAGGTGTAACTTACATATAGAAAAGTGTACACATCATACACATACAGCTTGGTGAATGTTTCAAGCTGCACATACTCGTGTAATCACACCCAAATCAAGCAGCCCCATGAGCCCCCTCGGCGCCCCTCTTAGCTCCTCCCTTCCCCAGCAGTGGCCGCTTTCCTGCCCAGTTTTGTGCTTGGATGCGTGGAGTCACGCAGGGTGTAGTCTTTGTGCCTGCCCGCTGTCACTCAGCATTGTTTGAGTAAGCTCACTCTCTCTGCACCGCAGCTCACACTCACCGCACGGCAGCTCACTCTCACCGCACGGCAGCTCACACTCACCACACGGCAGCTCACTCTCACCACACGGCAGCTCACTCTCACTGCATGGCAGCTCACATTCACCGCATGGCAGCTCACTCTCACCACACGGCAGCTCACTCTCTTTGCACCGCAGCTCACGCTCACCGCACGGCAGCTCACTCTCACCACACGGCAGCTCACACCACGGCAGCTCACACTCACCGCACGGCAGCTCACTCTCACCGCACGGCAGCTCACACCGCACGGCAGCTCACATTCACCGCACGGCAGCTCACTCTCACCACACCACAGCTCACTCTCACCGCACGGCAGCTCACTCTCACCACACCACAGCTCACTCTCACCACACGGCAGCTCACTCTCACCACACGGCAGCTCACACCACACGGCAGCTCACTCTCACCGCACGGCAGCTCACTCTCACCACACGGCAGCTCTCACCACACCGCAGCTCACACTCACCGCACGGCAGCTCACTCTCACCACGCCGCAGCTCACACTCACCGCACGGCAGCTCACACTCACCACACGGCAGCTCACTCTCACCACACGGCAGCTCACACTCACCACACGGCAGCTCACTCTCACCACACGGCAGCTCACTCTCTCTGCACCGCAGCTCACACTCACCGCACGGCAGCTCACATTCACCACACGGCAACTCACTCTCACCACACGGCAGCTCACTCTCTCTGCACCGCAGCTCACACTCACCGCACGGCAGCTCACATTCACCACACGGCAACTCACTCTCACCACACGGCAGCTCACTCTCTCTGCACCGCAGCTCACACTCACCGCACGGCAGCTCACTCTCACCGCACGGCAGCTCACTCTCACCGCACGGCAGCTCACACTCACCGCACGGCAGCTCACTCTCACCGCACGGCAGCTCACTCTCACCGCACGGCAGCTCACTCTCACCGCACCGCAGCTCACTCTCACCGCACGGCAGCTCACTCTCACAGCACGGCAGCTC